>NC_000011.10:121111818-121414848 GCF_000001405.40 Homo sapiens
AGAGACTGAAGGCGTTTACCTGAGCAAGTCTATCACAAACGCCATCAGCCGTGGCCAGCACAGAGCATGGGAAGAAAAGTTCTTTACAAAAAGGGCTGTTCTTACTCATAGCTTGCCTCCCTTTCTGGGATCATCTAGAATGGGGAGATTTGGGGCTTCCAAGATCCTCTACCCCAGTTTGATTACACAGGATAAGGATTTGTGTCTTCCTCTGCATCAGACAGAGTGTCAGGCAGCTGGGAAAAGTGCTAGGTTTGAATAGAAAAAGGTCAATGCAGCCTCTCCTTTTAACTCTATTTCTATTAAATTTTTTGAAAACATGTGACAAGGGGTGAGGATTAGCAAGAGGAAAATATAAAGGACAGGGTTTGCTACAGCTTATTTCTGAAAACCATTTACAAGTTTCATATGAATTTAAGCAACATCTCTATCCTAAAAAGTTTAAAATGAAGACAGCATGGAATGGCAGTGCTCTGAGAGATGGACTGGGAACTCTGGCGCAAATCTCGTTTTCTGTTGCTGGGTCACTGTGAAATTTCTAGTAACTCATTTCCCGCAGTCCCTAGTTTTCTTAACTATAAGATAGGCGTGGGCCAATACGATCACCCGTCTTAGCGTTGGTCTGGGGTACAGATGAATGTTAACGATTTTCAGAAATAAAGTGATGCACAAATGCTCAATTAGAGGAGTAACTTCTCCCCAGAAAGTGCTTTTTAAAAATCACTTTCCCACTTCCATTTTTAAAAGGGGAGACATCTCATCAAGATTAATGTTGTTTTCCGGGAAGAGAGAGAGCGCAATCCGCATGGCCACTTTAATCACACGGACTGGTATCTGCTCCCTCTTCCAACCCGCTCTGCAAGGGGAACCGGTGGTTGCATCCTGGTCCCCGGCCGAGTCTTTCCTGTAGTTTATTCTCATGCTGCCATCTATAGGTGCTTTCATATTATCACACGCTTAGCCGGGCCTCTGAATTTTCTGTCTGGTAGAAGTCAGAGATATAAGTGGGCGCTGAGTCAGACTCTGGGTTTATCTCAGGCAATTTCTCTTTTAGAAGCACAGTCCCACATGTCTTGCTTTTCCCAACGGAGGCGAGAACAAATTCAGAGAGGAGTCAGAGCTGGAGGGCCTGGCTGCAGAGCAGCTCTGAGCTGCCTGTGGGTGGGGAGGGCGCAGGGTGAAGGGAGGACCTCCTTGGGGCCAGGACCTCCTGGGGAGTGCAAGTCATGAGACTGCGCATTCCCATCCTGTAGGTGAACACCTTCCAGGCCGTCCTAGTGTCCGATGGCTCCTATACATTCACCCTCTTCAATTATTACGAAATCAACTGGACCACGGGGACGGCGAGTGGCGGCGACCCCCTGACAGGTCTTGGTGGAGTGATGGCACAGGTAGGTGGCTCTCCACTTCATCCCCCGCGTGTTTCCGTCGCTGCACTCTCTGCTTCTGTGGCTCAGCATCCTGGAGGGAATCCTGCCACCAGCTTTTAACTAGAGACGCAGGTCTGATCTCGCAGGTGGACTACGAGGCTAGTCCTGCCCATGTTTGGCACCCTGACTCGGCTATGAAATGAACTAGGCAGTCCTTTCTCACCTAGAATGCTGGCCCCAGTGACTCCAGGAAAAGACGGCTCTTGATTTTAGAGGTGCTGGATTTTAAAAATAAGGTAGTTGGGCCAGTTAACCCATGGGGAATTTTTGTACTCAAAAATCTTGTCTTCCTTTTGTGCTGCAGGCAGGATTTAATGGTGGAAACCTCACCAATTTCTTCAGCCTCCCGGGGTCAAGAACCCCCGAGATCGTGAATATCCAGGAGACCACAAACGTCAATGTTCCAGGCCGCTGGGCATTTAAAGTTGATGGAAAGGAAATTGACCCAGCCAATGGCTGCACCTCAAGGGGTAAAGCTTTTCCTCTGTCTGTGGCAAGGCAGGGTTTGTTTAGTGTAGATTGACAGGCAAGCTTTTAAGCCACGGGGGCGGACTCATTCCTGATGCCTTACTCTTTTGACATCTCTCCGCTGGGTAATGGAGATCAAGGTAATTTTAGCATGTGCATTCATCACATCAGAAGCTAAAACACTGCATTCACTACCTTGTGGCTTTGGAAGTCCTTTTCTGGAGTGTGCACACAGTTATCCGTTCTGAACAACTCCGAAATGGACCAAGATCTTGAGTGATTTCTGAGCCAGAGGGACAGAAGGCAGCCCTCCTGTTTAACATTATTTTTGTTGTTGTTGTTGCCATTTCCTCCCCCCGCCCTTTATGTTTTTCTTCTCATCCTTATTCTCGCTCTGTCTTCTGCACTTTGTAGATCTACAGGAATGGGTGCAGTTGGAGTATTGCCAAGTTCCTATGAGGGTAAATCAGTACTTCCTAGTATGATTAGAAAAAAAAGAAACAAAAGTTCTCCTAAAATCTTCCCAGCATCAGCAAAACGTGCAGGAATTTGAGGAGAATCAAAGCTGACTTTGGGTATCTGTGAGTAAGCTGTAGTTGAACCTGGGTGGATGTCCTTCACATTGGGCACCCAAAGTTTGGAGCCTTTTCTGAACTATCGAACCCCTTTAGATGTGCAAACTCACCATGGACTTTCAGAGAAACATCCTGGTTTATGAATTCCTGCTTTTTTGTGTCCAAAAATATTTAGAAAACAGAATTTCTGATAATATTTCTACTTCCAGGAGTAGAAGCTACAGAAATTAGAAGAAGGAAATAATGCCTCTGTTCATTAGTCCATCCACCCACCCATCTATCCAGCTACCCACCCACCCACCCACCCATCCACCCACCCATCCATCCACCTACCCACCCACCCATCCACCCACCCATCCATCCACCTACCCACCCACCCATCCACCCACCCATCCATCCACCTAGCCACCCACCCATTCACCCACCCATCCATTTATCCATCCACCCATTCACCCACCCATCCATCCACCTACCCACCCACCCATTCACTCACCCATCCACCTACCCACCCACCCATCCACCCACCCATCCATCCACCTACCCACCCACCCATTCACCCACCCATCTATTTATCCATCTACCCATTCACCCACTCATCCACCTACCCATCCATCCATTCATCCGTCCACCCATTCACCAACCTATCCATCCACCTACCCACCCACCCATTCACCCACCCATCCATTTATCCATCCACCCATTCACCCACTCATCCACCTACCCATCCATCCATTCATCCGTCCACCCATTCACCAACCTATCCATCCACCTACCCACCCACCCATTCACCCACCCATCCATTTATCCATCCACCCATTCACCCACTCATCCACCTACCCATCCATCCATTTATCCATCCACCCATTCACCCACCCATCCATCCACCTACCCACCCACCCATTCACCCATCCATCCATTTATCCATCCACCCATTCACCCACCCATCCATCCACCTACTCACCCATCCACCAACCCATCCATCAAGTCATCCAGCCATTTAGCAAGCCATTGCATCTTTCTGAAAAGCATTTTAAGAGCCCCATTGAAATGCCAGCCACTCTGTGAGGTGCTGGAGATAAAGCTGCTCTAGCTACCATGACATTACTATGGTAGAGGAGACAGAGCCATGGGAACAATGATGACACAGCATAAGACATATTATGGTAGACACTTGTGTAGGGTACTGTGGAAACACAGAGGAAGACCATGGGAAAAGTGTTTCCAGACCTCTAAGGAAGTTTTGGATAGGAATGAGGAGGTGCCTTTATCCCCTCAGATAGAAGCTTGGACTGCTTGTCTTGGCAGCCCTGGGAGGCCTCGGGGTTCTTTCTTGGCTCAGATTCAATTTGTTGTTGTTGTTGTTGTTTTTTGTTTAGGAGACAGGGTCTCTCTCTGTCACCCAGACTGGCTAGAGAACAGTGTCGTGGTCATAGCTCACTGTAACTTTGAACTCCAAACTCCTGGGCTCAAGTAATCCTCTCACCTCAGTCTCCTGAGTAGCTGGGACTACAAGAACCACAACCATGTCAGCTAATTTTTATTTTTTGTAGAGATAGGGTCTCAGTATGTTGCCCAGGCTGGTCTCAAACTCCTGGTCTCAAGCCATCCTCCCATCTCAGCCTTCCAAAGCACTGGGATTAAAGGTGTGAGCCACTGCACCTGGGCTCAATGTGTTTAATATACAGAAAAGCCACATTCACATGGTCTGACACACCTGTGCCCTCTGCCCCTTTCCCTGTGCTGTGATTAGTGCCTTCGCTCTAAGGTAGGTCATGTGTGAAGATGGCCTGCCTGGACCCTTGCCTCTGTGGACTCTGTAAAGTCCCCCATGTTCAAAATAACAAATAAATGTTTTGCAGCTAAGCTGGTATTAACTGGATAGGAAATAATCTAGTTCCAGAGCTCATTAGGATTTGAGATTGTACCCTCCTCCCCTACAGAGTGTAAATACGGCATCACTTAAGGTCTGTGAGAGATACCAACTCAATACTACATTATCTCCCTCCCCTGTATAGCCTGGACCAGGGGCCTCAGAAGTTGCAGACTCTTACCCAAATACCTCTTCCCTTTGTCCAGGCATCACAGAGATGACTGGCTATGGCCATACAACATGAGTGCCCAGTGACAGCCTCTCACCTGGGTCCTGGGAATGAAATGCTGTGATAACGGAAAACACTGGCTTGCAGAGCTGCGGAGTTGGTCAGATGCCAGCTGTGTACACAGTCTCCACTTTGACTTCATTCTTTTCCTCCTGAGTTATAGGTTTGGGTTTCATATACGGGATGATTTCAATATCCTTATATAGACTGCTATGCATTTTTATGTGCCTCCGGACATATATCAATCTAATGAGACTGGGATTTGGCCTGGGGTATAGCAGGGGAAGTGTTCTGTAGAGCTGGTTTATTATATCATCATTCCACAAACAAAATTATCTCAAAGAGTCTACCTTTTGGTCCAAACCTCCTCTATTCAAAGGCATTTTCCTCTCACTTATTGAAAGCCTGAAAAAGCAGGGCCTGGAAATGATGCTGAGTGGAGGCTGTCACAATACATACAGCCCTGAACTAGTGCCAAGGAGTGCTGAGGATTAGGACCTGTTTTCAGGGCTGATGCACATGACTTATTGGGAATGTGACTAAATCTATTCTCTCATTTTTCAACCCTATTCTCAACAGGTATAAAATGGAATTGCCTGTTGAAACATCATTGTTCCTGTTGGGCAGATAGAGTCAAGACTGTTACTGATACACCCGCACCCTCAACTTGGGTTAACCTTGCAGCCTTGTGCTATTCACTCGATAGTCAGTTTTATAAAAACTTGAGATGTTATTTACATTTCTTAATGCTGTGTCTTTGATACTTGCCTTTTCAGACATTCTCATTTTACAAGTGCTTCTACTTCTATCAACCTGTGTCAACTTTTTTATAACATCGCTGTTCTCTGTGAGACAGGGATGAGAAACAGCAGTATCCACATTTTACAGGTTAGGAAAACAGACAGGTGGAAGTTGAATGAGTAGTCTTGGAAATGGATTGCAGATTTGTGACTGCTGCCCAGTTCTCTTGACCCCAATCCCCCAGCAAGGACTAGATCACAGTCCCCAGCCCAGACGTGTTTCTATTTCAATTAAAGGTTGATGTTAGCAACCAGAAAATTTCAAAGTTTTTTGGTGGGGAGGTCATTTATTTACAGAAATGATTTTAAAGACTGCATGTCTACCAAAGAAATAATAGTGTTTTTAAAATTATCACATCCCTTTAAACCATTCCCCTCCCCTTTCCTCATTCTCTTCCTGACCTAGAATTTGTCAAGAAGGTCTGTCCGGTGCATAGACAGAGAGAAGTCCTGGACTTGGACAGGGCCCTAGAGTGGGAAAGAAGACAATTTGTGTAGGTGTAAATCCTGCCTAAGCAGCATCTGCAGGATTCATGAGCCTTTAAATGTGCAAGAAAGTGGTCAGTGCTTTCCAGAACCTTCCCAGGGAGTTTGGGATTTATACTCATGCATCTGACTCCTGATTAGTGCTATTGACCTTTTCCTGCACATACTGGGCCCCCAACAAATGTCTGTTGAATGAATGAACAAATTAGCAAGCAAACAGTGAGTGTTGCCGAGTAACCTGGGTAAACTGGGTCTTCCTTCGGAAGGAAAGGCAGGAAATGACTCCAAGTGTCATACCCTTTTCCATGGATTCATGATAACGTGGTTTTCCTTGAATGTGAGTTTGCTCACCAGCCATGGAGATAATAATACCAAGAGCTTAGACGGGATTCAGACAGACTCCTCTCGGAATCCTGGCTTTACCACGGAGCTGCTGAGTGATCCTGGATGAATTACTTCACTTCTCTTAAGGCTCAGTTTCCTCATTTGTCAAATGAGGGTGACCATACCTCCCTAACAGGGTTCTTACGTGGATTAAATGGTATAATGGAAGTAAAGCATTTAGCCCAATGCCTGGCACAGAGGGGAAATGCTCAGTAAATGTTGGCTCTAATGTCATTATTCCCCAGGACAATTCCTTCGGCGAGGGGAGGTGTTTTGGGATGACTTGAACTGCACCGTCAAGTGCCGCTGTCTGGATTTCAACAATGAGATCTACTGCCAGGAGGCTTCCTGTAGCCCCTACGAGGTGTGCGAACCCAAAGGCAAATTCTTCTACTGCAGCGCTGTGGAGACCAGCACATGCGTGGTGTTTGGGGAGCCACACTACCACACTTTTGACGGCTTCCTCTTCCACTTCCAAGGCTCCTGTGCCTACTTGCTGGCCCGACAGTGTTTGCAGACTTCCAGCCTCCCTTTCTTCAGTGTGGAGGCCAAGAATGAACACCGCAGAGGTTCAGCCGTCTCCTGGGTGAAGGAGCTCTCAGTGGAGGTGAATGGCTACAAGATTCTCATCCCCAAAGGAAGCTATGGAAGAGTCAAGGTGAGCCCCTTTCTATCCTTCACGGGGAAATGGAGAAGCTGGAGATTCTTCAGCCTAGGGAAGACTTCCCCAGATCTACTGGTTCTGCTGTTTGTCTCTGTACAGTGCCAAAGAGATGCACAGCTCTCCCCGCCTTGCAAATAGCTTGTAAAATACTTTACTGGGCCAAATTTTATGTGTACAAGAGCTATCCTAAGCTCTCTCCTCAACATGTCTATCTGCTTTTAAACTTAGAGTACATTTATATTCCTAGTTCCCTCATAAACACTGATAGGCACACACACACACACACACACACACACACACACACACACACACACAGTTCAGAAAAACTGGAAAGAGATAAGTTTCTCATGGTCCTGGCTTGCAATAATTGTAGCCACATAGCCATGCCCTGGAGATGGTACAAACACAATACAAACCCCCAATTCACTACAGCCTTTGATTAATAATCCTCACCCCACCTCAGCCCCAATTCTGTTTGCTCAAGAGCTGCTGCTTCATTTTCAGAGAAACCTCCAAATGGATTGATGTCTCCAGAGGTACCACCTGTGCAGGCACCTGGATTGGCTTTGGTGACTTCCTTAGTGAGGCTTGGGTGGGAAAGTCCCATGAAAGCTCTGCCCAGACACCCCTCGAATAGAGTCCCCAACTCCCACCTAGAATAACAGAGAAGAACATGGGCATCTGCTGGCCAGTTTAGCATATGCAAATGATTCCTGTCACTGTCCACCTGGATTTCAAGCAGGGACATCAACAAAAGAGAAAAAGCAAAAAGCTACTAGCAATTACTCAATTTGTGCAGGCCCCAATTTTCATAATGTTAATCAAGACCTTGTTGCAACCGTGTATTTATTCAAGCAGTAATAACCAAGACCACAAGGGGCTGATTGCTGCAACCCAGTGCAATCCTTAATCCCCATGCATGGAGGTCATTACAGAGATTACAAACCAGAACTGATGCCAATGCAGGGATTTATTTCTTTTTTAAAAAAATGTGTTGTAGTTTTAATTGATGTAGCATGTCCAACAAAAGGCAGGGCCAGGGAACTAATTCCACTCTTTCTGGCTCTGCCTTTCCCAGGTCTGTGCAGTTTATCAGTCTCATTATGAGGAAAGTGAGCTATTACTGTGGTTGAAATGCCAGTGTGCTTGCTATTTGGTTAGTCTCTGTAGGGACAACTCTGTATATCAAATCAAGGCTAAGAGTTTAGATATAGAAATTTGGAGATTTTCCCTTTTAAATTTATATTGTGCTGTTGAGCACTATACTTATCCTTGTAGATAGATGCTGGCATTTCAAGCTAGAAAAAATTTTCACTAGCTTCCCCCTACTTTCCTGTATTTGGGGATGATGTGTATATCAGTAGTTGAAAAAGAAGGCTTCATGCTTTATTCCTATTTTGTATTTTGATTAAAATTCTTTTTTATTCTCAGTCAGATTTTTTTTTTAGAAGGAAAGGGACACCGTAATTTCTTTCAGGCCCAGCAGCTCTGCTAATTTTGCGTGACTCTGTTCCATCGTCCAAGCATAGGGCATGGATTCCTCAATTTTCTGTAGCGACAGGGCGATGTGGGTGAATGTAAATGTTTCAGAAAGAAAAGGTTATGTGACTCCAACTGCAAGCTAACAATGGCTTCCTTTTCCTTTTGCCAAATGGTTTCCAAGCGTCTCTGAATACACCTGCCCTGCTGGGGAGACTGGCTCGATGGATGGCAGAGCCCCGACCCAGGGTGATGTGGGGACAGGCAGGGAGAGGGCTGGGAAGCAGGAAGGAGCCTGAGATGCTGGGAGGCAGCTGACTTCTTCAGCCATGCTGTGCCAGACCAGAAATGGCCACTAAGATCTGTTCTTCCAAAACACAGACCCCCCTTCTCCAGCACTGTCTCCATATGCTGGGATTAGGAGCTGGGTTCTGTACATGGATTTTCCCCACTGAACTGTTCTCAAATAACAAAATAAACAGTTTAGGATTAGATATACCAGTAGGACCAAAAAAAGGCAGCATAAGTAAAAATCCATCTAGAAAAAGCGCCTCCTTCTAGCTAATACCAGTTCTCATCTTTCTTCCCCGCGTGAACACGAGTAGTTTAGGGTGCTCCAGTGAACAGGGAGCCAAGGCCAACTAGCCCATGGCGATGAGCAGCTTGGACTCTAGGGCTGGACCTGTTCAAATTCCTATGCCACCACTGCCAGCTGAGTGGCCTGTTTGAGCTTCGTTTTCTTTGTGAGACAGGGCCCTCTAGGAGGCAGAGCTCCTGGGCTGTAGCTGGCCTTGGCGGCCTCTCCTCAGCACTGGGATACAGGCAGCAGGGAGAAGTGGAGAGAACCTGGCTTTGGAGCTCGACTAGGAGGGGTCAGGCTCTGTCACTTGCAAGTCACACCAGCCCCCATCCTCAATTTCCTCATCTATAAAAGGAGAAAATGATAAGGACCTCCTAAGGCTGTTATGAGAATTAAATAGAACAGCCACAGGGCAATGTCCAGTACAAAGCCTGGCACACAGTAGGTGCTCGGTGCATGCTGGCTCCCTGTGACCATTCCCATGGAACTTTCTTTCAGTTCCAAGACCTGTGCCTCCGTGACTCCACTTCTCTCCTCCTCCCCCTGCCCCTACCCACATCCTGGGAGAGGTACTGTGGAAGAGTGAAATGGCCAGAATGCAGGCAGAAGAAAAGCAAGCAAACAGGCGAGGCTTATCAGCTGTCTGCTAACCATAGGTTGAGGACAGGGTCAGAGGAATGAAGCAAGGAATTACATTTGGGGACAAGAGTTCTCTGGGATCTCCTGCTCTAAGCACTGTGGGACACAAGCACAATGACTCTATAGGGAGAGTGAAAGGGGGTGCAATGATCACTTATGCCAGAAAAAAAAAGGTATCAACTGGAACATTACTGACACCCACAGTCACCCAGGTGTCAGGTCAGCCTGAGTGCGACAAGAACAGAGGCAGGGAAACTGGCGTCCTGAGGGTTGTGATGGTGGGGGGACTGTAGAAATATCCAGAACCAGCCTACCCCATGGCTTCTGCTTTGGGACACAATAAGACTTTGTCCCTTGCTAGCAGGAGCTTAAGTAAGAGCAGAGGAGCCCATTCAGCAGTTGACGTATTTGACATTCATAATTATACCAACATTGGGGAAGATTTCCCCTTCCACTTACCAGCACAGAACAATGGATAAGTGTTCAGCACTCTTACTAGCTGACCTTCCCTATAATATGGCTCTTCTCTCCCTTTTTTCTTAGGGTAGGAAAAGCCATATTATAGGCAAGGTCACCTAGTAAGAGTTGGCTAACCCTCTACCTAGGAGACAAGAATAAATTAATCAACTCCTTGGTTTTTCTTTCTACTTCTAGCTCTCTGCAGGATGGTTTATTTCTCAAGCTTATTTTCTTATTCCCTTCCCCCATTGCTATGATCTAAATATTTGTGTCCCCTCAAAATTCATATGTTGAAATTCTAACTCCTAAGGTGATGGTATAAGGAGGTGGGACCTTGAGGAGGTGATTATGTCATGAGGGTGGAGCCCTTATGAATGGGATTAGTGCCCTTAGAAAGGAGGCCAGAGGGAGCTCATTTCTTCTTTCACCATATGTGAACACAGCTGGAAGGTGCCATTTATGAACCAGAAAGTGGGCTCTCGCCAGACAATGAATCTGCTAGCCCCCTGACCTTATACTTCCCAGCCTCCAGAACTGTGAGAAATAAATTTCAGTTGTTTATAAGCTACCCAGTTTATGGTATTTTGCTCTAGCAGCCCAAACAGACTAAAACAGAAGATTGGTACCAGGAGTGGGGTGCTGCTGTAATAAATACCTAAAAATGTGGTAGCAGTCTGGGCACGGCGTCTCACACCTATAATCCCAGCACTTTTGGAGGCCAAGGAGGGCAGATTGCTTGAGCTCAGGAGTTCAAGACCACCCTGGGCAGCATGGCAAAAGCCTGTCTCTCCAAAAAAAAAAAAAAAAAAAAAGAAAGCCAAAATAGCCAGGTGTTGTGGCATGCACCTGTAGTCCCAGCTACTCAGGAGGCTGAGATGGGAGGATCACTGGAGCCAGAGAGGTTGAGGCTGCAGTGAGCCACGTTTGTGCCACTGCACTCCAGCCTGGGAGACAGAGCAAGACCCTGTTTCAAAAAAAAAAAAAAATGGTAGCAGCTTTGGGTAATTGGTAGAGGCTGGAAGAGTTTTGAAGTACATTCTAGCAAAAGCCTACATTGTAGTGAATGGACCATTAAGGGTGATTCTGGTGAGGACCAACTACTAATCTATAGAGACAGAGAGCTGCATGTGGCGCCTGCCACGGTAAATTTTGGAAGGGATGCTCAGACCATCATCTCATCGCCTAGACAACTCAGAAAGTAGCAACAATGATGACAGGTAAGAGTGCCAGACAGTCTCATGTGCCAGAAATCAGTGTGGGTCCAGGACACCCTGGAAAGTTTATGTGCACTTATAGTCAAGCCCACCGAGGACTGTTCTAAGACAAGTCATTCCATTCCAGCCCATGAGCATGGATGTCCATAGGTGCTAGGCATAGTAAGTGTGAAAAAGAAAATTAATTCTCTCTCTTTGAGGCTTATCAAGCCACTTACTCACCCGTACTAGATGCCTGGGGCTCACTCTTGATTATTCCCTCATTTCTCATGCCCCATTGCAAAACCACCACGTCCAGCTGTGTGTGTTCTATAAGCTCATCCCTCCCTCTCATGTCTGCAGCTAGTTTAGGCTTTCATCCTCATCACCTCCCTGGACTCCTGCAGCAGTTGCCTGTCTGGCTTCTCTGTTTCTAATCTCAACTTCCTTCAATAATTTCTTCACGCTAGCCAGAAGGAGCTTTCTAAAACACAAATCTGGTGATGTCATTCCCTTGCTTAAAAGCCTTCAAGGGCTCTCCCTGCAGAATAGAAATCCAACTTTTGTTTTGTTTTTAACATGGCTTAAAAGGCCCTCCAAGACCTGTTCTCAACACAAAAGCCAGAGCAATTCTTTTAAAGCAGAAGTCAGATCGTGCGGACTTTTTGTTTTAAACACTCCCTGGGCTCTCCATCTTGCTCAGAGTCAAAGCCAAAGTCTTTACAATGGCTGACGGGCCCTGCTTGTTCTGGCTGCTCTTCTCACTCTGACGTCATCTATTGCTGCCCTCTCCTGCTGTCTCTCTCCAGCCACGTCCCCTACACCCCTTGTAATCCTGGGAGTGCCCAGGTATGTTCCCAACCTAGGGCTGCTGTTCCCTCCTCAAGAGCCACTCTCACCCTAGATAACCACATGGATTTCTTCCTTATCTCAGATGTCTCCTTCCCAAGGAAGTCTTCCCTGACCATCCTATTTAAAATTAGAAACACTTTTCCTTAGCACTTTTTAGAAAAGTATTTCCTGCTCTTTATTTTTCTGCATTAACACTCATCTGACATGAGTTTTACTCATTTATTTTGCTTGTTGTTGGTCTCCCCAGCTAAAATGTAAGTTCCACGAGGCAGAGATTTCTGTTCATTTCACTTGCTGCTAATCCCCAACTCTTAGAACAGTGCCAAGTACATAGAAAGGCATAAATGCGTATTTGTAGAATGAATGGACCTTGCCTGTACCTCCAGCCTCATCTTCAGCCATCTCTTCCCTCTGTAGTCCAGTAACACCTCAGTGTCTGCCCCCCAACCCCACCCAGCTGTTCCTCACCCTCCTGCCTCTGCTCTCTTGTCCTGGATTTCTCTGCCCTTCCCCCACTCTTCCTTTGGCCACTTCTGTTTATCTTTAAAGACCCAGGTTAGACTTAACTGCTTCTAAAAAACTTATGTGATTCCCCTATGCTGGATTCAATGTTCATTTACTGCTCTCCCATTTTATCCTCTATTGACTCACAGTTAAAGAGTATGCTGTAAGTATCGATGCATGTCCCTCTTCTTCAGCAGACTGAGGGCTCCTTGAGGGGCAGGGGCAATTATGTTTTTTAACCCTTTACATCTCAGTTCCTGACATAGTGCTTGGTACCTAGCAGGTGTTTAATTGTGTTGTTGTTGAATGGTTACATGACGTAGTTCTGATACAAGGAAGTTACAGAGTACAACACTTGGAGAATACTACATCAGGACAGCCTCAAAGCTAAATGGTGTCCAGCAGTGGACCCAGCACACACTCGAGCTGAGAGTGGGGTGAGGAGGACTAAAGGCAGGAAGGGGGTCCTGGAAAATGCATGACTTAAGCTGAGACTTAAAGAATGGATATTTAGAGGAATGCAGAGGAAAAGGGAGGTGACTGGTCTTTGAAGAAAAGATATGAAGCTAGCCAAGAGCCAGCCAGGAAATGTTGACAACCACACAGTCCCCAGAGGAGTCCGTAGTGGCACTCTGTATGCCACAGCAATCACAGCCCATATACACAGTGCGTGGGCTGGCCCACAAGCAGCTCTCTCCATTTCCCCCCCGGCCTTTGCCTTAATCAGAGGGAAGCCCACTGGAGCCTGGACCGTTTAGGTGGCCATTCTCTCTGGAGTGTTGAGTTGCTTTGCCTTCCTTTCCTGATCTCTGCTGGAACCCAGTGCCTGGGCACCTGCTCACCTGCCTTTCACTATTACTGTTGTTGGCAGGTTAATGACCTAGTGACTTCTTTGCCTGTCACCTTAGACTTGGGGACAGTGAAAATCTACCAGAGTGGCATATCTACTGCCGTGGAAACAGATTTTGGGCTCTTAGTGACTTTTGATGGCCAGCACTACGCCTCCATTTCCGTCCCAGGCTCCTATATAAACTCCACCTGTGGACTCTGTGGAAACTATAATAAAAACCCACTGGATGACTTCCTCCGCCCGGATGGCAGGCCGGCCATGTCTGTCCTGGATCTGGGAGAGAGCTGGCGTGTGTACCACGCAGACTGGAAGTGCGACTCCGGCTGCGTCGACAACTGCACCCAGTGCGACGCTGCCACTGAAGCCCTCTACTTTGGCTCTGACTACTGCGGCTTCCTCAACAAGACAGACGGCCCTCTGTGGGAGTGTGGCACTGTCGTGGACCCCACTGCTTTTGTGCACAGCTGCGTGTATGACCTGTGCAGTGTGAGGGACAATGGCACGCTCCTCTGCCAAGCCATCCAGGCCTATGCTCTTGTGTGCCAAGCCCTTGGCATTCCAATTGGAGACTGGCGAACCCAGACTGGGTGTGGTAAGCTGGCATCCCATCCCCATGACAGGTCTCTCTTGTGCAGGGGGCAGGGATAGGCTTTGGGGGCTCCTCCAAATGTCCTTGTTAAGACTTGTGACCCAAGAATGAGGGGGAGGTTGAAATTGCACAAATTACAAAGAACGAATTGTGAAAGGATCTTTACTTTTGCCCCCACCTAATACCACAACCAGGAAACAAGAACCCATTGATGAACATACATGGTCTGGAAACATGAAAGGCATGGCAGGAAGTCCCACAGCAGGGGACGGCAGCTCCAGAGTTGAGTGAGGAGGTGGGTTGTCCAGAGGTGGAGGTGGCTACTTTTGTGGCTGTTGAGTTAATGCAGCTGTGGGCCTGGGTCATCAAAACTAGCCCTTGGGAAAATAGGTCACCTTCCACATGGAACCTGTAGCAATTGTTCCTGGCACTTTCTTCTCCACTGTCAGACCCTTAAGGGTTTGTGCCCTGCTGCTGCTGCAGATGAGGAGTACAGCATATGAGTAAAGAAGCCCTTTTTCTTAAATATTAGGAGTGGTTAGGAAAAGCCCCAACTTTGAGGGAAATCCTGGCTCTTTTGAATTACACTTTTGGATTAAGCATTTTGTACCATTTAATTGTCTTAGTACTTTTTCCCTGTATCCCACTTAAAATTTATTTCTTTTTCTAGTTATACACAGTTTAAAAACAAATAGATTTCGTTTCCTTCCTAGTCCTTGGTTTTCTCCATATGAGTAAATAGAAAATTGTAATCCATGCATTTGAGAGTGCTAGGGAGGTGAGAAGATTTAAAAGTTTCTTTAAGTTCCAAGGCTAGAGGGAGAATTCTTCCCATCAGTATAAGTTGGAGTCACATAAACCATAATGTATCAGGTTCAATTCTTAAGAGTTTTGGTCAAACTACAATACAAGCAACTGTATTCTTGCTGTGTGACTGACCAGCCTCTCTTATGACCAGAGCATCCATATTTGGATTCAAGTTGAGATTGAATATGGCTTCTCTTTGATCCTTACAAGAGCATCCAAATTACCTGACTAAAATGTTACAATGGCCACAGATATATATTTTCTAGTGGCACTACTTTCCCATCCTCTACATTTCGCTTTCTTTTCTGGCTCAATGGACTCTGTTTAATTCAGAGAGCTAGTTTGCTAGGCCCCTGAGCCCCTGCTTGTTGGATTCAACCAGACTCAAACATTTATGTAGACCCAGATGTTATTAAAGCAAGAACCGAAGATTTCTAAGGCAAGAAGGGCCTTTAGAAGACATCTTACCTTGTCTCCTGGAGAAACAGCCACACAAATTCTTTGAATTCTTTGGAGGTAGCCAGGGCGCTTTCTTATTTTTAATATCCCAGGGAATTCATCCCCACAGCCTTCCTTGGTCACACTTAGGTATTTTAAGTGCCTCCCTGTTACAAATTTCACGTTTTCAAATTACTCCTCTAATGGTTACATTTTTCATTTCTCCTGAAAATTGGATTTATTTCCTTCTAAGAATGGACCATGCTCTTTAAAATCAGATCAATTTATATGTCCATCAGTGGAAGGTCTTAAAATATCTCGGTAGTGTGGATCATCAAATAATAAACCTATATTGGGTAATCAGTAGTCTAGAAAGGATGGCATCCTGAAAGTTTAATTTTAGTCAAGATGATCAAATTCCAATAGAAGTTCACAGTCCAATCATGCTGCTCAGTAGTTATTAGGAGAGTCATTGAGCTGGGTTTTACAGATACAACCTCAATTCTGTCTTCCCCGAGTGGCCGCTTGACCCTCACTCTAGGAACTAAATGATCCAGGAGGAGCGTTAAGATTCTGGCGGGTTAGCACTCCGGGTCCATTCACCTTGTTATCGGCTCTCTTCCTTTCCCCGCGTCAGTGTCCACAGTGCAGTGCCCGAGCTTCAGCCACTACTCCGTGTGCACAAGCAGCTGCCCCGACACATGCTCCGACCTGACGGCCTCGCGGAACTGCGCCACGCCGTGCACAGAGGGCTGCGAGTGCAACCAGGGCTTCGTCCTCAGCACCAGCCAGTGCGTCCCTCTGCACAAGTGCGGCTGCGACTTCGACGGCCACTACTACACCATGGGGGAGTTCTTCTGGGCCACGGCCAACTGCACTGTGCAATGCCTGTGCGAGGAGGGCGGGGACGTCTACTGCTTCAACAAGACCTGCGGCAGCGGGGAGGTGTGCGCCGTGGAGGACGGCTACCAGGGCTGCTTCCCCAAGCGGGAGACCGTGTGCCTGCTCAGCCAGAACCAGGTGCTGCACACCTTTGACGGCGCCTCCTACGCCTTCCCCTCCGAGTTCTCCTACACCCTCCTGAAGACCTGCCCTGAGCGCCCAGAGTACTTGGAAATCGACATCAACAAGAAGAAGCCCGATGCAGGACCTGCTTGGCTGCGGGGACTTCGGATCCTGGTGGCCGACCAGGAGGTCAAGATAGGAGGCATCGGGGCTTCGGAAGTCAAGGTAAGGCTCCTTGCTCCTTTGGAGGGGTTCCTGGTACGTCCAGCCAGGAGGAGGAGCTCGCCATCCTCTTCAGGTTTGCCTTTCTGCCTCTGCCTATGAGTGGATTTTAGAAAGAAGATGGCTCCAAACGGGAGCGTTTTCTAATGATCTGCACCAAATAAGAATTATCAGGTGGAGAAATGGCATGCAGCTGGGATTTCTCCAATTAGATAGAGCAGGACTAGCTCTCCGGAATAGCAAATACTTACAGAACACTTACTATGTGCCAAGCACTATTCTAAGCCCCTTATAAGCAGTATCACACTTCATCTTATGATCCTCATTTTACAGATGAGAAAGCTGAGGAGCAGAGAGGCTAAGTAACTTCCACAGGGACACCTAACCGTGAAGGGAGATTCACACCTGCCTGGCTGGCTCCAGAATCTGCGCTCTTAACCCTTGCACCCTACTAACTCCCCTACCTATACATGCCAGTCTATGTGGGGTGATGTAAGGGGTGACTCCCACCCCTCTGACTTGCTCTGAAAAACCCATCATTAGGCACCCAGACTTATAGATCCTTAGCTCTAGAAGGAATATTGAGAATTATCTAGTGCAACTCCTCATTTCACATGAAGACACTTACTAAAAGGGTAAGTGAAGGTCCCACAGCTAATTGTTGCAGAACGGGGATGCAACATGCATTTTATGTCACCTGAAGTCTAGTTTGGAAAACAAAAGCCAACACAGTACTGCCCAAGGAGATAATAAAATACGCATCCACAAACTGGAAGGGATGTGTTTTTATTCTCATTGCCACATTGGCAGAGATTTATTTATTAATAGACTAGTAGGAAGTAGATAGAAGAATGGACAGCTAGATCATTAGAGATATGCTATGTGCCCTCGAGGAGCTGGGACACAGAAAAAGTAAGACTGGAAGAGAAAAGCAGCCAGAAAGGCAGGGAAGGAGGGGAGCTATTTTGAAAGGTACCAAAACAGAGATGCCAGGCGGCAGGAGGGAGCCACGTATCTAAGACGATTTTTGCTCACACTTTAGTTTCGTTTGTTTTGGGCTAGCTTTGGGTCCAGAACACACAAATAAACAGCAAATGGGTCTAATCAGGGGAATCCAAAAAGAAATAAATAAAGAAGCCCATGACAAATCGGTTGGTATCTTTGTGGGTTCCATCAGCTTCTTGACCTCTCTCAAAAGGCTAGCAATAGGGCAGACCGTGTCTTTATCCCACAGCCTAGGAAATGGAAAGTGCTCTGTGTGTCTCTGGAATTGATAAGAATGACTTGATTTTTCAGTTGAATGGTCAGGAAGTGGAATTGCCTTTTTTCCATCCTTCGGGGAAGCTGGAAATTTATCGAAACAAAAACAGTACGACAGTGGAGTCCAAGGGCGTGGTGACTGTCCAGTACTCAGACATAGGTCTATTGTACATCCGGCTGTCCACCACATACTTCAATTGCACAGGGGGCTTGTGCGGCTTCTACAATGCCAACGCCAGTGACGAGTTCTGTCTCCCCAACGGCAAGTGCACGGACAACCTGGCAGTGTTCCTGGAAAGCTGGACAACTTTCGAGGAGATCTGCAATGGAGAGTGTGGGGACCTGCTGAAGGCCTGCAACAATGACTCGGAGCTGCTCAAGTTTTATCGAAGCCGCTCCAGGTGCGGCATCATCAACGACCCCTCCAACAGCTCCTTCCTGGAGTGCCATGGGGTGGTGAACGTCACTGCCTATTACCGCACCTGCCTTTTCCGCCTGTGCCAGAGTGGGGGCAATGAGTCAGAGCTCTGTGACTCTGTGGCCCGGTATGCAAGCGCCTGCAAGAATGCGGACGTGGAGGTGGGGCCCTGGCGGACCTATGACTTCTGCCGTAAGTTGGGGTTGGATTCTGGGAGAGGCTTTCTAGCTGGGAAATAGGTGCCATGCTGGGCCTTACTCAGGACTTCCCTTCCAGGTGGGACTGAGCTCAAGGGTGATGTTAATTACTGTGTATACCTACCCTAGTCTGATGTGTCCTCCCAAAGACTCATCACCCCAAACCGGAGAGCCTCTCATCTTTACTTTTTTTCCTAACTGCACAGTACCTCCTCACTGCAGAACAATTAACCATCCTATTTGCATGTGGTTTTATCTAGCAGAGGGTAGAGGCACCATGTCAAAGGACTAGAAATCTTTGTGATGGCTCTGTAGGTGCCTTCTCCCTTGGCAAAGAAGAGCCCCATTGATTTTGATAGGAAGTGATCGGCCAGGGCACCTTTGGGGCATGGAGATTAGCATGCTCCCCAGGGCAAACCTGACAATGGGTATTAAGAGAGTCCTGTGTTGCTGGCTTTTAATTTTGTCCCGAAAGTATCTGACCCCTCTCAGCAATGCAGTGGCAAGTACTAGTAGTAATTAGAAAACTTTCTGGGAAGACCTGATACGTAACACCCTTGATTATCAGGGAAGCCACAGGGAGAAGTAACATGGCAGAAAGCAGGACTCACTCGTGGAGCAAGAACTGCCTCATCTGGCCTTCAGCACACAACCCTCTCCCACCACAAAGGTGGGCCCCACACCAAAGCCAAGGCCACCATTAAGATTCCATCCCCGGCCGGGCATGGTGGCTCACGCCTGGAATCCCAGCACTTTGGGAGGCAAAGGCAGGTGGATCACGAGGTCAGGAGATCGAGACCATCCTGGCTAACATGGGGAAACCCTGTCTCTACTAAAAATACAAAAAATTAGCCGGGCGTGGTGGCGGGGGCCTGTGGTCCCAACTATTTGGAAGGCTGAGGCAGGAGAATCGCTTGTACCTGGGCTGCGGAGCTTGCAGTGAGCCCAGATCACGCCACTGCACTCCAGCCTGGGCGACAGAGCAAGACTCCATCTCAAAAAAAAAAAAAAAAAAAAAAGGATTCATCCCTGACGGCTATTTATCTGTCCTCCGTTTTTAATTGGCAAAAGTATTTTTTAATTTGAAATAATTTTAGACTTACAGAAAAGTTGCAGGAATAAGACAGTCTACCATTCTCTCAGATTCCCGAATCGTTAACATTGTAACACATTTTCTTTCTAATTTTGTCTCTGAAAATATACTCACTCTTTTTCTAAACCACTTGAGAGTAAGTTGCTGTCATTATGCCTGTTTGTACCTAAATATTTCAGTGTGTTTCCTAAGAATAAGCACATTTATATGACCATAACATAATCATTAAAATCAGGATATTGCCATTGATACAATACTATTATGTAATCTGAAGACCATGTTCATATTTTGTTAGTGGTTCCAATAATGTCTTTTACAGCCAAAACAAAAAACAAACCCTGGAATCCAATCCAGGATCACATGTTGCATCTTATTATGATGTCTCTGTAGACGCCTTTAATCTGGAGTAGGTCCTCAGTCTTTGACTTTCATTGTCTTAGCGTTCTTGAAGAGTACAGGCCAGTTATTTTGCAGACTGTTTCTCAGTTTGAGTTGGCTTATATTTCTTCCTGGTTCCATTGAAATTATGCATTTTTGGCAGGAATACCACAAAAGCAATGATGCGTCTTCTCAATGTGTCATATCTGGAGGCCTCTGATGTTGGTTTGTCCCGTTACACTGAGCATGATAGATTCGATCGCTTGCTTAAGGTAGTGTCTGTCAGATTTCTCCATTGAAAGTTACTGTTTTTTAATCATATAATTAATACATATTTTTCAGGGAAATACTTTAAATTTAGGTAGCTATTCTATTCCTTGAACTTGCATACACTAGATTTAGTATCCAGTGATGATTTTTGTCTGAATCATTTATTACTGTTTGTGAAATGGCAATTTTTTTCTAATTCAATGGCTCCTGCATTCATTAGTTGGCATTCTACTGTAAAGAGATGTCCTTTTCACCCATTTGTTTCTTTTTATTTGTTTAGATGACTCATGGATTCCTACTTAACCGATTGTATCTGTTATCATAATTTGTTTTATGCTCAAATTGTTCCATATACGGCCAGTGGGAGTCCCCTCCAGCAATGGTTTCTGTTGACATTTGCTTCATCATTCGTTGCTTTCCACGAGGCACGATGTACTCCGGGCTCATCTTGTACTTTCTCTGCTCTAGCCTTGGATTAGCCATTTCTCCAAGGATCTCTGGTTCCTTCGAGTGGAGCGTAGTGTTGAGGAGATAGGATCTGGGTGTCAGGTGTGCCCGTTCTTCCTAGAGTGTCATTGATTCTAGCATTCCTTAGTGGAGAGAGTGAGGAAGTGCATGTATGTGCCTATACACACCCTCCATACACATTTTTATGTAGCTAGGTGTGTTACTCTCTCTTTTTATCTGTTTCTGTCTCTATCTCACCATGAGTTCATACTGAACCTACAGTTTCAGTCCAATACCGCAGAGTTTTCTAGTTTTCCTTTTTTAATTTTTTTTGAGATGGAGTCTCACTCTCTCACCCAGGCTGGAGTGCAGTGGCATGACCTCAGCTCACTGCAACCTCTGCCCCCACCAGGTTCAAGCAATTCTTCTACCTCAGCCTCCCGAGTAACTGAGATTACAGGTGCCTGCCACTGCACCTGGCTAATTTTTTTTGTGTGTGTGTGTTTTTAGTAGAGACGGGGGTTTCACCATCTTGGCCAGGCTGGTCTTGAACTCCTGACCTCGTGATCCACCCACCTTGGTGTCCTAAGGTGCTGGGATTACAGGCGTGAGCCACCACGCCCGGCCAGTTTTCCATTTTTTAGTTTCTTTTATCTGAGAGTGAGAAACCTGGCCCATTGTATTTCCTCCTGTTTGCTTATTTTCTTAGCTTCTTATTTTGAAATAATTTCAAAACTACATAAGAGAACACCTGTAAACTCATTGCCCAGATTAACCTATTAATAACATTTGTTCATTTGTTTTATCATTCCCTCCCTTTCCCTGTCTCTTCCTTCCTCCCTCCCTGCCCTTCATGTGAGAGTGAGTTGCAGACTTCATGCCTCATTACCCGTAAAACTTCAGTATGTATTTCCTTAGAGTAGGGGCATTTATATACATAACCACAGTACAGTTTTCAACCTTAGGAAATTTAACATTGATATAGTAATTTAACATCCATATTCCAATTTTGTCAGTTGACTGAGCAATGTTCTTTACGGTTCTTTTGGGGTGCCAGGATGGGGAACTCAGTACAGACCTAATTTAGAATCACACGTTGCATTTCATTGTCGTGTCTCTTTAGTCTCCTTTAATCTGGAACAATGACTTAGTTTTCTTTGTCTTTTCTGATATGGGCATTTTTGAAGAACACAGCCTCCCTGCCTTTTGAAACAGAATGATCCTCCATAAACAGAATGACCCTCCATTGGGGTTGATGTTCCATCCTGAGGATCTTCAGCTGTGCATCTCCACTCAGCCTCCCGGGCAGGTGCCATGTGGTTTTTCTCATGGAATCACAGCACACACGGAAGCACGATCTTGTCCAGCCTCCCCTCATTGGTGATGTGCATGTTGATTCCCTGGTCAAGGTGTTAGCAAATGTCTCTGCTGCAGAGTCACTGTGAGCTTTCCCTTGCAACTAATAAGCAACCCATGGGGAAATACTTTAAGAGTGTGCAAATATCCTGTCTGTCAGTCTATCTGTCTGTCTATCGGTCATCTTATCAATCTGGACATGGATGCCTGTTTTTTCCAGTGGTCTATATTTCATCTATATTTCATCTTCCATGTATTAATTATTTTTGGTGTTAAAATTGCTCTGGATTGGCCTGTAGGATCTCCTTCAAGCTGGCTCCTGTGTCCCTTCAGCATGCCTCTGTCATTTTTTTTGAGCACTTTCTTCCTTTTGGCATAACAGGGTGCTTCGCGCTCATCTTTTAATCTTCCCTGCCCCATGCTGGAATCAGCTTGACTCCAAGAAGCCCTGGTGAGTGGGGAATGTTATTAGAAACCAAGATGTAAGGGAGGTGTCCCTGTTGCTGTTGGGGCATCTTTGCTTTGCCTCTAGGTCCTTTCAACAGACGGAGCTGAAAACCAACACCACACACACACACACACACACACGCACACACTTCTTTTTAACTCTATGATTCCTGACCTTGGGAAATCCAAGGAGCATGTGGAGAGCTTAGTGGTTGTCATCTCAGAAGGGCAGTTGTGTCCCTGGTGAGCCCCCGGGGAGGGACTAATAGCAGATGCTGGGACTCCAGAGCTACCTACAGCAGGAGAGCCTCCACGGCTTCTGTCGGCCACCACATCCGGTGGGACCTTATCATACTTTCCCAAAGTCTTTTTTTTTTTCATCCACCTCCCTATATCCTCTTTTGTCCTATCTCCAGCTTATCCAACACGATCTCTGTTTCTGCTCCCACATTGAGCCTCCCAGTTGTATTTCATTCATGCTACAGGATTGCCGAGTCTCCCCTATACCAAATCTGTTCTGTTGCCAGGCCATTTCAGTGCCGTCCTTTTAGACTGCTAACTCCTACCTGGCAGGGGATGTTTGAGTTATTTTTGTGCTGCATGGAGCACAGTTTGGTAGCGTCGTGTGTGCCAAGTTAGCAGGGCGTGATGGTGATATTCCCTGTTTCCCTGCATGTGACAGCTACTGAGAAAAGCTTCTCACTATCCCTCATCTGGGCCAGCAGACCTGGAGGAAGCTCTTATCAGTGTCTTTTTTAGGGAAGATGTGGGCAGAAGCAGTCACATGGAACATGGCTTTCTTGGGCTGAGGGCCAGGGCTCCTACTTGAGATGTCCCCCAGGATGTCTTATCTAGATCTTGTGCACATGGTTCTGGCGAGTAGCACTGGATAGCACGCACTTGATTCGTCAGGCCGCCGAGCACTAAGGGATTAATCTGGTCGGAGTCTTGCATGGTGGGGATCAAACTGGATGACAGCTGTGAATCAGGAACACAATCTTCTTTGAACCTAGAGAGACAACTGCTGCCTCTGTGTTCAGATATTTTTAACTGGCCCTCCTGTTGGCAGAGCCAGGCTGCCCAATTAAATAATTTCACACAGGCATTCCGGGGCCTAGGGGAAGTTCTATTACTCCACGTCTGTGTGTTCCAGACTTTCAGACAAATTCAGACAACACAATAAGTCATAAAGTGAGAGCCATTTAAATAAGTCATGTTATTTGCTATCACCATAAATCTGCAGTCAGTGTTAGAACATTCATAATTTAAAGACAAATGTGAAAATCCCTCTACACAGACATATATAATCAGTGCTGAACTAGCCTTCAACTCCAAAGCCGTGTGGTATTGTAGTCAATGGGAGTGGAGATAGTCCTTTAGCGCAGAGGAAAAAATGATTGGCTTTCAGTCCACAGTGCAGAACTGTTGTATCGGTACTTGTGGGCAGAACTATTATTGCCATGCAATTTATTTCTCTGTAATGTCCTCCGTGTCCTTGGATTGTAAAACAGTATTAAGGAGTGATGGTATGTATACGAGCCAAAGAAAGTTTTAAAGGCGAGATCTTATTTTCCCAGAAGATGGTGGGGACTTCGCTGATCTTTAGATCGCACAGACTTGTAGGAGGCTTCTTCTGTGCTCCTGAGTTCTGTCCCTGCCTCTGGCAAATTGTGACCCATTAAAGTAATAGTGAGAAATAGGAAGTATGCCTACCACTACATGGTGAGTATCCCGTGGTATTATCATTTTATGTGCTTTTTTTTTTTCTCCAGACGGAGTCTCGCTCTGTCACCCAGGCTGGAGTACAGTGGCGCAATCTCTGCTCACTGCAACTGCCACCTCCCAGGTTCGAGCGATTCTAGAGCCTCAGCCTCCCGAGTAGCTTAGATTACAGGTGTGTACCACCACGCCTGGCTAATTTTTTTTGTATTTTTAGTAGAGATGGGGTTTCACCATGTTGGCCAGGCTGTCTTGAACTCCTGACCTCAGGTGATCCACCCGCCTCAGCCTCCCAAAGTGCTGGGATTTACAAGTGTGTGCTGTGCTTTTTGACCAAGAGTCTTGATCTTTCAAGGAAGGCTTCTGGGAAGATGGGCAATTTGAAGTGAGACTTGAAGGATGGGTGGGACTTGGCTTTGTGGGTGGGGGGCTGTCCAGGAAGGGGAAAGCGCATGAGCAAAGGGGCTGCGGGGTGATGACCTCCTTTGCAGAGAATGATGAGGAGGTGGACGAGGCCAGAGGGCACCAGGAACAGAGAAATGAAAGACAAAGGGAGAGTCTACAAGCCAATTTGCAGAGTAAAAATACCTACATATAGCCTGTCTGTGTAATAGAAGGAGGTACAAAGAGGAGCAAGGCATACCATTGATGGAGACCCTCTTGATAGATTAGATTATTAACCCTCAAAACAACCGTGCTAGCTAAATGTGGTTCATACTTAATGAAAGAGGAAACAGAAGCTCTGAAGACATGAAATAACATCCCAAAGTTAAGTTAGCAGCATCCACAGGTCTCTGTGGTCCCAAAACATACAATGCTCCCTCTCCAGAGTCTTTGAGTCAGTGGACCCAGATTAAATCTCACTCTGGCACTTACTAGTTAGATTTATTTAAATCATTGAACTTCAGTTTCCTCACCTGTAAGATAAGAATGATAAGATTTACCTTACTTTCCAGGTTGTTGAGATAAGGTACACAAAAGTGCCTAGGACAGTGCCTGGCATGTCGCAGGTGCTCAATTCTGGGTCTTAGACTCAAAACCTTCTATGTGGAAAGCTAGGTGCCCTAGCAGAGTGTGTGAATGAAGGGGTGCCACTGGGACTTGGATCTCCCAAATGAGGATGACTACAGCTCACTGTACTGTGCAAATAAGACCACACACATATACAGAGGCACACACATGCAATCACACACATGGATACTCACATGCACACACACGTGCACATGCACACTCGCATGCACAGATGTGTGCACACACAGGCACTCATACGTACACACACGCACTCGCACACATGCATGCACACACATGCACTCGCACACACGCACGTGCACACACACATGCATGCACAAATGCATGCATACACAAATGCATGCATGCACACACGCACATGCACTCACAAACACACATGCACTCATACACACATGCATGCACGCACACTTCTGTCTCTGACTTTTGTCCTTTTCTCAAACCCGTCTTCTCCTTGACCACCTGCAGCACTGGAGTGCCCAGAGAACAGCCACTTTGAGGAGTGCATCACATGTACAGAGACCTGTGAGACCCTTACCCTGGGCCCCATCTGCGTGGATAGCTGCTCTGAGGGATGTCAGTGTGATGAGGGCTATGCTCTACTGGGCAGCCAGTGTGTCACGCGGAGTGAGTGTGGCTGCAACTTTGAGGGGCACCAACTTGCCACCAATGAGACCTTCTGGGTGGACCTGGACTGCCAGATCTTCTGCTATTGCAGTGGCACAGACAACAGGGTCCACTGCGAGACCATTCCCTGCAAGGATGATGAGTACTGCATGGAGGAAGGTGGCCTGTACTACTGCCAAGCCCGCACCGACGCCTCCTGCATCGTCTCAGGCTACGGCCACTACCTCACCTTTGATGGCTTCCCCTTTGACTTCCAGACCAGCTGCCCACTCATCCTGTGCACCACAGGAAGCAGGCCAAGCTCAGACTCTTTCCCCAAGTTTGTTGTCACAGCCAAGAATGAGGACCGGGACCCGTCACTGGCCTTGTGGGTTAAGCAGGTGGACGTGACCGTGTTTGGCTACAGCATCGTGATCCACCGAGCTTACAAGCACACTGTGCTGGTGAGTAGTCATGAGGTCCCCTCAAAAGGGGAATCGTGGAGACGTCAGGATGGGGTCGGCAAGCCAGGCTGCAGCTGAATCAGGCAGGTCCGGAATCCAAAGAAAATCTTAGTATATTAAAGCAGAGAGAGGCCCTAGAGATTTTCTGTCACTTCATCTTACAGAGAAGGAAACAGAGGCTCAGAGAAAAAAATGATTTGCCCAAGTCACATACACCAAGTTAGGAGGCAGAGCCAGCTCTGGAAGCAGTGCCTTTCGTATGGCAGCAGAGCATGCTGGAGAGAGCACAGACCGAGGTTAGCATCCCTGCTTGGTGGCTGCTGTGTGACCTCAGGCAGTCACTTAACCTCCTAGCTTGGCCACTCCATCTGTAAAAGAAATGCCTACCTTGCACAGACTAGGCCTCCCTAACTGATGCTATTGTCCTTGTCCACCCACTTCCCTTTTTTGAGATCAGGGTGATATTCACCTTTTCTGGCCTCCCTCCGTCTCTCCTGGTCCCTTTTGGCTCCCAAGGGATCTGTGAGTTCATGAGTCTCACACGCATTTGGAGGACTCGGGGCTCTCCTACAATCCCTTTACTCACTTGGGCTTCAACTCCCTCTTTCTAAGCTTCCCACCCTTTTCACCCAAAGAGCACTTCCTTGGCCATGAAGACAGGAGCAGCAGGGCTGAGGCTGAGGAGCTCTGTGCACTCCTCGTCTGGCCTGCAGACATCAGCTCCAGCCACAGGCCCAGCTATTCTTTCTCCAGGGTCCTGCTCTGCACATGACTTGAAATGCTAACAATCAAGCCAGCAGCCTCTGCTTTAGCATTTTAGGGAGCTGATTTAGGGTGCTTGCCTTCTTGACATTATTATCACAGGTCTGTGTCATAATTTTTCTATCTCTAAAGGGACTCCTTTTCATCTTGTATACATTCTCTTAAAAATTCTGAGCTATACTGAACTAAACTATCTAAACCTAACTAAAGAGTTCCCTGGGCAACTATACTGACTTCTTTTCCTGCCTCGGGATTTCCTCAACTTTCTTCTCTGACAAAGAGAGATTCCCAAGCCTCTTGAATTATCTTTCATGTTTATTGGAAGTCTGCCTTTTTATCATCCAAGGAAGCAATTTCACTGTGTCGTCCTCTTCCCTTGCTTGCACACCACAAACCTAAATCCCAGTTGTTTTCCTCTCTGCTCCTCCTAACAGTTTATTCCAGTAGCCATTATTACATTCATCAGGCTGTATTTTTCGTGATCTTCATGTCTAAAGTGTTCTCACTTCTAATCATGGGCTTCTTAAGGGCAGGAACCATACATACCTAATTCATCTTTATGTTGAATGAATGGGCAGCCCCCTGCACCTAGTGACACTGGAAACACTGGTCAAATGAATGAGTGAGGCTGAGCACGGTGGCTCATGTCTGTAATCCCAGCATTTTGGGAGGCCAAGGCAGGTGGATCACAAGGTCAAGAGTTCAAGACCAGCCTGGCCAAGATGGTGAAAGCCCGTCTCTATTAAAAATATAAAAATTAGCCAGCTGTGGTGGCAGACACCTGTAATCCCAGCTACTAGGGAGGCTGAGACAGAGAATTGCTTGAACCCAGGAGGCGGAGATTGCAGTGAGGCAAGATTGCGCCATTGCACTCCAGCCTGGACGACAGAGCAAGACTCTGTCTCAAAAAAAAAAAAATAATGAATGAAATGATACAAATAACCGCTTTCTTCCAGGGTTCCCATGATTTTGTCACAGTACTGCTTCAACGATCTGAGAGGTTATATTGCCACTGAGGCAAGTTAGGAGTGTGTCAGAGGCTTGGCTTTTAGCCACATAAGATTTCTAGATGTTTGGATAGTCAAAGCTACCCATTACAACAACTTCCCTCTATCCATTTTCATCTTAATGTTAAAACAAATATATCGATCGTTTTGCCCACGTTGCTCGCATCATATTTGTCCTTTACTCTTTGTTTCCTTATGTGATATATTTCCACCCTTAGATTTAGGTGTTTTCATGCAGTTACTTATCTCCTTGACATTCGGTGCTCTTTGGCCTTTCTGCCTTTCACGTTTTTCTTTTCTTTTAAAATGTAATCTCTTCATGGGTCCTGTCTCATCTAGTTTATGATGAATTGTGTTTTCTGCCTTGTGTTACACACTCTCTGCATTTAGGTACCGCAACATCTGAGGCTACGCATGTTGGTTTCAGACATCCTCCCAGTTCTTTTCATGTATAGACTGTGGGGTCCTCGTGAGCACCTACTCTTCTTTCATGCTACCCTTCCCTCTCCTTCACAATAACCGACTCCCCACTGTCTCTAGGCATTTCCTTCCCTTTCCCTCTACTTTAGGGTTAAGCCCCCAGTGGGTTAGCTCTCCCTCCAGGCATGTGCTCTGCCCCAATCTCACGAGATGCACTTATTGCTGAAGTCCCAAGCCTGGAGAACCACACAGCTGACTTCTTCCTCACAGAGAGGTGGAGAGGGGAGGTGTGAATTAGTTTATTAAGGGCTGCCATAATGAAATACCACAGACTGGGCGGCCTAAAACCACAGAAACTCGTTCTCTCACAGTTCTGGAGGGTGTAAGTCCAAAGTCAAGGTGGCAGCAGGTTCACACTCCCCGTGAGGTCCTCGGGAAGCACCACCCCCTGCCTCTCTCCTAGCTTCTGGCGGCTGTGGGCAATCCTCAATGTTCGTCACCTTGTGGCAGCATAAACTCCAGTCTCTGCCTCCGCCTTTACATGGCCTCTTTCCCTCTGTGTCTTCTGTTTTCTCTGTGTCCAAATCTCCTTCTCCTTTTAAGTACACCGTTCATTGGAGTTAGCCCCACCTAATCCAGTGTGACCTCATCTTAACTTGATTACATCTACAAAGCCCCTATTTCCAAGTAAGTGCATTCACAGGTACTGGGGGTTAAGGCCTCAACATTTCTTTTGGGGGGACACAGTGTAACCCACAATAGGGGGTCATTGGAGACAATGAGCATCAAGGAGAAATGGATTAAAGAGGTGAGGGGACTCCTTGCTAGGGCACTTCTTTCTAAGCAAGTTGGAAACAGAGTATACAGCTTTCAAACTCTTGACAAGAAGACCAAGCTCAGGGTGCATTGAGGGTTCTTTTCTTCTGAGGTATGGAGGCTAGATTTAACAGTTACTTCGGATTATTAAAATGCATTGCAGGATCTGCTTATTCAATGATTTGCATTTGTTTTCCCATGATGTTATTATTAGTCACCATCTCTCCCTGAGCCTGAAGAATAATGGCCATCAGGATGACAGTGTGAAATGAAGTGCTGGGTAAAACACAGCCCACAGTGCAGGTCACTGCTGTGGCCCTTAGAAATGGAGGGTGATATGAAAGTGCTTCCTTGGGACACAGGGTCCTTCTATGACTCTGACCTTTCCCTGCATTGAGCAGCACCACAGGACATGGGAAAATCCACTAAGCCAAGAGAAGCTAGAAATAAATGTGCTATCTATAGACCAGACAGGGTAGGGGGGTGAGCTGCAGAAGGTGAGCCACTCCTGGGGGCACCGCCATAGCCCATCTCAGCCATCCACAGCCAGGGCTCAACAGAGACTGCCTCTCTCCTGCCCCCACCCTCAGGCTTCATCGCAGCCAAGTCTGACATGGTTCAGGCCAACAGGGAGGTTTTCAGGGCTCTAATAGCCTGTGTCTTTATCACTTATTGCCAGTCAGGTGGCCATCAGAGAAGAGTAGGGTTTTGGGCATCACTCTGGCTTGGTTTAGTATCATGAGCTTGTATTGATGTCTGTTCTCTACCAAGTCCTCGGGGTAGAAAAATGAATCAAACATGGCCTCTGTCCTAAGAGAGCTTAGAGTCTAGCGCAAGAGACAGACATTGGCAGTTAATGTCCATGTAACATGAAGTGCTGCAAAAATGTTGCTCATGGAGGGTGTGAGAGCACAGAGGAGGGGTTACCTAAATCAGCCAGGAGAACCTTAGGGAGAGCTTCCTGGAAGAGGAGACCCAGAGCTGAGGCCTGGAGGATTACACTTGCCAGGCCAGGAATGAGGTGAGGGTGTCTAGGAAAAGGAAATATTGGTGCAGACTCAAGGTGGGTAGTAAAGTGAGGGATGCAAGGAGACTTTGCTGCAGAAGACCTTGCTGGAGAACTAGGTCAAGGTCTGTTGTTTAAAGGAAAACTCTCTCCAAAAACTCTAATATGTGGTCTTATTTCCAATACTTAAATATTTGAAATACACTTTCCCCCACTCCTCCCATACCTTCTCATCGTCTTCTGCGACTTCCTCCTCCATCCATCAAGCCTGTTGCCATTCTAGCCTCTCTCTTTTCCTCTGACCTCCTGCCTCTGAGCTCCCTCTTTTCCTCCATTTCTCACTCACAGAGAGAGAGGCAGGGCAGTGGTGCCAGGGTGGAGGCAGCATGCGTGGGGTTTCTGAGACACAGAGAAGCCGAGCCTGTCTGAGTAGAGGGTGTTCCTGTCTCAGGGCTCTCCTTGGCAATGGCAGAATTTGCAAGCCTTTTAGCTTCATCCAATTATATTGCCTCCTCAAGGCATTGCCTCCTGAGTGACATCAGGTAGCCAGGGATATAGAATGCAAGGTAACTTAGGAAGAAAAGCCAGCTGGCACCGATCGGCCTCTGAGTGCAAGGCTTTTACTTTATTCGCTGTGAGCTTTCAGGACAGATCAGAGTCTCCATGGCCTGATCTCACTCCTCCTCTCACCCTCCATGCACCCTGTCACTTAAATGACTGTCACTGCACCTCTCCACCTCCTCCCTTCCAGGTGCCGAGAGTGAGGCATCTCTTCTCCTCCCGTGGCCGCTCTTCCTGTGCCACCTCTTTGTTGCCTTCCCTGGAATCTTGGCCCTCTGTCATCTCCTCTCCCTTCTGTGTCTTTCTACAGGGTCCTTCTCTTCAACTCATAAACATTCTCATTCTCAAACAAGCCTTGCCCCCAATTCCCTACTAGCTTCAATCCAATCTCTCTCCTCCCCTTTCTGGTCAGACTCCTTAAGAGCATCATCTCTGCTTCTGAATCTCCTGTTTGTTACTTTATTTGCTATTTGCTTCTGCAACCCAAATTCTGGCCTCATCTTCCTACTTAAATTCTCTTAGTAAGATTGCTGATGTTTTTGTTTTACAAAACGAATGGGTGTTTTGCAGGGTTTATCTCTTGGGCCTCTTTGCCATGTGTGTATGGGATACAAGGCCCTTCATGATCCAGGCCCTCCCCACCTGTGCATTTTCATCTCCCACCACTCCCAAGCCACACTCTATGCCCCAGCAGCACTAAATTGCTGTAATTATTCATATTTATCAGGATATTTTTCCCTTATCTACCTGGGGCTTTGCTGGGGCTGAGCCCTTTACTTTGAATTCCCTTGTCTTCACTCCCACTCCTTCTTGACTAGCCAACCCCTCCTCCTCCTTTGAGACCAGGTGTGGGCATTGTCTTCTGCAGGCAGCCCTGATCTTGTGCCCAGGCTGAGGCTGGTGCCTGTGCATCTGTTTACCTCTATCTTTGCTTTTATCACATGATATTGTTATCTGTCTGTGTACTTGCCTCTGCCATGTGCCTGGGAACTCCTAGGGAAAGGCCGTATGTGCTTTATTCCAGCCTTTAGCACAGTGCCTGGCACTCAGTGGTGCCAAATCAATGTCTACTGGATGAATGTATGAATTCTGCCTCAACAAATACTCACAGAAGAGCAGATAGTTGAGTTTTGAAGGGTGAACATTGCCCCAGGACAAAGGTGGGGTCAAGGGCATCCCTGTTGTCTTAGGTCAGGTTCCCTAGAGCCTGGGAAAGTGAGGATAGCACCAGGGCAAGAGATCTCAGCAGGGCTGTGGTCCAAGGTGCAGACCAGCTTTAGCCTGGGCTACTGGGAGCCCTGGCACTTGACTCCCAGTGTCAGCCAGTCATTGGCCAAGGACTACCCTTGAATTAGGGGGTCAGAATCTTCTGGGCAAAGTGGTTCCCATGGGGCCAAGGCCAGCTGTGAGTTATCATTAGCCCATAGACGCAGGGCCTGGGGTTAGGGGCCCTGGGTGGAGCATGGAAAGCATCCTTCACACTCACGGCACAGGAAATGGCAGGGTGGAATGTCACAGCTTGGTTCATTTAGGGAACTGCAAACTGTTCGGTGTTGCTGGTGTGCAGGAAGCCAATGGGGTGGATCTGAGAGGCAGGGCCAGCTCCTAGAGAGCCCAGGGTGATGTGCTAAGCATATCAGACACTTTACTCAAGCCCTGGAGAGGGCTTTCAGTATTGGATTAACTGCTTTCAATTGCATTAAGATTATTGGCGTGGCGGTAGTGACTGAATGGAGGGACAATCCTGGGGCCAGGGGGACAAGTTAGGAGAGTACACTACAGTCAAGGTGAAAGGTGATAAGAGTCTGAACCAAGGGAGGAGCAGTGGCGTGGAAAGGGTTGTCAGCTAAGAGAGAGAGGAAGGAGGTTGGGGGAAGGGATTTCTGGTCAGAGAACAATCTTAAAACACCTACTTCTCCCACAAGGCAAACCACCTCACCTGTGAGCCGTTGCTGCAGTGAGCAAGCTGGCTGTCTCTATCTTCCATCATGCACTAACCCAGCCACAGGCTATAGGATTTGGCTCCTCTGAATCAAAATAGTTCAAGGGCAGTGCAGTCCTGGAGTTTACTGTTAAGGGATTTCCCTCTTGTCTGAATTTAAAAATATGTGGGAGGAAACATATGTCAAGTGCCCCCTCCATGGGAGACATCGTGCTGGGTGCCTGGGGGGTAATGAGGGGAAGGTGGGCATAAAGATCAATAAAATGTGGTTCCTGCCCTCAAGTTGCCCATAATCTTGTAGGTGAGATGGAAGAGCGTACACCCAGCCGTAACATAAGGCAGACTGTGATGTGTGCTGCAATACAGTGTATGCAGGCTTGATCCTGGCCAGCGGTAGAGAGGAATACAAGAGAAGTATAAATAACCTGCCCTGGTTACCCAGACAAGGGAGTAATTAATTCTGACCACGGGCTCAGAAAATCTTGACTTACAGAAGAGGTGACATTGGAGCAGGGTCTGGAGGATGAGAGGGATGTTGATGGGTGGAGAGTGGCATTTCAGACAGAGGGAACAGCAAAGTGAAGCCATCCTTCAAGAAAAAAGAAATCTCGAAGGAATTAGTACACTGGGGCTTGCCTAAAATAAATTCCATGGTAGAGCTAGAAATAGAAACACAAGAGTTCTATGTTTTGGTAGTTCAGTCTAAACTTTAATTGAATTCTTATTACCTTTACATTACCTTGGAGAAAACAATTTGAACTCCTGGGGGAAATAATGCTATGTAAACAGAAGGCACTGAAATAAATAGGTATATTAGTGTACCAAGGATAGTCATTTGCGTCTGTTCAAATCTTAATCATAATAGTTGACTGACATAAACAACAGTACATGCAAAGACTGCATTCAACCTGCTCAAACTTCCCTCTGGGACTTGTCTTTCAAGAGACTCATCGTTAGGAGAAGAGCTGGGAAATCTCTGGGCCAACTGTGTTTCTCCACCTCATCTCTCCTCTTACAGGTCAACAGTGAACGGCTCTATCTGCCCCTGAAGCTGGGGCAAGGGAAGATAAATATCTTTTCCTTTGGCTTCCACGTGGTGGTGGAAACTGATTTTGGCCTGAAGGTTGTATATGACTGGAAGACCTTCCTGTCCATCACAGTCCCTCGGAGCATGCAGAACAGCACCTATGGTCTGTGTGGCCGCTACAACGGCAACCCTGATGATGACCTGGAGATGCCCATGGGTCTGCTTGCATCGAGTGTCAATGAGTTTGGGCAGAGCTGGGTGAAGAGGGACACCTTCTGCCAGGTGGGCTGTGGGGACCGCTGTCCGTCCTGTGCCAAGGTGGAAGGTTTCTCCAAAGTGCAGCAGCTGTGCAGCCTGATCCCCAACCAGAACGCTGCCTTCTCCAAGTGTCACAGCAAAGTTAACCCCACCTTCTTCTATAAGAACTGCCTGTTTGACTCTTGCATCGATGGGGGCGCGGTGCAGACCGCCTGCAGCTGGCTGCAGAACTACGCCAGCACCTGCCAGACTCAGGGGATTACGGTGACTGGCTGGAGGAATTACACGTCCTGCAGTGAGTCCTTCTCGTTGTCCCTCCTTGTAGCTTCTCCTCTTTCTTGATTGCTCTGGGAAGGCCAGTCTTCCAACTCCCTAGAAGTCAGAGCAAATTGAGTAGCAATTTAAGGATATGCACTTTGGAACTGAGTTTGTTATCTGAATGAAGCATGACATGTAACCTCTTGGAGCCTCCATGTCCTTATTGGTAAAATGGAGTTAATATCACTTATTTCATGGGTTACCCTGAGGATGAAATAAGATCATGCATATAAATCACAGAGTATCACACATGGCACTTGGACGCACAAAGTTCACAATAGAATGCTAACGAGATTAATGAAAGAAGGATTAGTTACTAAGTTCAAGCACCTCATGGGCCCATCCTTGTGTTAATAATCCGCATGCTTTGTCTAAGCATGTTATTCTATTTGATTCATATATGTCATGTTTCAGTCTTTGTGTTTATGAAACAGAGCAGAATATTAAGAGTACATTAGAGAAGGAACTAGAGCCCCTGGATTCTAGCCTTTACTCTGTCTTTAAGGATCTGTGTGACCTTGGGGCAATTCACTTTTCCTCCCTGGTTCTCAGTTTCCCCTTCCATAAAGCAGTGGTAATGCTGCCTTTACTGTTCATGCCTCAGAAACGTAAAGGGGATCCAATTAGGTAATTGAAAGCCAGGCACACTCTGTGCATGCTAAGCGGTACTGTTATATTAATGGCTTGCTCTGAGCCAAGACCCCATGCTAAACGTTTTATCAATATACCTCATTTATTCTTCTCAATGACCCAATTAGTCAAGGAGCAACTGAGACTCAGAGGAATGAAGTAACTGCCTAAGGTCATATAATCTGAGTGGCAAAGTCAGGACTTGAGCTTCTAACCCAAAGCCCAGGCTCCCAACCCATATACTATACTGCTGGACTATGTAGTGGGGTAATTTACCTGCCTTTAGCACATAAGAATAGGAAAAACTTGTGGGGGTGGGGGGGAAACACTGTTGGTCTTTAGCTAACCTGCTTTGATCTATTTTCCTGTCTCAATCTCATTAACCATAGCATATTTCTTTAAAAAGCATATTCCTTTTAGAAGGTCTGTAGCTCTTTTAAAACTACAAATTGATCCTGAATGCATAGAGCTCTAACTAAGCGATGCAGCAGGGTCCCCAGAGAATCAACTCCCATTTTCATCTGGAAAAGGAGATTCAGATGAAAAACCAGAAACAGCATTGTGGTTCAACACTCACACAGTCAGTTTACATTCCACACAACTGGATTCACGTAGATTGTAAGGGAAGGGTGGGAGGAAGATGAAGGCGGGGAACAGATGCCATCCCATTTCATCCAGGCTCAGTCCCTGAGTGGGTGAGGCCAGGCAGGGTGGGAAATGGTGCCAGTAGGGATGACGGTCCTGACAAACCGGCCTCTAATGACTTCAATAAAATAAATATGCCTATAAAAAAGCTCGGGTCTGGATAAATCCCCAGGGCTACTCTGGATTCATTGGGGGTCATTCCAGTAGGACCAGAGAGCTTGTCTTCCTCTAAATCAGAAAACCCAGCTTTGGACGCAAAGGCCTAAACGTGGTGCAGAATGGGGAAGCTGTTTTGGAAGGGAAAGCTCTGCTGTTTCCCCTTGAGACATGTTGTGGAGACTTCCCTCTTCACCTGCAGCCATGCTGTGCTGGGTGTACTGCTCCCAGGGTGGCTGGGGTGGGGACAGGCATGCCAAAAACCAATGCTTCCAACTGCAACAAACAGGGAAATGCACACAGGGGGCTAATGCCAGGAACTCTCACCTCAATTGATGGGTCTTAATTTTTGTCACTCATGGGAAGGAAAAGAAATTGAGTCAGCAAGGCCTCACAACCTTACCCCCAAGGAATAAGGGCCCCCACTACAAAGCTTGGCTAGGGACAAAGAGTAAGAAGGTGATTTTTCTTGTCTTTCTCTCCCTTCTACCAGGAACCCTTTCCTCTCCCCTCCCAAATTTCTGTCCAAACATTGGTTGCCTCCTCTCTACCCTGGCTCACCAGTAATGGGAGCTCTACTCATGGCACCCAGAGCCGAGTCTGCCCTGCCTCATCCTCAGTCTCAGGTCCTATCCCTTGACTTCTACCAGCTTCCCACCAGCACGTTCCAGGCCAATACGCCAGGGCCAACAGGTAACTTAGAATCGTTCCCATCACAAAGAGACTTAGACCTTCCCTACCGTGGCATTTCAGGATAGGGGCAAAGATCCAAAAGTTAGAGCACCTGAGGAGATGGTGGTAATGAATGGCAAAAAGGAAAACTAAAATAGGAGAAAAAATATATGTTTTAAAGATGGTATGGGGGTCAGGCTGGGGGAGAGGGTGTGGTTGGAGGCAGCTTCCTTTTACATTTTGAATCTCAGAAGCAGAGAAAAGCTTCAGGAGACTGAGTCCTAACTCAGCCATTCGACCTGAGAATAGGGTTGTTTGTAACTGTATCTGATGTGACTCCCCATCATGTGAGGGCAGGCCCCATCTCTCTCCACCTCTCATTCTACCAAAAATTAATCCAATCTAGCAATTGCTTGATAGGAGAAATGGTGCTTTAGGAGCAAAGGGGTTAACCTAGAACTGCCCATCAAATTTGTGCTTTATTGGTAACAAGGTAGAATGCTGGTGTTTTTCAATGATCTGACTGTTTCTATCAATGGAATAATTTATTACTCAATTACCTTATTTGTAAACTCGTTGGAAAATCTTGTAACCTAAGTTGAACAAATAGGCTTACAGGGAGTAGGGAAGTTAAATTGTCTTAATTACTAGCCTCTCCTTAAAATTCATTGAGCTGAGTCTATCATTCTTTCAGTCCCTTAATCGGGGACTGTAATTAGATGGTATTAGATGGTGAGAGGAGAAAGAGAAGGAAATAAAAAAGGAATAAATGACAGTTCCTTAGCTCTCACTATGTGCCAGGTTCTAAGTGGGATCTGGGGACTCATGCATTTACTTCTCATGGCAACCCTGCCAGGTAGGTACTACTCATAGTCCCATTTTTTAGAGGAAGAAACTGAAGCTCAGAGAAATGAAGTCACTTTCCCCAGGAAGGTGGCCTGGGTAAGTTGGAAAGTGGCTCCTAAGACAGTGCTCTCCCTTCTGTGCAATGCTGCCTCTCTGAGCCTGGTCAACCAGTGCCTAACATGTGGTCAAAGTTGGTTGTCATCGTCATTTTCCCTTTTATTGGAGGCAGCTGCTGCTACTTCAGAGTGCTGGGTCCAAAGTCTGGTAACTAGGATTTGTCTTACATATTTCTCCATACATCTAATAAATTCCTGTTGAATAATTGTTTTAAAAAATCCTTCTGTGACTACAACTATTACTACTGTGAATTGCAGAAGTTATTATAGAAGTACCAGGCACTATATCAGGAGCTTTACGAATTATATCTCATTTTATTTTGATAACTACTTGATGAGGGAGATATTATGATCCCAATTTTATAGATGAGAAAACAGAGGTTTAGAGAGAGTAAGTAACCTGTCCATAGTGACACTGCTTAATGGCAGAGCGAGGCCTCAAATCCAGGTTGGTCTGATTCCAAAGCCCCTGTCCATTCTGTTGAGCTGAATTGCTTTTTAGGGGCTCCATTCATCCTGTCTACCAAGGCACAGATGCTGGGTATGGCAAGAGACAGATTCTTGACCACGGTACAAATCCAGGTGCAGAGCCCAGGTCATCACGCCACAGCTCTCAGTACATCATTTGGTGGGGAGCGAGAAGCAGCGGATCAGTTCTAGGAATCTGAAAGTTTGTTTTCCAAGAATCAGGTGTTTCTTAGCCATCTGTCATGTTCTCAGCACTGTTTTGGGTGGCATGGAAGAATCAGAGTGTGAAACGTGGTGTTTATCATCTAGTTGGAGAAATAGACCCATGTGAAATACTTAAAGAACAAACATCTCTAAATTGGTAATACCTCTTCCCAAATGTTACAATGTATCGCAGACCTTCAGTCACTGTTAACACTGGCATATGAACAAGTTAAACAAATAAATAATAAAAATAAAACAAGTGAATACTGGCCCATGAACAGAAAGACCAACCAACGGAAAGAAGAGAAAGTTCAGAAACAGGCCCAAACACTAAAGAGAAATTAGCGTATGGTAAAGCTGGCATTTCAAATTACTGGGAAAACATATTTGTTATTCAGTAAGTAGTAAAAGGTCAAAGGGCAAACTAGCTGGGAAAAGCTAAATCCTTCCTTCATTTCTTACTCCGAAATAAAATCCGGGCAGAACAAAGATTAAACAGAAAAAAATTAAATCACAAAAATACTAGAAGAAAACAAAGGAGCGTTCTTGATAATCTTGCAGTGGAGAGAACATTTCAGAACAAATTATCCAAGGCTAAAAGGGAAACTTGACAAATTTCATTACATTAAAAATTTTACATCTTTACATGGCAAAGAGATAACAACTTCAAAAAAAGTTAAAAAATTATTTAAAAATGAATACAAAGTCAAAAGGCAAATGATAAATATTTTGTAACACATATGACATACCACAAAGGCCTATTTTAATTTTTTTTTTTTTTTTTTTTTGAGATGGAGTCTTTCTCTGTCACCAGGCTGGAGTGCAGTGGCACGATCTCAGCTCACTGCAACCACCGCCTCCTGGGTTCAAGCAATTCTCCTGCCTCAGCCTCCCAAGTAGCTGGGACTAAAGGCGCATGCCACCATGCCTGGCTAATTTTTGTATTTTTAGTAGAGACAGGGTTTCACCATGTTGGCCAGGATGGTCTCGATCTCTTGACCTCATGATCCACCTGCCTCGGCCTCCCAAAGTGCTGGGATTACAGGCGTGAGCCACTGTGCCTGGCCAGGCCTATTTTAATTTTTAAAGAACTTTTATAATTTAATAATAAAAATTTCAACAACATGAAATGTGAAAAGGATATGAAAAGGCAGTTAACAAAAAAAGACATATAAATGGATTATAAACAAATGAGAACAAGAGGATCAACCTCACAAAGAAATGCAAACTAAATAAGGAGATGGCACATATCGCATTTTAACCTTGTTTCCAAGGATCAGACAATTTGGTGATAAGACAATCAAGGAGAGTGTGGGAAAACAAACCTCCTCCAATAGCGCAGGTAGGAAGACAAATTGGCACAGTCTCTTTAGAAGCAACTTAGCGGCATTCATACCATTTCACCCAGTAATTCCACTTTCAGTAATTTATTCCACAGATGCCCTTACTCATGAGGGCAAAGGTATACATACAGGGATGTTCACTGCAGCATCAGCATAAACACATAAAGTACACACAGCATGCAGCAGTGCAAAAGCAATAATTTGAGGCTAAATGGAATGAATATTGTCATAAAGAAAGCAATGAGCAGAAATGTGTATATATTATGCTCCCATTTATGCAAAAAATAATGGACAAGGCATACATGTATGCTTATGTGCATACACACACACACAGATGGGTGCTTGTATATGCATAGAACACTTCTGGAAAAATTGACTATAGTTTGCTATCGGAGGTTGCCATTTCATCACGCTTTTTCTTGTATGGTTTGGATTTTCTACACTATGCAAGTATTATGTATTAAACTACAAATGTTTTTTAAAAACATGGTATATTGTGAGAGTGGTTATATGAATCAATACATGTGTTAAAATTCATAGAACTGTGTACTCTAAAAGTAGGTGTTACCGCTATATAATTTAAAAAATGAAATAACCCCCCATATAGATACTGTATAGGGTATAGGGTAGAAGTTCCCACATAATGGTAGCTGTGCTTTTAGTATACGTTGATTGAGATAATAGCTTCTACGAAACTTTTTAAGCAAACCTATCTTTAATGATTGACTAATACTGAACACTTACATGCCAACCACTGTTCTGAGCACACAGACTCACTTAATCCTTTGCAATCAGCCATGAAGTGAATGCTATTGGTATCTGTATTTATAGATAAGAAAGCTGAAGCTCAGAGAGCCCGAGTGACGCTCTGGGTCTCTTATAGCTGGTTCCAGAGCCCACACCCTTCACCAGGACCCTACCTGCCTTCTATAGAAGCATCTAGATGCATTTGAAAAATGGCAGAACATAATTGACGTGAATCAGTTTGCACAGACATGTGCACGTGCACACACCCATGCATGCCAGCACGTGTACTCATGCACACAAACACACACGGTGTACATTTGCCTTCTCAGAGATCATGGGGCTGAGGCATCTACTGATGATAAGCTGCTGGCTTAGAAAAACGTTCTGTAGAAGCTCTGGGGTGTAGAGGAGCTGACATTGGTCGAAGAGGGAGAACTACATGGGTAAGGTGGGACTCCCACTGGCACTTGAAGAACCAGGAATTTGGATAGGCTGAGAGGATGAAGAAGGGCATGAATAAGAAAGATCAATGTGAATGAAGACCTAGAGGCAGGAGGAGTGTGGGTGCCCTGGGAGGTTATCAGGTGACATGTCTAACTGGAGATTCAGATGGGCGGTGGGTTCAGGTGGCAGGCCATAGAGGATCTCAATGGCCAGGCTGAGGTGAGGACGACCATGATGTGAGAAGCTCCAGCCACCTCCGTCTGCATGTTGGCCCTTTATTTAAGCAGGAACGAATCAGACCCAGGCTTTCTGTGAGCAAAGAGGGCAGTAATGAAGAAAGGCGGCAGACCTCCTGGCTCCTGCCTCTCCCCGTGCCTTTCATCTCCCTGAGTAGGTGAGCAATGGCCATGAGAAAACCCTCCTCGGTGCCTTGTGATCGTGCGAGTCTTGACTTGTCTCTCTTGTTCCAGCTGTCACCTGCCCTCCAAACAGCCATTACGAGAGCTGCGTGAGTGTCTGCCAGCCCCGCTGCGCCGCCATCCGCCTGAAGAGTGACTGCAGCCACTACTGCGTGGAGGGCTGTCACTGCGACGCTGGCTACGTCCTCAACGGCAAGAGCTGCATCCTGCCCCACAGCTGCGGCTGCTACTCCGATGGCAAATATTACGAGGTATGGGAGGCCAGCCCGGCCTTTTCCTCCTTGCCAATGATCAGATTCCTCTCCAACTCTAAGAGGTTGGTCAGATTGACCAATTTTCCCACTTCATTATGAAGAGCGTCGTGTTCGTGGCAGGGGAATGGGATGGGGGGTAGAGAGGCTAAGCACACTGTTCAGGTGATGCTCTTGGGCACTGAGTGTCAGATTTGGAAAAACACCTGAGTGTCTCCTTCCTCCCTCCTCCACAGTGGCAAGGTCTCCAGCACTCTGCCTCCCCTACTCACTCACATTTGTGTGTCTGTGTCGTGCCTTTCTCTGATTTTCTGTCCTGTGAATCTCAGTTTGAAAGCTTCAGATAGAGCTATAGTTTGGATACACGGTGGCTGTGAATCTGATATTTGTAGCTGTCTTAGCTAAGGACATTTGTAACTGGAAAATATGGAGCTGGAGGCTGAGTGGGGCGGACTTCCCTCTTCTGTCTGTTGAGGCTCCGTGAGGGTAGCTGTGGCTGCCATCTCCACGTGTGCCATTTGTCACTGTGGTATCATCCCTGGAGTTTGGTCTGGACTGCTAATGTGGTGCCCCCACATCCCACCCTCTGCGGCGCCCTCTACAGGAGTTTAAACATAGAGTTCATGAAGATGCCCTTCGTAGATGTTTCTCAATAAAGCATATTAGTTCACGAAATCATTTCACTTTTTGGACTTTGTAATCTTTCCATAATACTAAGCTAGAATTCCATAATACTAAGCTAGAAAAGCTCTTGCCTAGACAAGGTATTTAGTTCATGGTTCGACCTCAAGCCCATTCTCTGTTTAAATGATATCAAAACCATATGTTGGCAAGTTAGATGGTTAACAACTACAGATAATTGAGTATCTGCTGTTTGCAAAGCACTGTGCTGGTGGTATTGTGGGGGATGAGAAAGCACGTCCTCTGCCTTGAGGATCTTAAAAATCTATTCAGAAGAGAGAAACAATGTACTTTAAAGAACAAGAGATCAGTTACAAAATAACCTATCAGCAAGTGAAAAATAATACCCTACAGAACTAATCAATTTTAAGTGAAAAAGAATAGTAGCTTTAAAATAAATCTAATTGAAATGTCTGAATTGGAAATCAGCTAGGCGAAAAATAAATAATATCTCCTTTTTGTAAAGATACATTGACTCATTCAAGTTGCCCTAACTTCGGGGATAAATAAAAGAAATGTGGACATTACCCTCAATTTCACTTTCAGTGGAGAATTTATTTAAATGCTATATTAGAAAGACAGGGAGGAAGTAAGGTAAAATAGTGAAACTAATCAAAGGAGACTTTTTGGGAAAGGGGGTGTTGAAATGAGCTCTTAGAAATGTTATTTGAAAGGAAAAGGCAGAACATGTGGAAAAAATTAATGAATTCTGTTTTCTCACAATTGAGGAGAAGATATAACCAGGCTCAAAACTCAAAAAGCACTCTCTAAACTGTGTTCCCCAGCCCGGAGACTTACCAAAACCTATCCATTTCTCAACTGTGCCATGCACCCTCGGCAGGCATCCTGAGTGTCAGTGTGGCATAATTCAATGAAACCTGGGTTCCATCCTAGCGGTACCACTGCTGGAGGTGTGACACTGAGCAAACGCTGTCATTTCTCTGAGCATCTGTTTCCCTGTGAATGAGATGTGACTAATGATACCAACACAGTAGGGCTGTTGCATAAATAATCTATGCTGGGTTCCTAGCCTAGTGCCTGGCATCGAGTCCTTCAATAATTGGTAGCTGCTATTGTTATTGTTGTTTTGTTATTCTCTTGAGAAACATTTTGTAAACGAAAAATCCAGCCGTGTTAATGAAAGGATGCAAAGAAAAGCCCTTGGAACTCTCAGGAAAAGCATGGTCAGCTCTTGGCTGCTATTAGTACTACAGTGCAAACATTATGAGCAGTTTTTCATCAGAACCTCAGTGGATTTTGACAACAGCTTACATCCGGGAAGCAGCAAACTCAGAGAACAAAGAATCCACATCTACTTGCCACCATTCCAAAGTGCCTGGGGACTTGTTCATAGAACAAATTTCTTCGGAAATGAATAGAGAATACGCCTGGCTATTAGCATGTAGAGTGATCACCCAGCTGTCATTGTCATGTATGATTCAAGTAAAGAAAGCAGCGTTGGGCCAGCCATTTTACCGTGATGCTAGTTTCAGGATCAGATTCTCTTGTGGATGAGTTATTTACCCTTTATCGTATCCACATACATCAAGTTATTTTTCTCTTTTCACCACTGTAATGTCTGACTTCTTATCAGAGAGAGGCCAAACCATCCACTCAGTTATTCTATAAATCTGATAAGAGAAATGAAGTCAATTTGTGAGGCTGTTGGCACCCAGAATATGTTACATAAGTCTGGAAGGAGAGTAGACTTAGTTCCAGGAATGACTTCACTTTGAAGATGAAAGAATCAGCAATAGCATCTTGAAGTGCACTGCAATCAGGAAACTTGTTCTGGAAGATCTCCTCCTCTATCTATTTACCCTTGAATCTGAGTCATATCTGTAGTTGATATCCAGGGTTTTGATGTCTCTAGTTAAAGCAGAAAACTGACCAGACAGAAGCATAGGCCTTTTTGTGCTATTGAAAGATCTTTTCTGGATAACGCTATTTTGGTAAGTCGATAATGCATTGAGTGCCCACATCTCTATGACACAGTCTATTTATTGGTACCACATCCCACTTGGACAATCATGACCAATTTCCAACAGTTTCCTGGAATTCTTAGTCTAGAGCAAGTGCAACATCAAGAATGCAAACCCTACCAAGCAGAGTCGTGCCTGCAGATTGCTGCCTGTTTTGGGAAAAAGTAGAAAATAACATTCTAGTTGTGGGACTCCTGGGAAAGAAATGAAAAGAAAAGAATAGCTGCCTCCAGTTGAGGATACGCTATGTTGTAGGTATTTTATATAATGTTGTATAATTTCTTCACCATCTGAAAGAGGATGAGCCATTCTACTCCTGTAATAGCAGCTTCTATTTCTTGAGTGCCTATCCTATGCCGGAAGTGTGTTTTATACATCTTATTTAATTTAATCCTCACAACTGCCCTGTAAGACATTATTTTTAATTTAATTTTATTATTATTACTTCTGAGACAGGGTCTCACTCTGTTGCCCAGGCTGAAGTGCAGCAGCAGGATCACAACTCACTGCAGCCTCTACCTCACAGGCTTAAGCGGTCCTCCCACCTCAGCCTCTGGAGTAGCTGGGACTACAGGCATGCACTACCATGCTGGTTGTTATTATTATTATTATTATTTTGAGACAGAGTTTTGCTCTGTCACCCAGGCTGGAGTGTAATGGCACGATCTAGGCTCACGGCAACCTCTGCCTCCCAGGTTCAAACGATTCTCCTGCCTCAGCCTACCGAGTGGCTGGGACTATAGACATGTGCCACCATGCCTGGCGAGTTTTTGTATTTTTAGTAGAGTTGGGGTTTCACCATGTTGGCCAGGCTCCTCTCAAACTCCTGACCTCCGGTGATCCACCCACCTCAGCCTCCCAAAGTGCTGGGATTACAGGCATGAGTCACTGCACCTGGCCTATTATTATTATTATTTTTATTATTATTTGAAGTAGAGATGAGGTTTCACTGTGTTGCTCAGGCTTATCTGAAACCCCTGGGCTCAAGCAGTCCTTCCACCTCAACCTCCCAAAGTGCTGGGATTACAGGCATGAGCCACTGCACTCAACCACAAGATATTATTAATATCTCCAATTTAGAAATGAGCAAAGTGACACTGGGGAGGTGAGTAACGCTACTCAAGATGGCACAGGTGGGGATACAGGACTAGATTGAAACCCAGGTGGTCTGATCCCAAAACGTTCCTTTCATGGACCCCAGGTGTTCTTTGGATCTTTCACATTCAGGACACGTGGGAATGAAGGTACTTCCATCAGAAGTAAATTGGAAGCAGACTAGACACAAGGAAGGGTGAGGATTGTGAAATGTGAAATGGTTAATCAGAAGTGTTGGTCATTGCTTTCTTACGACTGTTTAAGATTTGAAGGGCCAATTTATCATTCTTGAGTGAATTTTAATTTCATCTTTGAAGCAGAGTCTGTACTTGTTAGAAGTGTGATTCCTTGATGAATATTTTCTACCAAATATTCTTCCTCTTTACCTAGTTCCTCTAACAGCTGCACATTCAGGTTGACTGTGATTAGTTCTACAATCCAGCCACAAAGATTTCAGAGTTCTTGATTAAAATCAATCAAGTTATGGCCGGGGTGGTGGCTCATACCCGTAATCCAAGCAGTTTGGGAGGCTGAGGCAGGAGGATCACTCGAGCCTAGCAGTTCAAGAACATAGTGAGACTCCGTCTCTACAAAAAATACAAAAATTAGCTGGGTGTGGTGGCGTGTGCTTATAGTTCCAGCTACTAGGGAGGCTGAGATAGGAGAATCGCTTGAGTCCAGGCGTTCCGGGTTACTTACAGTGATCTGCGATTGCACTACTGCACTCCAGCCTCGGCAACAGAATGAGACCCTGTCTCTAAAAATAAATTAATAAGTAAGTAAATAAATGCGTGTCAAAACTGCGTATTGTTTGGCGTCTGAGTTGCATGGAACTGATGGAGCATTTGAGTTGAGGCCGTTTCCCCACTGCTGCCTCCTACAAATTCCAGCCCCATTAAAGATAGGCTAGCCAAGCCTGATAAAAGACGAGGGGGACTGGGCTTTCGGGTCCCCAGCCCTGACCACAGTCTGAATTTAATGCAAACGGCGCCTCTCTTCCAGCCCAAGCAGCTATTTTGGAACAGCGACTGCACGCGGCGCTGCCGCTGTTTCCGTCGCAACGTGATTCAGTGCGACCCGCGCCAATGCAAGTCAGACGAGGAGTGTGCGCTGCGCAACGGGGTGCGCGGCTGCTTCAGCACCAAGACCTCCTACTGCCTGGCGGCCGGCGGCGGCGTCTTCCGCACCTTCGACGGCGCCTTCCTGCGCTTCCCAGCCAACTGCGCCTTCGTGCTGTCCACCATCTGCCAGAAACTGCCCGACATCTCCTTCCAGCTTATCATCAACTTCGACAAGTGGTCGGCCCCCAACCTCACCATCATTTCGCCCGTCTACTTCTACATTAACGAAGAGCAGATTCTCATCAACGACCGGAACACGGTCAAGGTAACCAGCCTGGCGGCCATTCTTAAGAAGGGGCCCGGAAACAAGGGGTTGGCTAGGGGACTGTGTAGGGTTCTCCCAGATAGCCAAGTTGTAGGATAGATTGTTGCTTCATGGTGTTCCACACACAGTGACCAGGTTTTAAAGAATCAAAGTATGAAGATGTTTTAAGCCTGAGAATGGACACCATTTGGTTCTTGGCTGATGATTCCAAAGGCAGGAGACTTGCAGGGTCTCAGAACCAGGCAATGGCATGGGCGCTAATAGAGCTTCAGGTGATAAATTGTTAGATAAATCAGTTTTTACCCTGATTGCTTTCCAAAAAGCATCTCATTTGTTTTTAACAGCCCTTAAGATTATTCTTGGCTCTGCCCTCTTGTAGTAAGACCCACCCTTCATCTTTGCCATCCTTTCTATAAGCTAAGGGAAAGCAAGCACTTGCCTAAAAAACACCAATCTGAGTAAAAACCTGACTCACACCCCCATTATCCGAGGGCCCCGTGATGACATGCTGAGGGGCAGGAAATGGGAGGCTGCTCTTGGTGGATTTCTCTTAGGTTGGCTCCTCCTTAGGCCCATTGCCTGGTTTCTTGTTTATCTTACACCTGTGTGTAAATAAATGTAAACCCCCCACCCATCCTCACAACAAATATGGCTCTCCGACTTGAATTCCTCCCACCCCTTCCATTTAAGAAGAGCATCTGCTCAGATGCACTGTTGACGGTGACCCAGCCTCTCAGCTAGAGCAGGCTGCTGTGGCAGGTCACTCGGAAGGATGGAGCCAGGCCCTGGCACTGTGAGCACAGAGAGGCAGGGACCCGGAGACAGCCACATTAACAATTTTTGGAATTGAGTGTTATTGTGTGTATCTGTTTTCCACCTGCTCAGATAATCAGGCCTTGAGTGTATCTTTAATTGAAGAGTCATCAAATAGCGTATCCAGCATCAGGCAAAAGAGCAGCAGTATTTTGTGAGCTTAAAATGAAGAATCTGAAATTTAATACCGGTTTTAACTTCAATGAAAGGTGCCACTGTTTTTAACATTCTCATTCCTTTCACAAATTGGCCCACATCAACACGACAGCCTTGGTCCAGAATCCAGGAGCTAGAAAACAAAAATGACCACCCAAGAGAGCAAAACTGACATTGTGGTTGAACAAAATACCCCAAGCTAGTCAAAACAGTAGAGACTCATTTTTGAAAAAGGTGCCTACTTTTTCATTTATTTTAAGGTATAAAAGCTACTAATAGCCTGGGGAGAATAGTTTTATTTTGTAAGTACAGGAAAAGCAAGTTATATTCTGTCCCAAGGGCTAAGGAAAGAAAATGTTAGAAAGCAGAAAAATGACAAATGCAGAAAATAATGTGTGTATAGGTCCTCTGGGGGGACCTCCAGTTTGAACATTATAAGCAAGAAAACGATAAATATGGCAATGATGCCCAGATCCATATTAACTGTGTTAGACTCTCCTTGGCACAGGATTGGGATTTCATTTTCAGTCATTGGTTTATGCTGGGGAAAGTTTTAGACACAAATCCAGCCATTCATTGTGGGTTATACTTTTCTAAGGTTTCCTTATCTCTCACCTCCTCTCCCCTACTTCTGCTCCATAGTTTGCTTCCTTTGGGGCAACTACACAGTAAGATGAGTGAATGCCTTTAAACTCTAGGGCAGGGGCCAGCAAATCTGCTTGCTGCCTGTTTGTGTAAATAAAGCTTTGCTGGAACACAGCCACACTCATTTAGTTGTATATTGTCTATGCCTGCTGTCATGCTGCAGGGACAGAATGGAGTCGTTGAGACAGAGATCACAGGGCCTGCGACACCCAAAATATTTTCCCTGGCCCTTTCCTGAACAAGTTTGCCAACACCTACTCTAAGCGTAATTATTTTCTTTTTTCCTCCTCCAATAGGTGAATGGCACACAAGTGAATGTTCCATTTATAACTGGTTTGGCAACCAAAATCTACAGCAGTGAGGGGTTTCTGGTGATTGACACCAGCCCAGACATCCAGATATACTACAATGGTTTCAACGTCATTAAAATCAGCATCAGCGAGAGGCTGCAGAACAAAGTGTGCGGTCTCTGTGGCAACTTCAACGGGGACCTAACAGATGATTATGTGACCTTGCGAGGGAAGCCGGTGGTAAGCAGCGTGGTGCTGGCCCAGAGCTGGAAAACCAATGGCATGCAGAAGAGGTGAGGGTGTAGGAGTTCAAGCCACTAGACTTGGTGGCCCAAGTTCTCTCACGTCCATGGGTGGTGTGAATGAGGAATGCCTTTTCCTTAGCACTGCCCCTGCTCTCCTACAGAGACGAGCCAAAGCTCTTTGGAGTTTTGATGCTAAAAATAGGCACATCAGAGACCCCAGTAATTTCGTGAACTGCAGAGGAAGGAGTTGGGCTTAGATGATATAACTCTAATTTTCATGTCATCCAGCCCTTGGCTAAACAGAAGAGTGTGCCCAGGATGAGAACTCTGAGGCCTTGACCAGCTGCCCACATGGGACCTAGGCACCTCTGCTGGGTGTGGAATTAAGAGGTGACTGAGAAGAAGAAGGGCTATCTTTGACTCCCTTAATGCTGGGTCTAATTGTGTGTCCTTGCCTCTTACAAGAAGGCTTGCTGTGGTTGTGTAGGCAGAAGTTGGTGGGAATCAGGAAAGCCTTTTTTAAAAACAGAAGTTACAAGGTTATTATCAGGCCCACCCCTGGCCAGCAGAGAGAGAGTGAGCTAAAGAAGTTATTCCAAAGGTTTTAAATTTAGGGCCCCTCAGGGCTGCTGAATATGTGGATACCTTTCTGGATCTGTAGACATGCTTCTCTTTCTTGTTAGTTCTCCACTTGTACAATGGCTCAATCACATTGCTTTACAGCTAAATATCAGCTAAATCCCCAGTCCTGGAAATCACACTTTAAGCCTCTTTGACTCTGCCCCAAGTGGACACTGAACAATGTATCATATATTAGACTATCCTGTGAATTATGGGACTCAGAGCTGTGAAAATTCTTGGGCAATATCTTGTCCAATCTCTTCCTTTCCTAGGTAAAACAGAGACTAAGACAGTGAATGACTTACATGAGGAGGCCCCATATATGGCAAAGCCAGGACTAGATTCTAGGATTCCTAATTTGGTGCTTACTCTAGAATACCATGCATCGACCTACAGATAGAAAAGAGAGAACTTTGGACATTACATTTAGAACACTACATTAAGCCATTGTAGTGTTTCCAAAGATAGGCAAGGTTCAGTTCCTCCTGAGGAATTATGATTCTGTTTGGATTTGGCCGGCCTGCCTCCCTCCCTCCTTCCCTCCCTCCTTCCCTTCCCTTCCCTTCCCTTCCCTCCCCTTCCTTTTTAAATAAACTATTATCAACTGGACACCAACTTTCTTGTAATGTTTAGCTTTTGGCCCCTAATGGCTAAAGTGGAACTGGCTTAGAAACCTTCCTTTCAAATCTTTAATTCCACGAGGTATCATTACTATTATCATTGTTATTGGTTATATCAATACCTGTTAATGGTTATTATATCAATCATATCAATCAATTATGTCAAAGTGTTCATGCTTACTATATCAATATCGGCCTTTCATGTGGCACTTTGGCCATTAATCCATCATTCCATTTTACCCTCACTGTATTTCAGTGATATAAACAACAGGAATTACCGTTTTACTTTCTTAGATGGATAGAATAGAGACTAGCAGTATCTTACTTGCCAAAGGTCACAAAGCTAGTGTTGGAATTGGCACAATGCACTAGCTTCAGGGGTAGCAAAACAGGTACAGATGCAATTTACCTTCCATTGGAGATCTCAGATGGCTGTTTTTGCTTCACTCAGTCTGACCAGACCTCTTGCCCCCAGCTGCAACGAGCTGCAGTTCTCACAGTATGCAGCCATGTGTGACAATGTGCACATCCAGAAGATGCAGGGTGATGGCTACTGCCTGAAGCTCACCGACATGAAGGGCTTCTTCCAGCCCTGCTATGGGCTTCTCGATCCCCTCCCATTCTACGAGTCCTGCTACCTGGACGGCTGCTACAGCCACAAGAAGTTCCAGCTGTGCGGCTCCCTGGCCGCCTACGGGGAGGCCTGCCGCTCCTTCGGGATCCTTAGCACCGAGTGGATTGAGAAGGAGAATTGCTGTAAGAGAATTATTTTATTTCTGTGAATTCCATTTTCAGTGAAAAGAACAGCTTTGCTGGTAGCATTGCTTTTTCTAGGGATGACTGGTCCTCTCCAGATTTACTCATAGATCTGCTTCCAGGATTGGATAGTAGAGAGCTGTGAGCTGCAGCCGAGATTCAGTGACGGGCCCCTCCCGTGGAGCCTAACCCACCTACGGCTCCTGTCCAGTTATGGGATTTGGAAAACAAACGTGGGAAGATGGGGCTCTCTGGGTTGGAAGAGCCCTGGTTAGTGGCTTATGAGGTAGAGGGACACAGTGTGGGATTCCTGATGGATTTTAGTTCCCAAACTCAGCTCCACCTTGGCTCCTTTAACATGAGGCCGTCCTCTATCAGAAAGCGAAGGCACAGGGCAGGTGGAAGGCAGAGCGGGAACTGAGCTGGTTATGTCCACCTGGGCTCAAAGGAAGCTGCAGTTCGATTGACTGTGGAGAGTACATATATTAGATCAGCTGGTAAAATAAAGATATACAGAATCTTGTGGGGTTTTTTCTGTAGTAAGAAAATTATTTTGATGTGTATTTCTATTATTCAATTTGTTCATTTTCTTACTGTGTTAATCAAATAGGAGAACAATTATAGATGTATACAAACACATATAAATGTGCCATAGACATACATGTGTGTCCATATACATAAATGGTCACTCTCACTAGTGTGGCCAATGGAATGTGTGTTTTGTTCTCTGACCCACAACACCAACCCAGTGTGTATACAGGTACCACTGTGAAAATAGGCTGACTCCAAGATGATACACACACATTGGTAAATTCGCAGACCAAACCTGATTAAGTGTAGGAATACACTTAATTCAGAGCCTAAAAACAATGCAGTTAATTAAAATACATTTCAGTGATTTCAGAAACTGTTAACAAGCAAATTCCTAGTCTCTGTTGGAAACTAACAGAAATATTTGTTATTAGTATTTTACTCTGCTGTGTTAATAAGAATACTCATGTTCTCACTCATAGGTGGGAATTGAACAGTGAGAACACATGGACACAGGAAGGAGAACATCACACTCTGGGGACTGTTGTGGGGTGGGGGGAGGGTGGAGGGATAGCATTAGGAGATATACCTAATGCTAAATGACGAGTTAATGGGTGCAGCACACCAGCATGGCACATGTATACATATGTAACTAACCTGCACATTGTGCACATGTACCCTAAAACTTAAAGTATAATAATAATAAGAAGAAGAATAAGAATACTTTCAATGACTTTAAAAATTAACTGTTTTGAACTTTTCAAATTGTCAGGAATTTAAAAAAATACATATATCATTAAAAAATACTCAAAGCTTCCCTCTATCTAAGGGCATGTCTTATTTGCCAGTTGGCAGATGGACCACCACGTTTGTAAATAAACGTGTCCTTCCTGTGGGCTGTAACCTCTGCACCATCTTTCTGTTGTTTGTCATTCTCGTACAGAGGTGGTGAATCATAACTTTCGCTTGGTGGCTGTTATGTGCTTAGCACTGTGCTAGGTATTGGACATACTGGGCCAGTGAAAGGATCTTTATAAAAGAGAGCTTTTTGAAAATAAATGTATTTAACTTATGCTGATGTCTTTCTTTCAGTTGTCTTTCCAGAAATTAAGACAGGCTGATGTTGAGCCATCCATGCACTCCCACGTAATGTAATTAGTTACCTACCAGAGGGGCGTGGCAGCTGAGTCAGAAGAGGTGTATGGAGCTGTGGGCAGCTTGGGATTTTTGTTTTGTTTTTAAATTCTGTTTTCCCTGTGTGTGTGGGTATGTGTGTCTGTGGTGAGAACATGAAACTCTACTCTGTTGGTAATTTTCAAGTGTACAGTGTATTGGTACTAACTATAGCCACTTTGATGTTCAGTAGATCTCTTGAATTTATTCCTCTTGTCTAAATGAAATTCTGCATCCTTTTAAAACTCTTTTTAAAAAAACTCTTGAAGCCAACTTGGCTCATGCTGGGATTGAACAGTTGTTTCTTTAGCACTGTCCATCATATACTGTGATGAACAGGAGGAATATTCTGTCTTGATAGGCAGAGCGATTCTTTAAATAAAGAAATGAACATCTAAAAGACAATGCTCCTAATTAGTGGTTCTCAGACCGAGGCGTTGACTATCTTGCAGGTGATCTCATCTGTTACAGAAATATTGTTCATAATAACATCGTGATGATACTCCACATAACATCTTTATTGTACTTATAGTTTTCCCCTTTTGGCAAAACATCACCATGAATCTAAGTCAATGCTGGTGACTTGTGTGGAAGTTTTTCCTTTGTCTCTTTTTACAAAATCAAGTAGAAGATCATGGGGGAAAGTGGACCAAGAATCGGAAAGGACTAAGAAGCCCTGGTGTGGGAGACCTCTCTGGGATCTTACTGGCCCTAATATGTTCATTATTGGCACGTATTTATTGTGCACAAACCATGAGGTGGTTGAGTGCTGGGATGTAGAGATAAATGATCTGGATGCTACTCTTTATATAAATATCAGTGCAAATCATTGTGTTATAGTGTAGTAGGTGCCTTAATCATGGTAAGATGACTGGGGTTAAGAGCATCTGTGCATTCAGTCTTCACCACTTACCTTCACTTTTGACCTTGGGCAAGTTTCAACTGTGAAATAGAGCTTATAATACTTAGCTTGAGGAGTATTTGTGAGGGTCAAAGAAGCTAATCCAGGCCCACAGCAAGCACCTATGTGCTAGCTATTGACATTATTTTCTGGAAGGTTGCCCTGTCTGTTAACTGGCAGCTGCCATCTGACCATTTCCAATGTGATTAAAGTGGCAAGTCTGGAGTGGAACCAAAAGCTACCGCATGTAGGTGTGAAAATGAAGTTGTGCATGTTTCTGTGTGTTTTTCTTTTTAGCAGGAGTGGTTGAAGATCCCTGTGTGGGGGCGGACTGTCCCAACCGAACTTGCGAGCTGGGCAATGGCAGGGAGCTGTGTGGCTGCATCGAGCCACCCCCCTATGGAAATAGTGAGTGACATGGGCCACCTCCCCACCCAGAAAGGCCCCATGGGAGATGCTGCTCTGGGGAACGACCTTGATGCATCCCACTTTGTGAAGCTTTCCCAAATAGTGAAGCTTTCAGGAGCATTTAAGCAGAACAAGGAAGCAATCTGACTGCTTCAAAGTACAGCTACATCCTTTTCTTCAATACATTATAACACACAAATTTGTACATGAATGGAACCAGCCGGTTCCATCTGAGGCCACATTCAACATCAGAAAGGTCCAAATTGATCTTTTAGATGCGCAAGGAAATAGGGTATTTTGATGCCAATATGAAATAATTAGGACGAATGTTATTTAAAGCCAGATTTATTTGACCCAAAGTTTTTTGGTCCTGAAGATATATACAACTGAAATGTCTGAAGCAAGCCATAAATAACTAGGACTCCAGGACTTGTTCCTAACTGTAGCTCCCTTGGTGTGGAAATGGCCTTGTCCACTGCCGAGCCTTCCTGGATGGCTGCTTGAGGCAGAACTGCTTTGCCTTCCATCTCTGCTCCCCTTCCTGAACCAAATAACGCAGAGGCAGTTGCTAAATTTAACAGCATTCGGGAATGAAAATCTGGTTGACCAAAGGCTCCTTAGGAGGGGACAAGGGCTTCACCTAAACAGATAAAATGTTTTTCTCTGTTTCTGTAGTGCTTATTAGCCAGTGTTTATATGCTCAAGAGAAAATGTCAATCGGTGCCTTGCCATGTCAAAAAGCAAGCTCCTAGTGCTCACCTGGGAATCACTAGGGTTCTGCTGAGCTGAATCAGCAGGGGCTTCAGATGTGGTCTGGCCAGTGCTGCTGTCCCTTGGAGGCATGTTCTTCAGCCAGGCCACAATGTGCCAGATTTGGCATGTTCAGTATGCAGCTTACAGAAAAGTAGCTGCCACCAGCAAGGTGGGGGAAGACCTGGGTTTGTAAAGAAAAGACAGAAGACACTTTATTAGCATTTTTATCCTTTTAAAAAGGCTCTGCTAATGCCCAGGTTACTGCTTTGAATGAATTCATATGCTCATTTGGTTTGATCAAAGCATAATTAGAAATGCTGCAGCCTTGGAGTGGAGGTCATTTGCCTCTTCTAAAGGAGAATGGAAATGGGATGCTTTGCTCCCACTCCTGCAGCAAGACCGACTCCACTGATTTGCCTTTCGTAATAACTGTTCCCACAGACTCACATGACATTATCGATGCAGAGGTGACCTGCAAAGCAGCCCAAATGGAAGTGTCCATATCTAAGTGCAAGCTCTTCCAGCTCGGTTTTGAGAGGGAGGGCGTGAGGATCAATGACAGACAGTGCACCGGCATCGAGGGGGAAGATTTTATCTCCTTTCAGATCAACAACACCAAAGGGAATTGTGGAAACATTGTGCAGGTGAGAAAAGCAGCAGGAAAGAGCACCTGGCAGAGGCAGCGACAGCTTCGAGTGTTTGCACATTTATTGTCCTGAAAACCAACTTCAGGGTGATCTGCTTAGAAATATGCTCCTTAGAAAACAGCAATAGGCATGTGCAACATGAAAGACAGCAAGAGCAGTCATCATTTGATGCTAAGTGATTGACGGAGTTGAAAGAGTGATGTGTTTTTTCCTTGGTTTGGGATGCCTACTGTGGTTCTTTCTCCTGTATATGGACAGGATTGTGTCTTCTTTTCTGCTTCTATTGCTCTTTGAGGCAAATACATATAGGCTTAGCTATTTCAGGGGGTAAGGGAGTCCCGAACCTCATTTAACAGGTGGCTTCAGGCCAAGTGCTATGGCTCATGCCTGTAATCCCAGCACTTTGGGAGGCCAAGGCAGAAGGACTGCTAGAGGCCAGGAATTCAAGACCGGCCCAGGCAACATCGCAAGACCCTGTCTCTATTTTTAAAAAATCTAAAAATTAGCTGGGTGTGGTGACAGTGCCTGTAGTTGTGTCTACTTGGAAGGCTGACATGGGAGGATCATAAGCCCAGGAGTTCAAGGCTGCAGTGAGCTATGAATGTACCACGGCACTCCATCCTGGGTGATAGTGAGACCCTGTTGCTAAAAACAAAACAAAACAAAACAAAAAAACAGCTGGCTTCAGAAATATAGTGAGGTCCCAACTTTTAATGTCAGATTATCCAGTGTATAGGTTAGCAAAGTATCTTGTTTCTCTTCTTTTTCCATCTTGCTCTGTGTCTTCTATTCATGGCTCTATTCCTTAAAACTTTTACCAGAGGCTGAAAGGAGTAAGGAGGTGAAACTTGCACTTGTTCATGTTGGTCCTTGTAGGCATGTCTGGTGATGGATTTGGTGGAGAAGAGATTTTGAATTAAGCATTGAAAAAGAAGATTTCTATTACCCAGCAATGGCAATAGTTCATGCTATTCCTAGCTTGGGGTCCCACAGATAAGTGGGGTCTGGTAGTGGTTAGAATTCAGTAGTAGATGAAATCACCTTCCACGGGTATTCAAGGTTATCAGACTGAAGGGTGCTGCTGATATCTATTGTAATACTTTTTTTTCCCCCAAGTAAATGCTAAGGCTAGCTCCATGCTGATTTATACTGGCCTCTAAATTATGTATGGAAGGAAGCCATTTCTCCACTTTCAGGGATATGGATTTGATATGCAAGCTACATACTCACTCCCAGATGTAACGATTTCTGACTTCCCCTTGTTCTGCAGTCCAATGGCACGCATATCATGTATAAAAACACACTCTGGATCGAAAGCGCCAACAACACTGGCAACATCATCACCAGGGACCGCACGATCAATGTGGAATTTTCATGTGCTTATGAGCTGGATATCAAGATCTCCTTGGATTCTGTTGTGAAGCCTATGCTAAGGTAAGGTGTCTCCTGGGCTGTGCACATTGCTTTTTCTATTCCTTGACAGTTAAGGTTAGCATAATCAAAATTGCTAGCGTTTGTCTTTGATGCCCTAGGAAAAACATAATTCACGTTTCTTGAGCCTAAATGCTTTCAACCAACATTGTTCAATAGAACTCTCTGTGACGATGGAAATATTCCATCTGTACTGTTTAATGTGGTGGCTACATGTGGCTGCTCAGCACTTGAAATGTGGCTCAGGGGGCTGCGGAATTGAATTTTTAATTTTATTTAATTTCATTTCATTTAAATGTAAATTGCCCCATGTGGCTAGCAGGTACTGTATTGGACAGCACAGCCTTAGACTTTGCTACTACGTGCTTTGCTTTCCCTCTGCATTCTCAGCCTGAAAAATGGTAGGTAATTGAATAGGTAACATTGTTTTGGATTCCTGTCTCATAATTGTTTCCGTTTTAGTGTAATTAACCTGACAGTTCCAACCCAAGAAGGCAGCTTCATCACCAAGATGGCTCTCTACAAAAACGCCTCCTACAAACATCCTTACCGCCAGGGTGAAGTAGTGTTGACGACTCGAGATGTGCTGTATGTAGGGGTTTTTGTGGTTGGAGCTGACGCCACACATTTAATCCTAACACTCAACAAATGCTATGCCACACCCACCCGAGATAGCAATGATAAGCTCCGATATTTCATCATTGAAGGAGGGTGAGTAGCCTCTTTATAGACAACATTCTCAGAGCTTCAGGTATAATATTGTCCTCATCATTTTTTAAGGAAGGGAATGGAAACTAATATTTGTTGGCTGCCTACAAGGCCAGAATTTTGCATTTATTAATTCATCTAATTCTCAAGACAACCTATGAGGTAGATATTATAGGCCTCATTTTACAGACAATCAAGTAACTTGCCTAAAGTCACACAGAAATATATTGGTAGGTACCCCACGTCCATGTGGCATTAACTACAGATGCTTTATTCTCAAAGTGGGGATTCTGTGCTGTTTACTTTGAACTTCAAATTGGGAAGAATGTGGAATTCTGCAAATGAAAGAATGTAATGACAATAACCACAGGTTAATGAACAAGGCATCTATAAAAATAAAAAAGAAGTTAACCTAATAGCCTATAGACTCAACAAGTTTCTGTTTACTCACCACTGTATGCTTACCACTTAGTATATTTCCTGAAACAGTGATACACAACAAAAATTCTCGAATGAATGAATGAATGAATGAGAAGAAAAGACTGTAGACCAACCACAATAATTATCTTTATTAAAAACAAAAATACTTTCTGGTTACATTAGACAGTTTACATTTATTGCAATAGATTTTATAACAATTCATTTTAACAGCTTTATTGCAAAGATAATTTATAATACAATTTACTTGCTTTAAGTGTAAAAATCAATGGTTTTTGGTAAATTTGCAGAGAATTGCAATTATCACCATAATCTAATTTTAGAACATTTTTGTCACTCCAATAGTTACTATTTATATGAATTTCTTTTAAAAATGTATTGATACATTTACATATTTATGGAATAGATGTGATATTTTGACACATGCATTAAATGTGTAGTGCTCAGATCAGGGAATTTAGGATATCTATCACCTTGAATATGTATCTTTCCTTTGTGTGGGGCATTTCAAATCTTGTCTTCTGGCTATTTTGAAATATACAATAAATTGTTGTTAACTATAGTCACCCTACTGTGCTATTGAACACTAGAACTTATTCCTTTTATCTAAATGCACGTTTGTAGCCATTAACCAACCTCTCTTCATCCCAGCTTCTTTCCCAGCCTCTGGTAACTATCAGTCTACTCTGTACTTCCATGAAATCAACTTTTTAAGCTCCCACATGTGAGTGAGAACCTGAGATATTTGTCTTTCCCTGCCTGGCTTATTTCACTTAACATAATGACTTCCAGTTCTGACCATGTTGTTGCAAATGATAGGATTTCATTTCTTTTTAAGGCTGAATAGTATTCCCTTGTGTATATATATCACATTTTCTTTATCCATTCATCCATTGATGTATACTTAGGTTGATTCCATATCTTGGCTATTGTGAATAGTGCTGCAATAAACATGGAAGTGTAGGTATTCTTTTGATATACTAATTTCCTTTCCTTTGGATAAATACCCAGTAGTGGCCTTGCTGGATCATGTGGGAGTTCTATTTTTAGTGGGGTTTTTTTGTTTTGTTTTGTTTTGTTTGGTTTTGTTTTGTTTTGCTTTGTTTTGTTTTGCATGTGTGTGTGCGTGTGAAACCTCTGTAGTGTTTCCCATAATGGCTGTACTCATTTCTAGTCCCACCAGTAGTGTAGAAGAGTTCCCCTTTCTCCATATCCTCACTAGCATTTGTTACTTTTTGTCTTTTTAATAGTAGCCATTTTTACTGGCATGACATGATATCTCATTGTGGTTTTGATTTTTATTTCCCTGATGATTAGTAATGTTGAGAATTGTTTTTTCATATACCTGTTGGCCATTTGTATGTCTTCTTTTGAGAAATATTTGTGTAAATCCTTTGCCCAGTTTTTAAAGAAATTATTTGTTTTCTTGCTGTTGAGTTGTTTGAGTTTCTTGCATATTCTGGATACTAATCCCTTGTTGGATGAATAGTTTGCAAATATTTTCTTTTATTCAACAGGTTGTCTCTTCATTTTGTTGATTGATATCTTTGCTGTGTAGAGACTTTTTAGTTTAATATAGTCCCATTTGTCTATTTTTGCTTTGTCGCTTGGGCTTTTGAAATCTTACCCATAAAATATTTGCCTCAACTAATGATGAAGCATGTTCACTTTGTTTTCTTCTAGTAGCTTTATAGTTTCTGGTTGCACATTTAAATCTTTAATCCTCTTTGAGTTGATTTTTGTTTATGGTGAGACACAGGGGTATAATTTAATTCTTCTGCATATGGATATCCAGTTTTCTCAGCACCAGTTTTTGAAGAGAGCATCCTTTCCCCAATGTATGTTCTTGACATCTTTGTTGAAAATCAGTTGGCTGTAAATACATGGATTTATTTCTGAGTTCTGTTTTGTTACACTGCTCTATGTGTCTGTTTTTATACAATACCATGCTGTTTTGGCTACTATAGCTTCACACTATACTTAAAAGTCAGGTAGTGTGATGTCTCCAGCTTTGTTCTTTTTAGTGAGTATTGCTTGGGCTATTCAGGGTCTATTGTGGCTTTATACAAATTTTAGGATTTTTTTTCTATTTCTGTGAAGAATTTCATTGGTGTATTGATAGGGATTGCATTTGATCTGTGGGTTTTTTGTGAGTAGTATGGTCACCTTAACAATTTTAATTCTCCCAATCCATAAGCATGAGATACCTTTCCATTTGTCCTCTTCAATTTCTTCCATCAGCGTTTTGTAATTTTCCTTGTAGAGATTTTCACTTGGTTAAATTTATTCCTAGATTTCTCATTTTTTTGTAGGTATTATAAATGAGATTGCCTTCTTGATTTATTTTGCTGCTAGTTCATTATTGGTGTATAAAAATGCTACTGATTTTTGCATGTTGTTTTTATGTCCTGCAACTTTACTGAATTTGTTTATCTGTTCTAAGAGTTTTTGATTGAATCTTTAGGTTTTTCTGTATATAAGATCATGTTATCTGCAAAGGGACAGTTTGACTTTCTGTTTCCCAGTTTGGATGTCTTTTATTTTTCTCTCTTGCTTGATTGAACTGGCTAGGACTTCTAGTACTATGTTAATAGGAATGATGAGAGTGAGCACCCAGGAATTGTTCCAGTACTTTCAGCTTTTCTCCGTTCAGTATGATATTATCTGTGGGTTTGTCATATATGACCTTCATTATGTTGAGACATGTTCCTTCTGTGCCTAATTTTTTGAGAATTTTTATCATAAAGGGACATTGAATTTTATCAAATGCTTTTTGTGCATCTATTCAGATAATCATATGGTTTTTATTGTTCATTCTTTTTTTATTTTATTTTATTATTATTATACTTTAAGTTTTAGGGTACATGTGCACAATGTGCAGGTTAGTTACATATGTATACATGTGCCATGCTGGTGTGCTGCACCCATTAACTCGTCATTTAGCATTAGGTGTATCTCCTAAAGCTATCCCTCCCCGCTCTCCCCACCCCACAACAGTCCCCAGAGTGTGACGTTCCCCTTCCTGTGTCCATGTGTTCTCATTGTCCAGTTCCCACCTATGAGTGAGAATATGCGGTGTTTGGTTTTTTGTTCTTGTGATAGTTTACTGAGAATGATGATTTCCAATTTCATCCATGTCCCTACAAAGGACATGAACTCATCATTTTTCATGGCTACATAGTATCCCATGGTGTATATGTGCCACATTTTCTTAATCCAGTCTATCATTGTTGGACATTTGGGTTGGTTCCAAGTCTTTGCTATTGTGAATAGTGCCGCAATAAACATACATGTGCATGTGTCTTTATAGCAGCATGATTTATAGTCCTTTGGGTATATACCCAGTAATGGGATGGCTGGGTCAAATGCTATTTCTAGTTCTAGATCCCTGAGGAATCGCCACACTGACTTCTGCAAGGGTTGAACTAGTTTACAGTCCCACCAACAGTGTAAAAGTGTTCCTATTTCTCCACATCCTCTCCAGCACCTGTTGTTTCCTGACTTTTTAATGATTGCCATTCTAACTGGTGTGAGATGGTATCTCATTGTGGTTTTGATTTGCATTTCTCTGATGGCCAGTGATGGTGAGCATTTTTTCATGTGTTTTTTGGCTGCATAAATGTCTTCTTTTGAGAAGTGTCTGTTCATGTCCTTCACCCACTTTTTGATGGGGTTGTTTGTTTTTTTCTTGTAAATTTGTTTGAGTTCATTGTAGATTCTGGATACTAGCCCTTTGTCAGATGAGTAGGTTCCAAAAATTTTCTCCCATTTTGCAGGTTGCCTGTTCACTCTGGTGGTAGTTTCTTTTGCTGTGCAGAAGCTCTTTAGTTTAATTAGATCCCATTTGTCAATTTTGGTTTTTGTTGCCATTGCTTTTGGTGTTTTAGACATGAAGTCCTTGCCCATGCCTATGTCCTGAATGGTAAAGCCTAGGTTTTCTTCTAGGGTTTTTATGGTTTTAGGTCTAATGTTTAAGTCTTTAATCCATCTTGAATTAATTTTTGTATAAGGTGTAAGGAAGGGATCCAGTTTCAGCTTTCTACATATGGCTAGCCAGTTTTCCCAGCACCATTTATTAAATAGGGAATCCTTTCCCCATTGCTTGTTTTTCTCAGGTTTGTCAAAGATCAGATAGTTGTAGATATGCGGCGTTATTTCTGAGGGCTCTGTTCTGTTCCATTGATCTATATCTCTGTTTTGGTACCAGTACCATGCTGTTCTGGTTACTGTAGCCTTGTAGTATAGTTTGAAGTCAGGTAGCGTGATGCCTCCAGCTTTGTTCTTTTGGCTTAGGATTGACTTGGTGATGTGGGCTCTTTTTTGGTTCCATATGAACTTTAAAGTAGTTTTTTCCAATTCTGTGAAGAAAGTCATTGGTAGCTTGATGGGGGTGGCATTGAATCTGTAAATTACCTTGGGCAGCATGGCCATTTTCACGATATTGATTCTTCCTACCCATGAGCATGAAATGTTCTTCCATTTGTTTGTATCCTCTTTTATTTCATCGAGCAGTGGTTTGTAGTTCTCCTTGAAGAGGTCCTTCACGTCCCTTGTAAGTTGGATTCCTAGGTATTTTATTCTCTTTGAAGCAATTGTGAATGGGAGTTCACTCATGATTTGGCTCTCTGTTTGTCTGTTATTGGTGTATAAGAATGCTTATGATTTTTGTACATTGATTTTGTATCCTGAGACTTTGCTGAAGTTGCTTATGAGCTTAAGGAGATTTTGGGCTGAGACAATGGGGTTTTCTAGATATACAATCATGTCATCTGCAAACAGGGACAATTTGTCTTCCTCTTTTCCTAATTGAATACCCTTTATTTCCTTCTCCTGCCTAATTGCCCTGGCCAGAACTTCCAACACTATGTTGAATAGGAGTGGTGAGAGAGGGCATCCCTGTCTTGTGCCCGTTTTCAAAGGGAATGCTTCCAGTTTTTGCCCATTCAGTATGATATTGGCTGTGGGTTAGTCATAGATAGCTCTTATTATTTTGAGATATGTCCCATCAATACCTAATTTATTGAGAGTTTTTAGCATGAAGGGTTGTTGAATTTTGTCAAAGGCCTTTTCTGCATCTATTGAGATAATCATGTGATTTTTGTCTTTCGTTCTGTTTACATGCTGGATTACATTTATTGATTTATGTATATTGAACCAGCCTTGCATCCCAGGGATGAAGCCCACTTGATCATGGTGGATAAGCTTTTTGATGTGCTGCTGGATTTGGTTTGCCAGTATTTTATTGAGGATTTTTGCATCAATGTTCTTCAAGGATATTGGTCTAAAATTCTCTTTTTTGGTTGTGTCTCTGCCTGGCTTTGGTATCAGGATAATGCTGGCCTCATAAAATGAGTTAGGGAGGATTCCCTCTTTTTCTATTGATTGGAATAGTTTCAGAAGGAATGGTACCAGTTCCTCCTTGTACCTCTGGTAGAATTCGGCTGTGAATCCATCTGGTCCTGGACTCTTTTTGGTTGGTAAGCTATTGATTATTTCCACAATTTCAGAGCCTGTTACTGATCTGTTCAGAGATCCAACTTCTTCCTGATTTAGTCTTGGGAGGGTGTATGTGTCGAGGAATTTATCCATTTCTCCTAGATTTTCTAGTTTATTTGCGTAGAGCTGTTTGTAGTATTCTCTGATGGTAGTTTGTATTTCTGTGGGATCGGTGGTGATATCCCCTTTATCATTTTTTATTGCGTCTATTTGATTCTTCTCTCTTTTCTTCTTTATTAATCTTGCTAGCGGTCTATCAATTTTGTTGATCCTTTCAAAAAACCAGCTCCTGGATTCATTAATTTTTTGAAGGGTTTTTTTGTGTCTGTATTTCCTTCAGTTCTGCTCTGATTTTAGTTATTTCTTGCCTTCTGCTAGCTTTTGAATGTGTTTGCTCTTGCTTTTCTAGTTCTTTTAATTGTGATGTTAGGGTGTCAATTTTGGATCTTTCCTGCTTTCTCTTGTGGGCATTTAGTGCTATAAATTTCCCTCTACACACTGCTTTGAGTGTGTCCCAGAGATTCTGGTATGTTGTGTCTTTATTCTCGTTGGTTTCAAAGAACATCTTTATTTCTGCCTTCATTTCGTTTTGTACCCATAGTCGTTCAGGAGCAGGTTGTTCAGTTTCCATGTAATTGAGCGGTTTTGAGTGAGTTTCTTAATCCTGAGTTCTAGTTTGATTGCATTGTGGTCTGAGAGACAGTTTGTTATAATTTCTGTTCTTTTACATTTGCTGAGGAGAGCTTTACTTCCAACTATGTGGTCAATTTTGGAATAGGTGTGGTGTGGTGCTGAAAAGAATGTATATTCTGTTGATTTGGGGCGGAGAGTTCTGTAGATGTCTATTAGGTCTGCTTGGAGCAGAGCTGAGTTCAATTCCTAGGTATCCTTGTTAACTTTCTGTCTCGTTGATCTGTCTAATGTTGACGGGGTGTTAAAGTCTCCCATTATTATTGTGTGGGAGTCTAAGTCTCTTTGTAGGTCACTCAGGACTTGCTTTATGAATCTGGGTGCTCCTGTGTTGGGTGCATATGTATTTAGGATAGTTAGCTCTTCTTGTTGAATTGATCCCTTTACCATTATGTAATGGCCTTCTTTGTCTCTTTTGATCTTTGTTGGTTTAAAGTCTGTTTTATCAGAGACTAGGATTGCAACCCCTGCCTTTTTTTTTTCCATTTGCTTGGTAGATCTTCCTCCATCCTTTTATTTTGAGCCTATGTGTGTCTCTGCATGTGAGATGGGTTTCCTGAATACAGCACACTGATGGGTCTTGACTCTTTATCCAATTTGCCAGTCTGTGTCTTTTAATTGGAGTATTTAGTCCATTTACATTTAAAGTTAATATTGTTATGTGTGAATTTGATCCTGTCATTATGATGTTAGCTGGTTATTTTGCTCGTTAGTTGATGCAGTTTCTTCCTAGCCTCGATGGTCTTTACAATTTGGCATGTTTTTGCAGTGGCTGGTACCGGTTGTTCCTTTCCATGTTTAGTGCTTCCTTCAGGAGCTCTTTTAGGGCAGGCCTGGTGGTGACAAAATCTCTCAGCATTTGCTTGTCTGTAAAGTATTTTATTTCTCCTTCACTTATGAAGCTTAGTTTGGCTGGATATGAAATTCTGGGTTGAAAATTCTTTTCTTTAAGAATGTCAAATATCTTCTGGCTTGTAGAGTTTCTGCCAAGAGATCCGCTGTTAGTCTGATGGGCTTCCCTTTGTGGGTAACCTGACCTTTCTCTCTGGCTGCCCTTAACATTTTTTCCTTCATTTCAACTTTGGTGAATCTGACAATTATGTGTCTTGGAGTTGCTCTTCTTGAGGAGTATCTTTGTGGCGTTCTCTGTATTTCCTGAATCTGAATGTTGGCCTGCCTTGCTAGATTGGGGAAGTTCTCCTGGATAATATCCTGCAGAGTATTTTCCAACTTGGTTCCATTCTCCCCATCACTTTCAGGTACACCAATCAGACATAGATTTGGTCTTTTCACATAGTCCCACATTTCTTGGAGGCTTTGTTCATTTCTTTTTCTTCTTTTTTCTCTAAACTTCCCTTCTTGCTTCATTTCATTCATTTCATCTTCCATCACTGATACCCTTACTTCCAGTTGATCACATCAGCTCCTGAGGCTTCTGCATTCTTCACGTAGTTCTTGAGCCTTGGCTTTCAGCTCCATCAGCTCCTTTACACACTTCTCTGTATTGGTTATTCTAGTTATACATTCGTCTAAATTTTTTTCAAAGTTTTCAACTTCTTTGCCTTTGGTTTGAATTTCCTCCTGTAGCTCGGAGTAGTTTGATTGTCTGAAGCCTTCTTCTCTCAACTCGTCAAAGTCATTCTCTGTCCAGCTTTGTTCCGTTGCTGGTGAGGAGCTGCATTCCTTTGGAGGAGGAGAGGCGCTCTGCTTTTTAGAGTTTCCAGTTTTTCTGCTCTGTTTTTTCCCCATCTTTGTGGTTTTATCTACTTTTGGTCTTTGATGATGGTGATGTACAGATGGGTTTTTGGTGTGGATGTCCTTTCTGTTTGTTAGTTTTCCTTCTAACAGACAGGACCCTCAGCTGCAGGTCTATTGGAGTTTGCTAGAGGTCCACTCCAGACCCTCTTTGCCTGGGTACCAGCAGTGGTGGCTGCAGAACAGCAGATTTTCGTGAACCACAAATGCTGCTGTCTGATCGTTCCTCTGGAAGTTTTGTCTCAGAGGAGTACCCGGCCGTGTGAGGTGTCAGTCTGCCCCTACTGGAGGGTGCCTCCCAGTTAGGCTGCTCGGGGGTCAGGGGTCAGGGACCCACTTGAGGAGGCAGTCTGCCTGTTCTCAGATCTCCAGCTGCGTGCTGGGAGAACCACTGCTCCCTTCAAAGATGTCAGACAGGGACATTTAAGTCTGCAGTGGTTACTGCTGTCTTTTTGTTTGTCTGTGCCCTGCCCCCAGAGGTGGAGCCTACAGAGGCAGGCAGGCGTCCTTGAGCTGTGGTGGGCTCCACCCAGTTCGAGCTTCCCGGCTGCTTTGTTTACCTAAGCAAGCCTGGGCAATGGTGGGCGCCCCTCCCCCAGCCTTGCTGCCGCCTTGCAGTTTGATCTCAGACTGCTGTGCTACCAATCAGCGAGACTCTGTGGGCATAGGACCCTCTGAGCCAGGTGTGGGATATAATCTCCTGATGCGCTGTTTTTTAAGCCCGTCGGAAAAGCGCAGTATTGGGGTGGGAGTGACCTGATTTTCCAGGTGCCGTCTGTCACCCCTTTCTTTGACTAGGAAAGGGAACTCCCTGACCCCTTGTGCTTCCCAAGTGAGGCAATGCCTCGCCCTGCTTCGGCTCGTGCACGGTGCACTGCACCCACTGTCCTGCGCCCACTGTCTGGCACTCCCTAGTGAGATGAACCCAGTACCTCAGATGGAAATGCAGAAATCACCCGTCTTCTGCGTCGCTCACGCTGGGAGCTGTAGACTGGAGCTGTTCCTATTCAGCCATCTTGGCTCCCAACCGTTCTATTGTTCATTCTTATGTGATATATGACATTTATTGATTTGTATATATTGAAACATTCTTGCATCCCTGGAATAAATCCTGCTTGATCATGGCGTATTATCTTTTTGATGTGTTGTTAGATTCAGTTTGCTAGTATTTTCTTGAGGATTTTTGCATCTATGTTTAGATATTGGCTTGTAGTTAGTGTGTGTGTGTGTGTGTGTGTGTGTGTGTGTGTGTGTGTGTGTGGTGTCCTGGTCTAGTTTTGATATCAGGGTAATGCTAGTCTTGTAGAATGAGCTAGGAAGAATCCCCAAATTCCTTCATCTTCAGTTTTTTTTGAAATAGTTTAGGAAGCATTGGTATTAGTTCTTCTTTGTAAGTATGGTAGAATTTAGCAGTAAAGACAACTAGTCCTGGACTTTGCTGAGAGACATTTTGTTCCTGATTCAATCCTGTTATTAGTTATTGGTCTGTTCAGGTTTTCTATTTCTTCCTGATTCAACCTTGGTAGGTTGTATGTGTCCAAGAATCTATCCATTTTCTGTAGGTTTTACAAAGTGTATAGTTGTTCATAACAGTCTGTAATGATTCTTTGTATTTCTGTGGTATCAGTAGTATTATCTTCTTTTTTATTTCTGATTTTACTTGGGTTTTCTCTCTTTTTTCCCCTTAAGTTAGTCTAACTGGTGCTTTATCATTTTGTTATCTTTTAAAAAACCAAATTTACATTTCATTGATTCTTTGCTTGTTTTGATCTCTACTTTATTTAGCTCTGGCCTAATCTTTATTATATTTTTCCTTCTACTAATTTTGGATTTAATTTTCTACTTTTTTGATGTAGGTGTATATTGCAATAAATTTTCCTCTTAGCACTCTTTTTTGTTGTATCTCACATGTTTTGGTATGTTCTGTTTCCATTTTCACTTGTTTTTAAAAATTTTTTTTAAATCTCCTTCTTAATTTATTCATTGACCCAGTGCTTGTTCAGGAGCATGTGGCCTAATTTCTAAGTATTTGTTCAGTGTCCAAAATTTCTCTTATTATTGATTTCTAGTTTTATTCCATTGTGGTCTGAGAAGATAGTTGATATGATTTCAATTTTTAAAAATTTGTCAGGACTTGGTTTTTGGCCTAACATACGGTCTATCTTGGAAAATATTCTGTGTACTAATGAGAAAAATGTGTATTCTGCAGCTGTTGGGTAAAATATTCTGTAAATGCCTGTTAAGTCCATTTGGTCTAAAGTGCAATTTAAGTAAATTTTTTTTGTTGATTTTCTTTCCAATGTTGAGAGTAGGGTGTTAAATTCCCCAATTTTCTTTACTTTGGAATTTATCTCTCCCTTTAGATCTAATAATATTTGCTTTACATATTTGGGTGCTGTGATGTTGGATGGATATATATTTAGAATTGTTGTATCCTCTTGCTGAATTTGTCCTTTCTTCATTATGTAATGATCTTCTTTGTCTCTTTTTACAGCCTTTGACTTAAAGTCTGTTATATCTGACACAAATATAGCTACTCCTGCTTGCTTTTGGTTTTGATTGTCACAAATTATCTTTTTCCATCCCATTACTTTCAGTCTATGTGTGTCTTTACAGGTGAAGTGAGTTTCTTGTAGGCAGCATATATTTGAGTTTTTTTTGTTTGTTTGTTTGTTTTTTTTTTTTTTTAGCTGTTCAACCAGTCTGTATCTTTTAAGTGGGGAATTTAATCTGCTTATATTCAAGGTTATTATTGATAAGTGAGAAGTTATTCCTGTCATTTTGTTTATTGTTTTATGGTTGTTTGTGTACCCTTTGTTTCATTCTCTCTTATCATTTATTATTGTAGTTTGGTGGCTTTCTGTAGCAGTAACATTTGACTCCTTCTCTTTCGGTTTTGTGTATATGATCTGCCATTGAGTTTACACTTTTGTGTGTTTTTATTATGTCATATATCAACCCTTCACTTCTAAATGTAGGACACACTTAAATGTTCTTGTAGGGCTGGCCTGGTGGTGAATTCCCTCAGTTTTTGCTTGTCTGGGAAATACTATTTTTCTTCATTTTTGAAGGATAGCTTTGCTGGGTATAGTATTCTTGATTAGCAGGTTTTTTTTATTTCAGCACTTTGAATATATCCTTGCATTCTCTCCTATCCTACAAGAGTTCTGCTGAGAGATCTGCTGTTGGTCTGATGGGGTTCTATTATATATAACTTGATGCTTTTCTTTCACTGTTTTTAGAATTCTGTCTTTGGCTTTTGTCACTTTGAGTGTAATATGCCTTGGAGAAGACAATTTTTCGGTTGAATCAATTTGGGATCTTTGAGCTTCCTATATGTAGATGTTTATATCTCTTGCAAGACTTGGGAAGTTTTCAGCTATTATTTCATTAAATAGGTTTTCTATGCCTTTGGACATCTTTTGCCCTTCTGGAACTCCCCAAATTGGTATATTTGGTCACTTTATGATGTCTTATATTTAACATAGGATTTCTTCTTTCTTTCTTATTCCTTTTTTTTTTTTTTTTTTGCCTGACTAGGTTATTTCAAAGACCTGTATTCAAGTTTTAAAATTCTTTATTCTGGCCAGGCACAGTGGCTCACACCTGTAGTCCCAGCACTTTAGGAGGCCGAAGCGGGTGGATCATGAGGTCAGGAGATTGAGACCATCCTGGCTAACACAGTGAAACCCTGTCTCTACTAAAAATACAAAAAATTAGCCAGGTCTGGTGGCGTGTCTGTAGTCCTAGCTACTTGGGAGGCTGAGGCAGGAGAATCACTTGAACTCAGGAGGCAGAAGTTGCAGTGAGCTGAGATCTCACCACCGCACTCCAGCCTGGTGACAGAGCAAGACTCCGTCTCAAAAAAAATAATTCTTTATTCTGTTTGATCTAGCATATTGTTGAAGCTCTTGATTGTATTTTTTAATTTCATTCATTGAATTCTTCAGTTCCAAAATTTCTGTTTGGTTCTTTTTATCTGTCTCTTTGTTGAATTTCTCACTCAGATCATGAATTATTTTTCTGATTTCTTTGTATTGTTTATTTGTGTTTTCCTGTATCTCACTGAACTTCTTTAATATCATTATATTGAATTCTTTCTCAGGTATTTCATAGATTTCTTTTTTTGTTGGAATGTGTTGCTGGAGAATTATTATTATTATTATTATTATGATTTTATTTTTTGAAATGGAGTTTTGCTCTTGTTGCCCATGCTGGAGTGCAATGGCGCAATCTCAGTTCACCACAACCTCTGCCTCCCGGGTTCAAGTGATTCTCCTGCCTCAGCCTCCTGAGTAGCTGGGATTATAGGAATGTGCCACCATGCCCAGCTAATTTTTGTATTTTTAGTAGAGACAGGTTTCTCCATGTTGGTCAAGCTATCTCAAACTCACAACCTCAGGTGATCCACCCACCTTGGCCTCACAAAGTGCTGGGATTACAGGCGTGAGCCACCATGCCCAGTCACTGGAGAATTATTGTGTTCTTATTGTGTCCTTGCTTTTTTATATTCTTATGTCTTTATGTTTGTTTCTGTGCATCTGGTATAATAGTTGCTTCTCCAATTTTATGGATTGGCTTTTGTAGGGACAGAGTTTTTCCTATAGATGTATCTATAGTGTTGGTTGGGTTTGACTTTGGCTTTGATTCTGAGTGGACACAGCAGTGTGGTCTCCATATGATTTCTTCAGCTGTAATCAGCATCAGTCATGTCTGTGAGTTAGTCAGTGACTTAGGCTATTAATGGAGGATATGGTGAGGCTTTGCTGGGGACAGGGATGCCAGATGGGCCAGTCCTCGGGTACCAGTGGTGGTGATAGCAGGCTAGGCATGCCAGCTTTTGGGCCCCTGGGTGGCATTAACAAGCACTCATGGTAGAAGGTCTGGGTGGGCCAATCCTTGGTCAGTGGTAGCAGTGGGCCAGGTGGGTGGGTCCTCAGGCCCTAAGTGGTGTGTGTGGCATCAGTGATGGCAGTAGCAGCAGTGGGCCAACTCTCAGGCCCCAGAGCTTCACATGGGAGTGCCAGTGGTGGTGGTGGTGGGCCAGTCCTCAGGTCCTCAGGTGGCACATTGGTGAGTTCTGGCAGTGGTGGCAGGCTGGGTGGGCCTGCCCTCAGTTTCCCAAAAGGCAAATTTTAAAGGCAAATGTAGTCGTTGGCAGTGGTGGACAGGGTAGGGCAATCCATAAGCCTCCAGATGATGTGCATGGGTGCTGGGAGTGGCAAGCAGGGCAGGCCTATCTTCAGATCCCTTGATAATGTGTGTGAGCACAGGGGTGGGCTGATCCCCAAGCCCCCGATGGTGCATGTGAGCACTGGCAGTGGGTGGGGCAGGTCTGTTGTCAGGCCCCCCTGATGGTACATGCAGCCATCGGTGTTAGTGGATGGGGCAGGTTGATCCCTAAATCCCCCCAACGACACACTTGGTTGCCAGTGGTGGTGGCAACACGTTGGTTAGGCCTGTCCTTAGACCCCTGGAAGATGTGTATGGGAGCCAGTGGTGACTGGTGGGTGAGTCAAACCCCAGATCCCTCGACAGGATACATGGGCACCAGTGGTGGTGGGTGGGGCAGGCCTGTCCTCAGGCCCCATGACAGCACCTGGTGGGCTGATCTTCAGGCCCCCTGAAGGTGTATATGGGTGTCTGGTGGCCCTGCTGCTGGGGAAGTGGCAGAGTTGCTGACAGTGGCAGCAGCTGCAGGCAGGTGGCTCTTGGGTTCTGGGGAGCTTGTGCGTCAGCCCCTTTTTCCTGGGGACAGCCTCCCTGGCGCACTGCATCACCTGTTCCCCAGGGTGTAGGACACTGTGTGGGTTAGAGTGCTTGGACCCACCTGCACCACTGAGTCCAGCCAGTGTTGTGAACCTGCATCCTTTTAAGTAGGCATGAGGGGTGGGTGTTAGCAGGGCTCCAGGGATGTGAAGAAGCAGGGGATGTTGGGCCCCAGGGCAAGATATAGTCTGACGGGGGCTGGGCTCGCAACATGGCACCATGCTGCAGCTGCTTGGGTCTGAGGGGCTGGAGGGTGTGCGATTCAGTGTGAACTCCTTCTCTGGAACAATACTGTTATGTGGAGTCTGGGTAGCTTCCTATACTAGTCTCAGGGCCCAAATGGCTCTCCCATGGCTAGCATTACGAAAGTCTGCAGTGGAATATGGACCACTGGGGATCTCTCAATTACCTTTTCCCATATTGGGAAGTTTCTCCTGGCTCCAAGCTGACCCTGGCAGGGCCAACTGCTTTGTTTCCCTTTATTTTCATGCCTCGGAGATCCTCTGTCCCTCTTTTGTTGAATTCCAGTGTTCTTTCTTTGATGCTCTATTCAACTTGAGGCAGGAGAATCACTTGAACTCAGGAGGCAGAGGTTGCAGTGAGCTGAGATCTCACCACTGCACTCCAGCCTGGCGACAGAGCAAGACTCCATCTCAAAAAAAATAATTCTTTATTCTGTTTGATCTAGCATATTGTTGAAGCTCTTGATTGTATTTTTTAATTTCATTCATTGAATGAATTTAGTCTCACTCTATTGCCCAGGCTAGAGTGTGGTTGTATGATAATGGCTCAATGCAGTCTCAACGTCCTGGGCTCAAGTGATCCTCCCACCTCAGCCTCCTGAGTAGCTGGGACTACAGGCACACACCACCATGCCCAGCTAATTTTCTCTATTTTTCGTAGAGACTTGGTCTCCCTGTGTTGTTCAGGCTGGTCTTGAACTCTTAGGCTCAAGTGATCCTCCCATCTTCGCCTCCCAAAGTGCTAGGATTACAGGTGTGACCTACCATGCCAGCCAGCCTACAATAATTCTTAAAGCAGGTGAATGTATTAATCACAATTCTAAGTGGTAGAGACCCATTCAAACTAGTTTATGCAAAAACCAAGGCATTTAATGGTTACAACACCAAATCACAGGAGTGGATGTGACTTCAGAGATGATTAGATCCAGGGAGCCAGATGCTATCAACACTCTCCTCTTGCTTTATCCCTTGTCTCCTCCTCTTTGTCTCTCTCTCTCATTGACCTTGTTAGACACTGGCAATCCTAGACTCACATTCTTATAGCATTGTAACCAATGAGGAGAGAGCACTTCTAACTCCAGTGCAGGGAATCCCAGGCCTATCCTGGACCACTTGCTTATCCTTCATTTGGTGGGTAGGGTTATGCACCATTGCATTTGCCTGGCCTGGTCAGCACCCATCCCTGTGGTGGTCAGAGAGTGCTGTGGATACTGTAAGTAGCTTTATGGTTGAGGGAAAGAGGCATGGTTTTCCAAGAGAAGAAGGGTGTGGTTCTGGGAAGACAAACAATAGACATTCACTAGTTTGCAGATGAAACAGGCTCAGAGAGGCTAGGCACAGCGCTCACTCAAGGTCACACAACTATCAAGGAGCAGAGAAGAAATCCTTTTAGGTTTCAAGACACACCGACTCCCTAAGTGACCAGGTGTGGTGAATGGCATGGGTTGCTGAGGTGTACTGTGGAATTTTCAGCAAAGACCTCACTAAGGTATTTGTATTTCTGAATTGATGTTTATCCTCCTCAAAGGGAAAGGGAGGGACGTGGTGACTACTTGGTGTCCTGCAGGCCTAGATGAGTGGGTGAGCATCACAATTATCCTTTTGTCCATGTTTCTTCCTCCTCTTTTTGTATTCCTTTCGCAACATAAAAGGGTTAAGATATGAGACACTCTACAAATGCAAACCCAGATTATAGGGCTTATGTCTCCTTTGAAGGATGTGGTAGCATTTAGCATTTTAAAAATGGTATTTAATAGACTTGACCCAGAGAGGGAGAGTGAGCCGGAGAGCATGTTCATAAATCTCAGCTTACCCCAGTGTCTGTCTGAATAAACGTCTTCAAATTAAACTGTGGTTGGGTGGGAAGTGACTTCTTTATGTAGGTGAATCCATCAGTCCTCCTAACCTTTCTTGGAGGGATGTGATTATTGTTTTTTTCCAGTGCATTTAGGGAAACCAGATGTTCAATGCTTAATGAATGAGTAGGGAAAGTAGATGTTCAATGCTTAATGAGTGAGTAGGGAAAGCAGATGTTCAATGCTTAATGAATGAGTAGGGAAAGCAGATGTTCAATGCTTAATGAATGAGTAGGGAAAGCAGATGTTCAATGCTTAATGAATGAGTAGGGAAAGCAGATGTTGAATGCTTAATGAATGAGTAGGGAAAGCAGATGTTGAATGCTTAATGAATGAGTAGGGAAAGCAGATGTTCAATGCTTAATGAACGAGTAGGGAAAGCAGATGTTGAATGCTTAATGAATGAGTAGGGAAAGCAGATGTTGAATGCTTAATGAATGAGTAGGGAAAGCAGATGTTCAATGCTTAATGAATGAGTAGGGAAAGCAGATGTTCAATGCTTAATGAATGAGTAGGGAAAGCAGATGTTCAATGCTTAATGAATGAGTAGGGAAAGCAGATGTTCAATGCTTAATGAATGAGTAGGGAAAGCAGATGTTCAATGCTTAATGAATGAGTAGGGAAAGCAGATGTTCAATGCTTAATGAATGAGTAGGGAAAGCAGATGTTCAATGCTTAATGAATGAGTAGGGAAAGCAGATGTTCAATGCTTAATGAATGAGTAGGGAAAGCAGATGTTCAATGCTTAATGAATGAGTAAGGAAAGCAGATGTTCAATGCTCTTAATGAATGAGTAGGGAAAGCAGATGTTGAATGCTTAATGAATGAGTAGGGAAAGCAGATGTTCAATGCTTAATGAATGAGTAGGGAAAGCAGATGTTCAGTGCTTAATGAATGAGTAGGGAAAGCAGATGTTCAATGCTTAATGAATGAGTAGGGAAAGAAGATGTTCAATGCTTAATGAGTAGGGAAAGCAGATGTTCAATGCTTAATGAATGAGTAGGGAAAGCAGATGTTCAATGCTTAATGAATGAGCTGCAAAATGGGTCCACTAAAGTATTTTGGGGTCAGTTGTTTCTCTCCAGCTGTGTGGAGGGCAGAGACAGCAGCAACTTCTACAAGTGGCTTGTAAGTCTGGGGACATGCAGGCCACTTCTCTTGTCTCTTCAGGTGCTAGACAGAGGAAAGGGCAGGTGTTTCATTGTTAATAGAAGATTCTAGTGCTTGGCGTCTGTGCTCACTCTAAGAAAGCCAGCCAGATAGCCATTCCTGCCTCTCTATGCCCTTTCCTTCAGTTTTTCTGATACCTAAATGTCAAGTCATCTCCTTGGGAGAGAGTTGGTGGTCTGGTTAAGAGGGAAGGTCAGTGTGAAGACTGAAGAGCTGTTACCACTTTAGAATCCTTGAGCCTGTTCAGATTATCCAAATGAATAACAGTGTTAAGGAAAAGTATGGCATGTAAGTTTTTGTTTCAAAGCACTTCAGAGGCTATTGCCTTGAAAAGCAACTTGCATTTTGCCTAGAAGGCTAATTACAAAACATATTAAGTGTGGGAATGCTGAAGGATAACTTCAATTTTTAATTTTCCTTATTGCTAAGCTATTTAATCCTGTGGACTAGGGAAAGGAAATATAAGGAAAAGAGTCACCCTTTTTATCTTTATCATTTTAAAGAGCTTTTTAGCTCCTATGGGCCAGCCTTGGCTGTGGCAACACCATTTGTTCACTCATTCATTCATCTGACAGAAGTTTTCAAATACATGCCACATGCCATGTAGTGCATTGGAGACACAGTAAGGAACATGACTTGGTTCCTGCACTCAAGGAGCTCAACAGAGGGCTGTTGGCAAACTCAGAAAAGGCCATTTGTTTGTGCCTGGTCCGGGCATGACTAGGGGACATTTATAGAAGAGAGGTTGCCGTAGAACTGGTGTTGGAGAAAGGGCAGGAGTGATGCATTGGACAAAGAGCAGGAAGATCTTCCAGGTGGGGGAAACATTGCATGAAAAGACACAGGACTATAGGAGACTCTGATGCATTTGGGGAACTATACATAATTGAAGCAAGTTATCTGTGCCTGAGATATGTCTTGGCTGGGGTTGTCTCTTGGCTCAATGCCACAAGAAGGAAGGGGGCTGAGAAAAGTGGCAGTCAGCTACATCAAAACGACTCTGCAGCTCACCCCGACTGGTCTTCTTTCCCCTCCAGCTCCTACCTATTTTGACGCATGGGAAGTATTCCCAACAGGGTTTGAGTCAGGGGCCCTTGCCAACATTGATAATTAACTGAAGAAAGTACAGAAGAAGTAAGAATGAATCTTGTGTTTATTAAATTGGTATCGGTAGAACACAACATTATGAGGGGGCGGAATGAGAAACTGAAGCGTGGGGAAATTGAATGTGGTCCCTGCAGTCGTTTTGTTTTTAGTTGCAGTTAGGATACTAATTCAAGGTGGTGTTTGATGTTTCAAAACAAACTATGAAAACATGAGGGAGTGATAATAAATGACAAGCCCATGCAGTCCAGGGGTCACTTTCAAATGTAAAGGCATTTCTGCCATTTATGGTGGTTTTATGTGAAAAGTGAAATTTTGAACTGAAGGTGAGGATTAAGGTGTAAGAGGAAAACATGTGAAGCAAAGATTCCATTATTTTTTCTGAATAGGTGTCAGAACCTCAAAGATAACACCATTGGCATCGAGGAGAATGCAGTCTCCCTGACCTGTCGCTTTCACGTCACCGTCTTTAAATTCATAGGGGATTACGACGAAGTTCACCTTCACTGTGCAGTGTCACTCTGCGACTCAGAAAAGTACTCCTGTAAAATCGTAAGTGAGAGTGTGAAAACAAAGTGCTTAGCCTTATTTCTCACTGTCTTGGTTTCCCAACATGAGGATCGTGAATGCCAGGTGACCGGACTGGAATCATCCATAGATGCTTGGGGTGGACAGTCATCTTTGATGGGACAGTGAGAGAAAACGCAGGGAAATATATCTATTTACTCTTCTATCTCTGAATTGTCAACCAGTCATTGGCTTAACGCTAGACTAGGGTTTCTCAAAGCTCGGCACTGTTGACGTTTTGGACTGAATAATTCTTTGTTGTGGAGGACTGTTCTGTGCACTGTAGGATGTTAGCAACATCCCTCACCTCTACCCATGGATACCAGTCACATCTTCCCCCAGTTTCAACACCCAAAATGTCTCCAGATGTTGCCAGTTGGCCTGGTTGAGAACCACTGCACTAGAGTCTCAAGGAGCCAGGCGGCCTGACTCTAATGACCACTGGGCCAAGTTCCACTCCACTATAGAACCAAACTCTTGAGCTCAGGATACAATGTATCCAGGTGTCCTGCATCACACCTGATCTACATCAGACTCTGGAGGGGGTGAGGGATGAGGTAGCAAACCAATGATCTCTTCTGTGCCAGGCTTCCACCTCCACCACTTACGGGCTGGGTCCTTAAGATTTGATTGCACCAATACCTGGCCCCTAGCCTTTAACATTGCAGCTTTATGCTTACACCATATTTGCAGAATCAAGATGTGAATTATGGTCAGAGCAACTTACAGATGATACTGCATACATTAGTGTCTGATGAGACACAGCAATCCTATTCCTGGGCAGGGAGCCTCTTTGAATCTAATTCCAGTGTGGATCAATCAGAAATGAAGGAGAGGTTTTTAAAAAGGAAAATTACTAATTCCAGTGTGGAGAGTGTATTTAATTCTGTTCAACATACAGCCTAGAGTCCCAGTGGATTCAATGATCAAGAATGCATTGGTTCTAATTAATCTGAGCCTCCATAATGCTTGAGGCCAGAGCCACTGCCTCTTTTAGAGGTGAAACATGGTGAAGAATAAGTTATCAGCTTAATTGTGTGAAAATTTCCCCCTGGTATTCTGTCTTGCAGACTTGCCCACACAATTCCAGGATTGCCACAGATTACACAAAAGAGCCCAAAGAACAGATCATTTCAGTGGGACCTATTAGGAGAAAAAGTATGTATGTTCCCTAAAACACACCCTAAATTATTAAAACAACGGGATTTCAAGGCTCAGATGTGTTTCACCTCTGATGTGGGTCCAGTGGACAAGGAGGCTGGTGTTGGGGACACCGGTTTGAGAACATCACCTGCTTCCTTAAAGACATCTTTTCATTTACTTATAAACATTCAGCAATGGCATTGAGGTTTTCTTTGTCCTCCTCTTTTTTTTTTTTCTTTGAGACGGAGTCTTTCTCTGTCGCCCAAGCTGGAGAGCGGTGGCGCAATCTTGGCTCACTGCAAGCTCCGCCTCCCGGGTTCACGCCATTCTCCTGCCTCAGCCTCCCGAGTAGCTGGGACTACAGGTGCCCGCCCCCACGCCCGGCTAATTTTTTTGTATTTTTAGTAGAGACGGGGTTTCACTGTGTTAGCCAGGATGGTCTCGATCTCCTGACCGCGTGATCCACCCGCCTCGGCCTCCCAAAGTGCTGGGATTACAGGCGTGAGCCACCGCGCCCAGCCTGTCCTCCTCTCTTTTTAAAGCCCTTCCCTTCAATACCAGTGGAAGGGTTGAACTGTCTGTAGTTAATCTTCCTAACTGCTCTTTTGTAGGGCTGGACTGGTGTGAGGACAATGGAGGGTGTGAGCAGATTTGCACGAGCCGGGTGGATGGGCCTCTCTGCAGCTGTGTAACAGGAACCCTGCAGGAGGACGGCAAGAGCTGCAGAGGTAGACACTCTTCTACCCTGGGGCAGGCAGCTGGGAGACACGGGAGGTTCTTTACCACCAGAAGGAGAAATTCAGATTTGAAGGCCACTCGGTCAGCAACTCTCCCTCGAAAACTCCAGAAATTAAGAAGGAAAGATGGGGAACATGCCCAAGGAATTCTAGGGCCATTAAACAAACAAACAAACAACAACAACAAAAAAACCTTGCTCTTTCATCTAAAATATAAAGGTAATTTAAAAAAACAAGTTATCCAGCCAATTTTAAGGACCATATATTGGCCTACATCTGGCTGCCAAGTCTACTTGGGCTAAGGTTGGGATTGGGATGCTTCCTCCAGCAAACAAGCCTTAGCATATGGTTTCCCTGACCTCTTACAAGGTTGGCAGGACTCTCTTCCTTTTTGAGATGGAGTCTCGCTCTGTTGCCCAGACTGGAGTGCAGTGGCATGATCTTGGCTCACTGCAACCTCTGCCTCCCGGGTTCAAGCGATTCTCCTGCCTCAACCACCGGAGTAACTGGGACTACAGGCACACGCCACCACGCCCAGCTAATTTTTGTATTTTTAGTAGAGATGGGGTTTCACCATATTGGCCAGGCTGGTCTCAAACTCCTGACCTCATGATCCGCCTGTGTTGGCCTCCCAAAGTAGGACTCTCTTAAGATTGGATTAATTCTGCTACTTTGCTGCCTTAGGGCCATTTAGGTAAAATGGGTTCTTGGCAATGAAGTTTCCTTTCTTTAGCTGAGTGCTGCAAAGATGTCTGATCCCTATCAAACAGGTATTTTTCCCCCCATAGGGCTTACTGTGTTCCTCTCTGTTTACAGCCTCTAATTCTTCAATGGAACTTCAAGTCTGGACGCTTCTTCTCATCATGATCCAGATTTCATTATGGCATTTTGTCTATAAATCAGGCACGACCTCATAATTAACTCAAGGTTGCTATATAAAGTACTGTAATTTACTTACTTCAACACCCTGTAGGATAAAAAGTGTGTGCCCTTAAGTCAAAACCTATTTGAAAGTGTCCAGCATCTCAAAATGATGCCACCTGCCTCCAATGGTCCAAGGTCCAGAAACCAGCGACCATCCAAGCTCCTCTTTCAGAGTATGAAACGGGGCTTCTACAAGCCAGTTATGGAAAGTATCTCTCTTGTGTAAAATTCCCAAACAGTTGTCACTAGAGACTTTGGTTCACATGAAAAACCAGTAAAGGAAAAAAATTCTGGTTAGAGAAATCTGACTGGAAATCTGACCAGAGAAATCTGTCAAGCCAGTGCTATTTCTGGATCACAGTTTTTTACAGAGAGAGGGCCTGTTGGAACGATTTTGAAGTGATGACTGGAAGGTTTGACTCCCTCTAAGGAATCTTGCTGGTGTTTGGAAGTGTCCGATCTACGTTATGCACGTGTTCTGTCTATGAGGCGCTTCTCCACCCACTGTGTCCTTCAACCTTGCCATGGCAGCTTTGGCCACTGGGGATATTGTTGACCTGGGGAACCCCACCCACTCTCCTACCCCCTCGAACCCAATCCCTTCTCTTTTTACAAATCAACCAAATACTTTTTAATGTGTTTTATCCTTAAATAAACTTTGTGTTCAAGTATTCTCATTACTTGGTGGCTGGAATCATTCTTATTGATGTTAAGCTTTGTACACTAAATAGCATGCCATGAATTTTTTTTTTAAAGAAGTAGCAGCAATTGGACCAGGAAGGCACTGTTGGCCAGAACATTAATGCACCATTATATTGTTGTTCATGTGTACTTACAGAGCATTAGCAGAGCATTAAGGTTCGGTGTAGAAGAGAAGCAGGCAGCATCCTCTTTTGTAAGTGGTACAAAAACACGTATCTGCTATAATTAACTACAAAATGGAAGGCCTGCTAAATATATCCCTGGAGTGCTTTGCTTTCTAAGGGCAAAAACAAAGTAAAACCCACTTCAGGTTTATTTTGAAGTTGTCTTGGATTTAAACGGATAGCATTTTTATATTTTTCTGGGAACGCTGAAAAGCTGAGCAAAAATGCTTAGTGTTCTTTGAACATGAGTGTGAGTGAAATGGCCATTGTCTCATATGTCAAAGCACTGGCATCACACTGTCACTGGGCTGAAGAAGTGCGGTGTAGACTGAGTGTGCACTGAGCTGTTTTGTTCTCCCAGCCCCCTGGGAGAGTCAACACATTCGAGCTTATCTCAGCAGTCACACATGCTGTGCAGCTGAGCGGACAACTGGTATTGATGGAGAAAAATATGTGTCTGCTTCTGCTTGGACATCTTAAGATCTTTTGGGGAAATGCTGAGCACTGAGATGGATTAAGGAGTCAAGCCATTGTCTATTCTAGCTGAGACACAGTACTTCGTCCTCAGCAAGATAGAAATGGATGTTAGGTGTGTGATCTTTTTTTTTTTGAGACGGAGTCTGGCTCTATCGCCCAGGCTGGAGTGCAGTGGCACGATCTTGGCTCACTGCAAGCTCTGCCTCCCAGATTCACGCCATTCTCCTGCCTCAGCCTCCCAGAATAGCTGGGACTACAGGCACCCGCCACCATGCCCCGCTAATGTTTTGTATTTTTTTAGTAGAGACGGGGTTTCACCATGTTAGCCAGGATGGTCTCAATCTCCTGACTTCGCAATCTGCCTGCCTCGGCCTCCCAAAGTGCTGGGATTACAGGCATGAGCCACTGCGCCTGCTCTAAGTGTGTGTTCTTTGTTTGCATGAAAACCTGGATTCCATACTATCCCATACTTCAAGATCAGAGGATTCAGATGAGCTTATGCACCATTTCCATTCATGCCATTAAAGGTTTAGGCTTTTGAAATCAAACAGATTATGAGCTAAATATAATAATGTGTCATTTATGGTTTTACCTGAGATCCTTAGATGATTTTTTTTTTTCCCCTGAGACAGGGTCTCACTCCTGTTGCCAAGGCTGGAGTCTATTAGCATGATCTTGGCTCATTGCAGCCTCGACTTTCTGTGCTCAAGTGATCCTACTACTTCAACCTTCTTAGTAGCTGGGACTACAGGCATGCACCACCATGCCCAGCTAATTTTTTATATTTTTAGTAGAGATGAGGTTTTACCATGTTGCCCAGGCTGGTCTCGAACTCCCGGGCTCAGGCAACCCACTCACCTTGGCCTCCTAAAGTGCTGGGATTATGGGCGTGAGCCAACACACCTGCCTTTTTAGATGAATTTTAACTGAAAACATACAAGGAGGAAATGGTGTATTACTTACTTGACAACACCTCTTTATTGATTCCCATATTAAAGTCATTAGAAATTCCTCGATTAAAAATTCTAGTTTTTTTTCTTAAAGCTTTTTACTTGAAATCCTTTTTGCCACACTTTCATTCTTGGCTTTTGGTTTTCTCACTTGGTTGGCATCCTTCACATGTCTACCATCAAGATAAACCTGGTTGTAATGCCACAACAGAAAACCCCAGGCCAGGTGTGGTGGCTTATACCTATAATTCCGGCACTTTGGGAGACCCAGGCAGACAGATCACCTGAGCCCAGGATATTGAGACTAGCCTGAGCAACATAGTGAGAGCCCATCTCCACAAAAAAAATACAAAAATTAGCCAGGGGTGGTGGCGCATGCCTGTAGTCTCAGCTACTTGGGAGGCTCAGTTGGGAGGATCGCTTGAGCCTGGGCGGTTGAGGCTGCAGTGAGCCATGATCATGGCACTGCAATCCAGCCTGGACAACAGAATGAGATTTTTGTCTCAAAAAAGGAGAACACCCCCACAATCTCAGTGACTTAACAAAGGTTTCTTTCTTACTCACACAAGTCGCCCCTGCTTTCATTGTCATCCTGGAATGGAAGTTGCTGGAGGCTTTATTATCCTTCAATGTTGTCAGCTCAATGTGTGGCTTCAAGATTCACCTTTGCAAGGGAAGACAGCCTGGAGAATCCCACCGTAGCTCTTCCGTGCTTCTGCCTGAAGTGACACATATCGCTTCTGTTCCCACTTCATTGGTCAATGACAGCCAGATGGCTGTAACTGACTTTTAGAGATGAGGAAGCACAAACATCCCGTGTGCCTGGAAGGCAGAAGAACTGGAAATCAGTGGTGATGGTGCTCACATTGCCTTTGAGTCCGTCACTTCTATCTGGATTAAAGAGAAATACTTCTACAGAACTGAAAACAAACGGGCCCTTTAGTTGACTTCCTGGAAGGCAGAAGAACTGAGAGATGATCCTGACTCTTCCACTAATTCTCTACTTGAAACACAAATTATTACATGCCTCAATACCTTAATTTTCCTCTAGGTAACATAAGAACATGAAGCTTCTTTTCATATGTTCTTATGTCACAAAGTGGCACTAGACACTTGAACTGGGGAACCCCACCCACTCTCCTACCCCCTCGAACCCAATCCCTTCTCTTTTTACAAAGAGAAGCCATATGATAGTATATGTTAAGATAACTTCAGAGCATTGCCTTTTCCTGCTGCTCTAAAAGATTTACTTGCGGGGTGAAGGGGTGAGAAAGTGCATGCTTAGCAAAGGTTGAAAACGAAGTTAATTGGGAATCTTATTGACTTGGTATTTGTTTGATATCAAAAGAAACATCTTGGGGTCTGACATTTGTGACCACTGGGAATTCTGTAATTAGTTTCTCAACCAGTAGTAGGTATGTATTCTACTCAAAATTCTAACGACAAAACTTGAGAGCGCTAATTGTTTAACATTGTCTAATATTCTAGCTATTTTTAGAACCATTTGACATTTAGTGGGAGCTTGAAATCTAATAAAATTTCTTTCAACCAGAGGAATTAAGTAATTATCAAAAGACAATCATGAAGGGCTAGGGTAATAAAAAATTACTTCTTTACTAATTCTGAATTAATTTACCATCCACCCTGTTTTGAACTTCCCAGCCTTTCTCCTAAAACTCAGGGGATCTCTACAGCTTGTACTTCATTGCAATTTGGGCCTGTTTAGAAGACCATGATGATATTTTGCAGTGCCCCATACGCTGACATCTGCAGCACAGTCCAGTGAAAAAGGAAATGAAACAGCGCCCTCTAGTGTCTGCTGTTTATTTTTGCATGAAGCTCAAATGTGTATTGAACCACACCAATCGAATTATGATTCCGGTCCCCCGCCCCACTACCACCCTGAAACCTTAGACGCAGGACATTATGAGAATATAGCTTTAGAAAACACATCAAATGCCAAGGACGTTTTCTGGAGAACAGTATGGGATTTATTTTTATGCATACCGTACGCATTACTCCAGGAAATACCAGCACTTGGCATCCCATGCAAATTTTGCCCTTAATATCCGTTTCTCTAATGTGTTGACAAAAATAGCTGTCAAGAAAAATTAAGTACCTCTTTAAGATGTTGAGAAATAAACAATCTGATCAAGAAAAACCCATGCAATATTTAGTGGTCTTTTCCCCCCAGCAGAATGTGAAATACTTTCACATGCACCTACAGCACAACGGCAATAACTCTGTTCTGACTAATGGAAGGCTCTGTTTGTGATGGTTTAATTATGTTTGCTGAAATACGACTCTCATATAAGACAACATCTCCATGGCAGAGGGACAGATCTCTGTGTCTATAGATAGAAATAAAATACAAAAGACTCATCATTCCATGAAGAACTCAGCAATCAAATTCTATTTGCTAAGGAAACAAATGGAGGAAGAATGTTCACTGTACATTTCGTTGTGTGTTTCTGTTTGCATCTAGCCTCTAGGTTAGCTGTTGTTTTGTTCAGTAGCATAAGATACTGATGGTGAAATAATTTTGAAATTAAGATAGTCTCCTATTGGACGAAATAACAATCCCTTACACAAATGTAGCATCTTTCATAACAAATGCTTTGCCACTGTATTTAATATTGTTCAGTCCTAGATCATGCTGCATTCTGACAGAGAAATTAGAGGAAAAGTACTAAGTTGAAGTTATATATATCCAAAAGTACTAACTAAAGAAGAACATAAACCTACTCATATATGTATGCTTTTATGTGTAGGTTTATTTAATAATTTTTAACTTCTAATGAGACATATTAGAATGATAGTGACCTTTTGAGCCTTTTAAGAACAAACAAACTTAGAATTCTTTATTTTCTCCCCCTAACTTTTGAATTCCTTTGTGGAATACTTTAGGGTACAAAAATCCACCGATATTGCCCTATTTTAATTGGGCAAAAATACATTATTTTACTGAAAAAGATAACATTTAATTACTTTAAGGCTTGAAAACCTTTGCGTTGGATCAACCTAGTATTAGTGGAATTATTTAAATTTCAAGACTGTAGGCACATAGAAATTTGTTACTGAGTTAATTATATGTTAACCAAAGGCAGAAAAAACAAGGTTCCTAGTATTTCCCTTTTATCTGCCAAAAACATTCTTAATTTAACAGGCCATCCTGGTCCTTAAATGTGGTTTATATAACTAGGTGGGTCATTCAAATCAAGAAGTTACAAGTGTGTATTTATTCACACTTTCCATGAGTCTCTACGTTGATGACTGCAAAATGCTGTTAAGGAATATCTGCAGCCGTGCAGGGGACGGAGTCTGCTCTCCTGAAAAGTCACGATCAGAAAGCAATTTGGCAAACTAATTCGACAAGGGGAAAATGACTTAACATATAATGCAGAAGCATCTAGGTGTCATATCAGAATATTCAAAGCATAAAATGAGAAAAAGGGCTGTGGATAGCACATAACCCAATTTTTTCCCCCTAAAAAAGCCCCATATTTGAAATGCTTACTTTGAATCTCCAAGAGAGAAGAAGAGTGGAAGTATTCTGAATATTAATTTAAGATTAGCAGGAATGTAGTGAGTCTAGAGATACTTGGCCACTATGGATTTTATTCATGTCTCCTGTTGTTAGCCTGTTCTATTTGTATTCTCAACCTGGTCATGTTGATACAAAATTACTTTCATTAGTTAATTTTAAGTAGAACCCCAAAACTAAGTTGACATTTGTATCTTGTTTAGACAAATTTCCCTGAAAACACAGGCTGCCTAAATCACAGGAAAACATGTCTCCATCATACAAAGTTAAATGCTTCTTATTTTGAAGAATAGTTTCAGACAGTCACAACCCACAAGGACTTTGTTGTATTTCTAGGCATTATACTCCAGAAACACAAATTCGGCAAAAGTCAACTTTCCAGGTAGATCCCCAAAGAGGCACCCCTAACTCTTGCAAACCAAGAGACCTCACGGCAACAACTATTTCTCTGTCCTCTGCCTTAGGGTTTTGCATACTTTGTTAGGAAGATACAACTGTAGAACTTTAATGTGTGGTGATTTGATAAATTTTACAATAAAATTTGTAAAATGTATGGTTGTATTTCTAAGTCTTCTACCAGAAAGTATCATTCTGAGGTGCTCTCATGTTATAGAAACAGCAACATAAACAACAACAAAACTCCTCATCTTTGGGTCTGCTGTTAGAAGTGGGTTCTTTCAATGCCACCGCTAAAACATGCACTTGAGTCACTGATCACTGGCAAAGTCTGCTCTTATTGTTTTATTTGTAAAACAATTCCCACATTACTTATCCCAACCCTATTGTAAGTTGATTTTTTTTTTTTTTTTTTTTTTTTTTAAGACGGAGTCTCGCTCTGTCGCCCAGGCTGGAGTGTGGTGGCGCGATCTCGGCTCACTGCAAGCTCTGCCTCCCGGGTTCATGCCATTCTCCCGCCTCAGCCTCCCGAGTAACTGGGACTACAGGCGCCCACCACCACGCCCGGCTAATTTTTTTGTATTTTTAGTAGAGACGGGGTTTCACCATGTTAGCCAAGATGGTCTCGATCTCCTGACCTCGTGATCCACCCGCCTCGGCCTCCCAAGGTGCTAGGATTACAGGCGTGAGCCACAGCACCTGGCCGAGTTTTTCCTTCTCACCAGAAGAATGTAAATGTACATGGGTTGGAAAAATGAGAGTGGCAGAACCTTTTAGTTTTGTGAAGGTAGCACAAGGATATTTTGTTCCTATATGTTGCAAAGTGCAGCTGAGGATGATGGAAGGAGTGCAGAGGGCCAGGGCTGTGGGTGGCCCCTGCATTGGCCTCAACTTCTCATGGAACCCTGAGTTAGCCAGGTGGGCCAGATGCCCTTGAAGGTACAGTCAGTCTCCTTCCAAAAATGTAAAAAAAAAAAAAAAAAAAGGAAATTCACTTTACTAAAACCCCTAAGCAGATTTTTATCAAAGATAGAGAAAATGATCTTAATTCTGAGATATTTGGAAAATACTATCAGAAAGAAAACAATGAATCTCTCAGATTTAATTCAGTGAGTAAAAATCTACTGGAATCAAGAACTAAGAAATAAAATATAAACACAGGATTGCCCTGAGGAAAAAAGTTTGAATTTAACAAAGTAATTCCTTGTAGACACTAAACCAATGTAAAGCAAGCAACCAAGGGCTTTGATGCCACTGCCTTTAAATAAACACATGATTTCATAAATGGAAAAAAAGCTAAACTGATTACCTTGAAAAATGAGTAAATAAATATTAGAGCAAATCCATAGATGTATTAGCTCGTTCTTGCACTGCTGTAAAGAACTACCTGAGACTGGGTAATTTATAAAGAGAAGGTGTCTAATTGGCTCACAGTTTAGCAGGCTGTACAGGAAGTATGGTTGGGAGGCCGCAGGAAACTTACAATTGTGGCAGAAGGCAAAGCAGGCATTTCTTCACATGGCCAGAGCAAGAGGAAGAGAGAGAGCGGGAGGTGCTACTCACTTTTAAACAACTAGATCTCATGAGAACTTACTATCATGAGAACAGCAAGGGGGAAATCTGCCCCTATGATCCAATCCCCTCCCACCAGGTCCCTCCTCCAACACTGGGGATTACAATTCCACATGAGATTTGGGCGGGGACACAGACCCAAACCACATCAATAGGATACTAAGAAACACCAGTAATTTCCCCCGAGGATGCTGCGAAACAAGTTCCTTGGCCATTCCTTTAGCTATAAAGTCCCAGTTATTAAGGACATTAAGGTTCCATTTTATTTTTGCATTTTTGTGTGTATGCGTGTGTGTGTAACTTAAAGCTTCAGGGTAAAAGTTGATGAATCTTAAAATTTTTAGTATTTAGCTCTAAAATTTTATTCTCCAAAACACATCAATATTTAGCAAAGGTTCTATTTTATTTTCCCAAAGTTAGATGGCACTAGAGTTTTGTTATTCAAAATCCATTCATCTCCATTTATTAGGCTTTCAGATTCTGAGAACTTCTTCGGCTTCCTCTGCCAGCTTGTCTACCTTTGTCATGATAATACTCAAAACTTGAGATTCAGAAAAGAAATTCTGACTTTTTAAATGAAAGAAATATGGACCTCTCAAACTGATCTCAAAGAAAAATGGGACCCAAGACTTTCATTAAACCACATGAAATAGAGCACTTGGCAAATGCTGGATAACAAAGTCCTCTGGGGGGAAAGAAAGAAAGAAAAAGAAAGAAAGAAAGAAAGAAAGAAAGAAAGAAAGAAAGAAAGAAAGAAAGAAAGAAAGAAAGAAAAGAAATTCTCATGAGTAAAAATCAGTGTTTTTACCTTTATGTTGTTGTTTGGGCAGAATTGATAAACTGAATCAAATTTCTCTTTAAAAGCAATTTAGAAAAGAATGAGTGTGCTGCTATATTCCTCTTATAAAAAGAAGTTTACTGTGGTAGGAAATGTAAATTCATGAGCCAAACACAAATTCCAAGAATGGCATCAACTTCAACCTGGGATTCTAGCTGTTCTTTGCTATAGTCGTAAAGTGTAAACTCAGTGGAAATTCTGAGCCTGATACATCTAGATTTAGAGCCTGTGTGTGGATTCCTAGGGGCCCTTTCTGAGGCAGCTCTCCTGCCTACTCCCCCTCTGTTTAATCAGCATTCGATGACTTCACGTGTCAGTCTGGCTCCTCTGGACTATGTCAGGATTTAGAAACAGTCAAAAAAAAAAAAAAAAAACACACACAAAAAAAACACCAAACCTGATTAGTTGACCCTAAAGATTAGAGTCTTTCAGTCAACTAAAGAATTAAGACTTTTATTTTAAAAGAACCTGTTATTGTTTATTTACCATACACTAAGCCCGGTGATGAGGGTTTAGCATCTATTATTTCCTTGAGTCCCCTTCAGTGACCTTAAAAAATGGTTATTTCCTGTTTTTATAAATGAAGAAACAGTGATTCAAAGAAGTTAAGTAACTTGCACAGGCCATTTTATTTGATTTCATAGAATTTTTGATGGAGTTGAAAGAATCACTGCAAGGGACCTTGTCTGGGCATCTCAGTAAACAAAATGTGAAATATAGTAGAATTTATGTTATGCAGCGTCACTGTCAGTTTGGAGGAGAGAGGTCCATCAAGCACACTATTGCCAGCAGAAGCTTATCATAGGGATTATCAAATTTCAAAAGAGCGCAGGCGTGGTGGCTCACACCTGTAATCCTAACACTTTGGGAGGCCAAGGCAGGAGGATCGATTGAGGCCAGGAGTTCAAGACCAGCCTGGGGAACACAGGGAGACTTCTATCTCTAAATAATCAAAATTAAGGCCGGGAGTGGTGGCTCACGCCTGTAGTCCCAGCACTTTGGGAGGCTGAGGCGGGCGGATCATGAGGTCAGGAGATGGAGACCATCCTGGCCAACATGGTGAAACCCTGACTCTACTAGAATACAAAAAAAAAAAATAGCTGGGTGTGGTGGCGCGCTCCTGTAGTCCCAGCTACTTGGGAGACTGAGGCAGGGGAATCGCTTGAACCCAAAAAGTGGAGGTTGCAGTGAGCCGAGATCGCACCACTGCACTCCAGCCTGGTGACAAAGCGAGACTCCATCTCAAAAAAAAAAAAAAATTAAAAATAAAAATTAGCTGAGCATGGTGGTCCATTTCTGTAGTCACAGCTATTTGCAGTGCTGAGGTGGGAGGATCACTTGAGCCTGAGGGAGTCGAGACTGCAGCAAGCTGTGATCGCAGCACTGTACTCCGGCCTAGGTGACAGAGAGACACTGTCTCAAAAAACAAAAAACAAACAAACAAACAAAAAAACAAAACAAAAAAAAACACTTTTTAAAAAGGAATGTTCGATTTTTAAAAAATTTATTTCATACTAAAATTTGACCAAACATGAGTTACTTTTACTCATAGCATACTAGTGCACTACACACATTCTGGAGTCTGACAGATCTGGGTTTGGATCCTGGTTTCACCGCTTACCAGTTGGATGTACTTGATTCATTCATTCATCAAATATTTATTGATTGCCTACCTAGTACGAGGTATTAGGTCTACAGTTGTAAATGAACCAGATGTAGTCCCTGCCCTCATAGAATTTGTGGTTTAGTAGGGCAGAGCATTAATAAACAAGTAAATATATCAAATAAAGATGTAATTTCCAAAGGAGAAAAGTCCTATGAAAAATACAAATCGGATGTTAGGTTCAAAAATGGGGATGGAGAACCGAGGTCAATTTCAAGCAGGCCTTCTGAGAAGGTACCACTCAGCCAAGATTTGAGGGCGAAAAAGAAACCCAGCAAGGATGAAGTCGGGAGTGGGCACCAGGGTAGGCATTTCAGACAGAAGCCAGAGCAGGGACAAGGCCTGAAGTCTCGGGAGTGGCATGTTTGCATGGATGAGAAGCAGCCAGTGTGCGTGGAATGTTCTAGGCTGGCAGGAGTTAGGCCTGCAGAGGAAGGCAGGGACCTTGTCAGCCACGAGAAGGTGGCTGAATTTTATTTCTGGGACGATAGTAAGCTGCTAGAAGATCGTAAGCCGGAGAATGGCATCATTCAATTTACATTTAAAAATAATTCCCAATACTATATGGAGAATGAATTTGGAGGGAGAAAGAGAGGATGCAGGAAAAACAAATGACTATTGTGTTAGGCCAAGGCTGGAGTACTGGCAAAAGCCCAGGGACCTGGGATATGGGAAGAAATGGAAGGCATTGAGCTGCATTTTGGAAGTTGAAGTTATGAGGCTAAGTCATGTCTTGGATACGGAGAGAAGGAAAAGATAGGAATCAAAGATGTATCTGATGTGTACATCTGGATGGATGAATGATATCATTTACAAAGATGATAAAAATTTGGTAAGAAATAGTTTCAGGGAGAAAATCACGTGTTGATTTTTGTACATGTTGAGCATGAGATGTCTGCAAGAGATCCAAGGAGAGGTGTCAAGTAGGCAGTAAGATCCATGACAGGGGCTCGTCAGACTTGTCTGGGATGGTGATAACCGTATATAGAGATCACATGCATTTAGATGGTATTTTAAACTTGGGGCAGAATTTAGAGCGTGAGACTAGAAGAGGCCTCAATGTCAAGAGGTCTGAGAATCTATGGGATCAAAATTTAGAGGCTGGGAAGAGAGGGAGAAATTACCAAAGGAGACTGAGGAATAGCCAGAAAAAGCTGAAGAAAACTCAGGAGGAAGCCTGACCAAGGAAAGTGAGTATTTTAAGCAGAATATTCTGTTATACTCCAGGCTCATAGAAATGAGTATTTAAAGCTAATCATCTTGAGCACCAGATAATCTCAGGTAAGTTGTTTAACCTTTCTGAGAACCTATAAAATCTATAAAATAAATTAAAATATAAATACTATTTATCCCTTATGGTTGTTTAGAGTATTAAGTGAAATGACAAATCTAAGTCACTTAACATGGAGCCCTGTGTACAGTAAGTGTACGGAGTAAGTTTTTTTTTTTTAATCCTTCATTATCTCCATGTCATTAATTATCACAGTACTGTAGATGTGCAGATGATTAGCTAGTAAAGAATTGTGTCTATAAGAATGTCAACTAATCTAGCTTTGATTATTTCTCTTTCCTTGCTGAAAATCACTTAAAAGGTATGAGAATGAATCTTTTCTTGTAGTAAACCGTGACTTTTCAGTGTCCGTGAAAGGATATACCATTAATTACTTCAAAGCCTACTTTACTTGTCCACCATTCCTTAAGACTATTTGGCTTTCAGGTAAAGTGTATGAGAGTTTTGTTGTTGTTTTTTTCAATTAATTTTAACTGCAATCTGAGGAAAGACCAAATCAGCAAAGTTATTAACATCTTAAAAACACTAAGCCACTTACCGAAAAAGCTTCCCTACAGAAATTTCCTATGGGAATAGTCTCCAAAAAGCTTGCTGATGTTTCTGAATGCCAAATTGCTGTTTAAAAAGGAAAATCATCAAGCATGCAAGGCTTTCCAAAAAGGCAAGAGAAATTAAAAGTGGCTAAAACAGTGAAGCATTAATGAAAAGGAAATGAGCAGCTTTCATTTATTAAAAATTATGTAAACTCATTTCAAACAAATTATTACTGCACTTGGATCTTTTTGCTGTTTCCAGTAGGTAGAAATATAAGAAAAAAATTTGTCCTCAACTACATGAAAAAACAGGAACCTCTTTTCAAAATAATGATCTTCATAAAGTTCTATTAAGACAAGGTGGATTGGCTGGGTGTGGTGGATTGGCTGGGTGTGGTGGCTCACGCCTGTAATCCCAGCACTTTGGGAGGCCGAGGTGGGTGGTTCACCTGAGGTCAGGAGTTCGAGACTAGCCTGGCCAACATGGTGAAACCCCGTCTCTACTAAAAATAAAAAAAAATTATTTTTTATTTTATACAGGCATGCACCTGTAATCTCAGCTACACGGGAGGCTGAGGCAGGAGAATCACTTGAACTTGGGAGGCAGAGGTTGCAGTGAGCCGAGGTCGCACCACTGCACTCCAGCCTGGGTGACAGAGTGACACTCCATAAAAAATAAATAAATAAATAAATAAAGTAAATAAAAGACTAGGTGCACTGATAACAGTTACTTTGGCCCATGAAAATTCAATCAATGAAAATTTAAAAATTAAAATAAATATTCTAAGTTCACACATACACACAAACAACTGAGAGAAATCAAAGACACACTGCTCCCCTATCATTCTTTAGAGTGAACATTGGAAATTTTCTCCAAGTTAACTAAAAAGATGTGCCATAACCTTTTATGAGACAGTGGAGAACATTTTGTAAACAAAAATAACACAATTCTCCATGAAAGATCTTACTAATTTGTCAGTATTTACCCAGTGAATATAGAATTAGTGGATAAATATCATGAAAGGCAAAGAGAAATGTCCATGAAAGACTATGATGTGAATTGGATACCTGGACCCTAACTCTGATTACTGTACCAGGGTGTATGTGACCTTGAGAAGACCAAGAGACTTGCATCCCTTCTCCCTATTCGTTTTCCATCTTAGCGACATGCCTACTACCCACACACTGTTCCTTCCCTTCCTCTCACTGTATTCCAACAACTCTTTAAGGCAATAACAAGAATATAGAAATAACAACAAAAAGGCATTATTTAGAACTAGCTGAGAAAGAAAAAGGTGAAGAATATAAAATAGTACAAAAAATTAGACATGTTTTTGCATGCCATGAAATTCTATGAAGTGTCAAGGATGGGCCACTAATTTGATTGAAAGCACTCCAGCAAACAATCCAAAAGTCACTCAATTGAGTGTCTATAGGAGAAAAACAAACTGCTTAGGATAACTGGTAAATGAGGTGGGAAAAAAATAGGTATAATTATTCATTAAGCCCAACCAATGTTTCACTTCTTCTGTTGGGATCTACATGTCCGTGGGAGGTACCTTTTGTTAGCTATGACAGCCACTTAAACCAAGTATCAAAATAAATTGAACAAAGAACCATACTGTCAAATTGCTGTATTACAAAGAATAGCATAATTATTCCCTATACTAAAAACAGAAAGAACTAGCTCCTAAGTGCTCTCATAAAGAAGACAGCGTATTATAACAATAAGAAGGCACCATTTACTGAGTATTCTCTGTGTACCAGGCTCTATGATCTGCTCTTCTACATACATTATTTTATCAACTCCATCTTCATTCTAGTTTCTGCCATAAGTTTAAAAGGGAGTATTTCTTTCTTACAGAGCCCCTCAGTGCAGGTCAATGGCATCATGTCAACGTTCAGTAAAAGCAGTTCTACAGTCAAGGGACCTAGCTCTCTAAAGATGTGGCTTTAATGGTGGGTCTAAACTTGGAGCAAAATTGTGGCTGATAAACTACCTGCAACAGAATCACCTGGACTGTGTATTTAAAATGCATATTCCAGGACCCTCTGCAGGCTAACTGAATCAGAACCCTGAGGGTTATGTCCAGGAGATAGCATTTCTAACGTGTGCTCCTATTAGGCACCCTCAGTTTGTGAACTGCTGTCTTAAGATATCATGAGCAATGGTCCCCAAATATTGTGATTTCCCAGTAAGAAATTTTTAGAGCATGCCTCTCCAACTTAATATTTGTGTTTATGGACAAATTAGATGTTCGTACTAATTTAATAATATATTATGTATATTATAAAGCATCCATACATTTTCAAAGGATCAGGTTTTAACTAATTATTATGTAATAATATCTTAGGAGCAAAATGATAGAATAAACTTCATTGTTCGTGAAAATTTCAGATACTTACCTGGTAATTCTATAATCATTAGGTAAATACTAGCAAAATTAATAAGGTTTTCTCATGTTGTTATTCTTCCTTATGAGTGTAATTTTTAACTTGTTAAAAAGTTTTGAGAAGTATGTTTGTAACTAATCAAAGAAAATATCTAAGTATTTACTTTGTAGAATTGTAAATGTTTAGTTAAATGTTTGTTGTGAACTATTTCATAAGTGTAAAAGAGTATATTAAGATATGCAGTTTAAATAATTACAATAAATTGAACACTCATGTACCAACCACATAGGTTACAAAATAGGATATTACTAGGGCTTTCAAACCTCATTTGTATGGTCCTCTCCAAGTAAATCTATGCACATACCCCTCCTCAAGGTAACCATCATCATATTAATCATTCATCTGTTTTTCCTTGTAATTTTAATGCCTACGTATGTATCCCAAACAATGTATTATTTCTTTTTCCTCTGTTCAAACTCCATATAAAGGGGATCATACTGCACATACTTACTGACTTGCTTTTTTCATTCAACACCATCATCTTGAAACTCATCTATCTAATAGGTATAGCTCTAGTTCATTCGTTTTTATTTCTGTATGGTAGTCCATTATAGGAATAACCCACAACTTGTTTACCTTTCTATTATAGATGGACATTTGAGTTATATCTCTTTTTTTTTCTTACAAGTAGAACTGCCATGGAGGTTTTGTTCCTTGTCTTCTTGTGCACAGATCTCAGAGTTTCTCGGGCATCTATCTAGGAACGAGTTTGCGGGGTCAAAGCGAATGTTTAATTTTACTAAGTAATACCAAGAATTTTCCAAAATGATTGTATCAGTTTGCTGTCTTAACAACAGTGCATGAGAGTTGCTCTGCCTGTTTGCCCACACCCGGTATAATAAAGCTTTGTTCCCCTTTGTTCTGCCAATCTGTTGGGTCTGAAACAGTCTCATGTTTTTAATTTAATTTTCTTGATTACTATTGAGGCTAAGTATCATTACATGAATTTATGAGCCATTTTGTTTCCTATTCTGTGCCATCTGTTTGTCTTTTGTTCATTTTTTTCTGTTGTTTGTCATTTTCTTAATTCATAGAATCATTTTGCATTCCAGATTCTAATCTTTATATTTACATGTACTAAAAGAATATAACCCTAACATGTGACTTGTTTTAATGCTCTATTTATTTTCTTTTAAGAAACACAAGTTCTTAATTTTAATACAGTTGATTTATCAACCTATGGTTAGTGGTCTCCCTCTCTCTCGCTCTCTCTCTCTGTTTGTGTGTTTTAAGAAATCCTTTCTTACTCCAAGTTCACGAAGATATTCTCCTAAAAGTTTTAAAATTTCAAATTTTATATTGAAGTCTTTACTAGGATTGATTTTTGTGTGGGATTGGGATACAATTTAAGTTTTCTTTCCATTTGGTAGCAAATAACCTAAGCACTATTTGTGTGATAGTCTATCCTTTCTCCACTATTTTTCAATGCCTGCTTTGTATAAATGGATTTTTTTCTAAGCACTCTATTTTATTTATTGGCCAGTTTATTTATCCCTGCCCTAAAACCACAGTCTATTAGAGCTTTATAATAAATCTTAATAACTAGAAAGACATGTCTTTCTCTTTTGTTTTTTTGTCAAGAATGTCTTGGCTATTACCAGGCATTTGCTCTTACATATAAATTTTAGAATCAGGCAGCTCCTCAAGTTCCCCAAATCAAAACAACCACAAAAAGCCTGTTGGAATTTTTATTGGAATTGCATTGAATCCAAAGGTCGATTTGAGAACTGACATCTTTATAACGTTAACATTTCTTACCTATAAACACAGTATTCTCTGTTTATTTAGGTTTGTAATATCTTTACAAATGATTTGCAGTTTTTTTCTTCCTCGTGTTTCATAACTCTTTTAAAAACAATTCCTGGGTATTTTATTTTTGTTGTTAATATAAATGGTATTTGTTTCTTAATATATTTTCTAACTATTGCTGTTAAAATGCAATAGTTTTGTATATTAAATTTCTCTCTAGTAACCTTGATAAGCTAATTCTAATAATTTATCTGTAGAATCATTGGGTTTTCTACATACACAATAATATAATCTAAAAATAATAAAAATTTTGGATTTTATCCCAATTCTTATACCTTTTACTTATAATTTTTTGTCTTATCCTGTTGGAGAAGGATGTCTTGGGCACTGTTCAATAGGAGTGATGATAGGTACTTTTTGTCTGGTTCCTGACTACTAATGAAAACTTTCAGTGTTTCTCCATGAAGTCTGACCTTTGCTTTCAAATTTTTGCATGTCCTTTATTAGCTTATGAAAGTTACCTTATACCTGCTTTGCTTATGGTTTTCATTATGACTGGATGCTGATTTTTCTCAAATGCTTTTTCAGTATCTATTGAGTTGATCATATGATTTTTCTCCTTTAACTTGTTAATGTGGTGTATTGCTTAGTTGATTTCCTCATATTATGCTCCACTTGCATTCTTGGAATAAATACAACTTGCTTATGAAATATTAACCTTGTGAACATTGTTGGATTGCTAATAATTTGTTTATATTGGCCTGTACTTTTTCTTTCTCATATGATCCTTATTGGAATTTCACACCAAAAGTATGCTGCCCTCATAAAATAAGTTCCAGAATATTTCCTAATTTTAAGACTTCTCTGCAATTGTTTTTGAAGACTGGAATCTTGCATATCACTTTTTCTTTTGATGTTCTGTAGATGTGTTCTGTTCTGTTTGATTTGTCCCTAGAGTTTTCTTGGTGGAACAATTTTTAACCACTAATGTCAATTTTTTCTTGAATCAGTTTTGATGTTTCATTATTCTAGGAATTTTTCCATTAAAATTTTTAAATTTTTAAATATTATTTGCATAAAGTTTTTTATATCTATTTACTATATTTTTAGTGTCTGCAACCTCTTTCATGAAGCCCTTTTTTCATTCTTGTTATTAATTATTTTGGCCTTCTCTATTTTTACCTTAATCAGTCTTGGCAGAGGTTTGTCAATTTTATTAGCCTTTCAAAAAATCAGTCTTCAATTTTGTTAATCTTTCCTAATGGTATTTATGCTTTCTATTTTACTAATTTCTGTTGTTGTTTTTATTATATATTTTCTTTGAGCCAATTGTGCTATTTTTTTCTAACCTCTCAAAATGTAGGCTTAGCTCATGAAAGTAATTATTTCTTTTTTCTAACATAGGTATTTAAGGCTATACATTTTTTTCTAGGAACTACTTAAGCCCAATCCTAATATTTTTGATACATAGTGTTTGTTTATTGTTATTCATTTAAAATACTCTCCAATTTCTACTACACAACTTAATATTAAGTTTAGTAAAATGTTATAAGCAATTTGTAATATTCCATAACTCTCAAACTCATTTAATATTGGACAGATTTGTATTCACATGATGGATGGTTCATATTAATTTACTCATGGTGCTGTGCTGCTCACAATGTTGCTATTGTATTTTTTTTTTTTTTTTTTTTTGAGACGGAGTCTCGCTCTGTCGCCCAGGCTGGAGTGCAGTGGCGGGATCTCGGCTCACTGCAAGCTCCGCCTCCCGGGTTCACGCCATTCTCCTGCCTCAGCCTCCCGAGTAGCTGGGACTACAGGCGCCCGCCACTACGCCCGGCTAATTTTTTGTATTTTTAGTAGAGACGGGGTTTCACCGTTTTAGCCGGGATGGTCTCGATCTCCTGACCTCGTGATCCGCCCGCCTCGGCCTCCCAAAGTGCTGGGATTACAGGCGTGAGCCACCGCGCCCGGCCTGCTATTGTATTTTATCTGTGATTTCTTTGTAGGAATCTTTTTTAGCCGTGTCATTTGGAAACCATAAATTTCACCTAAATTAGTGTAAAGAAAGTGTCTATGTCACAATGTGATGAAAGGTGATGAATGAATGAAAGTGCCACTGTGCAGCCTTTCCCATTGTGATATGCCCACTCTTTCCTCAGAATATGCAGGATTGGCGTATCACAGGTCACCATCTTGATTGACTTACTAATCAAGTGAATCTATCAGTGTTAACTAATGTATTAATTGTTAGTAAAGTTTAATTTAATTCATTTGATAGCTTAAAAAAAGTAAATAAAAGTTGGATGTTTTCTCATCACCCCATAGGGGATTTGGAGTCCACTCATCTGGGACAGTAATTCTCATCCACAGACGGTAATAGTGGGACAGCATCCTTCAAGGAGGACATGTCAGCCTCTGAGACATGAAAGATAGACATCTTGGCTAATGAGAATTTGAAAGAAGACAGTGCTTCTCAAGAGGAGTGCGTGTCACAATCTCTGGGAGGTGCAAGAGATTTTCATGGCTTCAAAAGATTGAAAACACACTGATATCACACTGATGTTTCAACTTTACTCTGTAAAAGCGCTTTCTTTCCACAGAGCTGTCAGTAGATACTGTGTGGTAGATATCTGGAGGTCAGCTAGGCTCTGTTGCCAAACATAAAGAGAACCATCACTTTTACACCCAGCTGAGCTGAGATATCCTCAATACACACCAGTCATTATCATTCCCTTTTCCACCATAGTTCCCAAATTTTCCACCCTGCATTCTTCTTTCCATCTAAATTTAAAGTTGGGAAAGAGGCCGGGAGCTGTGGCTCACGCCTGTAATCCCAGCATGTTGAGAGGCCAAGGCGGGTGGATCACAAGGTCAGGATATCGAGACCATCCTGGCTAAAATGGTGAAACCCCGTCTCTACTAAAAAATACAAAAATTTAGCCGGGCATGGTGGTGGGCGCCTTCAGTCCCAGCTACTCGGGAGGCTGAGGCAGGAGAATGGCGTGAACCCGGGATGGGGAGCTTGCAGTGAGCCGAGATAGCGACCCTGCACTCCAGCCTGGGCGACAGAGCAAGACTCTGTCTCAGAAAAAAAAAAAAAAAAAAAAATTGGGAAAGAGTATGAGGCAGCCAGGGAGACTATGACAAACAAGAGCCCGGAGGCGCTGGGCAACAAATGGCCTTTATTCTTTGACAAATATCTCATCTGTCAAAGTGGATGTCATGTAAAATAACTTAAATTATTGGTTATGTTTATGAGGTATGCAAAAATCCTCTTACATGAGAAATATCATATAGAGATACTTAAGTATGTTTAAGTGATGAAAGTTCTCACTTTTCTAATTCAGTGCCCACCATCTAAAATGATGCTTGAATGATGCATTCCAGAAACACAACCTCATACATTTTAATCACTCTTAGCAAATGTTTCAGAAGACACATATCAGTAAGTTGCTTACCAGCAAATATTGTAACCTACCTGATAGACCAGTCATTCTAATTATACTTTAAAAGGAACAGAAATGAAAACAATTTACAGAACTTCTCCTATTACTGTTCTTGCTGCTCAAGCATAGAAAACAAGAATTCCCCTTTCCACATCTGCTTGTACAAAGGGTCATGCTTCCATGACTTGCCAGGAACTTGTCTTACTTCTTGGAATAGTAAATATTTTTTAAAAAGAACTGAATCTTAGACTCAATGACAAGATTAGTCTGCTCTATAAAAGTTAACCACAAGCAAATACAACCTAAAACCTACTGAGTATTTTTTAGATTTTCTTCAAGGTGAGAATGTGTTTATTATTTTAAGAGTATATGTTGGGAAGTGAGTGTTAGGGAGATGTTGATCAAGGATACCAAATTTCAGTTAGACAGGAGAAATAAATTCAAGAGTCACCATGGTAACTACAGTTAATAGCAATGTATTGCATTCTTGAAAATCACTAAAGAGGAGATTTTAAGTGTTCTTATTACAAAAAAAAAAGTATGTGAGATAATAGATATGTTAATTACCTCCATTTAGCCACTCCACAATGTATACATATGTCAAAACATCATGTTGTACATGATCTTTAGGAGGCTGAGGCAGATGAATCACCTGAGGCCAGGAGTTCAAGACCAGCCTGGCCAACATGGCGAAACCCTGTCTCTACTAAAAATACAAGAATTAGCTGGGTGTGAAAAACAGAATTAGTTCTTTATATACATTATGTCAGGCATCTTGACAACTGCTTTATGACATAGGCACCATCACCTTCATTTGATAGATGAGGAAATTGAAGCCTGGAGTCTCAGTAACTTACTAGAGGGTCACATAATGAGTACACAATGGAGTCAGATTCTATCCTACACAATCTAGCTCCATAGACTATGCACCTAAAGCAATATGTTAAGTTGCTTTCTAGTTAAAGTGCTGAAGTTTCCAAAAGGATATATATTATTTCAAAAGGTTACACACACACACACACACACACACACACACACACACACACTAGAATGGTTCCAAGGAATCCCTATAATGTTACCTTCGCTGACTAGCATTTTGGGAGAGAAGGGAGTGGCATCACAGCCAGAATGCTGAGAATTGTCCTCATGCACAGCCCAAGTTCATCTCTTCAGTGGATCACAAGGAGTCACCACTACAGATGGGTGATTAACTGTTCTGATGATTACAAATAATCACAGTGCATGACTTCCAAATTTGGGAGATGTTTGTCAAAACATGAATGTGCTTTTGACAGTGTTTCACACATAAGAGAATAATTTATCAAGCATGTCATGGTAGCAAAAATAGCTGAGAACTGATTGTTGCATTGGAAGCTAACATTGCAGTTGTGCTGATTTGAATTATCTACAAGCCAGAGGACAGAGTGACCCAATACACACCTTTTTAAGATTCAAAAATGTCTGAAAGCTGAGAATCTTAAAAAGAGACAACAATGTATGAGGGTTTTTGTTGTGTGAATTGTAAAGTTGTTTGTTGGAAAAGAAAAGGCAAAAATGAAAAAGTGAGAGGTGGGCTTCAAGTGCTTAAAGGAACTGAATTTTCTACAGCAAGATATTCCTCAATCATCTTTAACATAGCCATCCAGGCCACCTTAATTCATAATAGCATTCCAAATTTTTAATTAATGATTTTTGAGGAACACAGATGTTTATTTATACTTTATCTGACACATAAGCCTTTCTCCAAGCTGATATTTACACACAGTTCCTAACCACAGAGATCACATACAGAATGAGGATGTAAATCAAACATATCATTCCCTCCTTGCCTTTTCTTTAACATCCCATTATGGAATAAAATATATGGCTATTGGAAACGCTACATCAATTTTCTTTTTATACTATGTAAACAGTCACTTAAACCTCTTTCTCAGTATTTAAAACACAACTGACAATATATTTTCAATTTCAACATCTAAGCTTGGAGAGAGGCAAGATGGCCAACCAGATGTGGCTGGAAATCACCTCTTTCATGGAGAGGAACCTTGATACTTTGAACATATTGTATGGTGGAAAACATCAAAAGTCAATACAGAGTTAATTGTGGCTCTGTGGTTGAAGGAGGCACTGTGGTTGAAGGAGGAAGAAGCGTGGCAGCCTGCTGAATCACCAGGCACCAGGACCAGCCCCATGGACCAGACCTAAGGAAGGGGTGAGTGAAGGAACTCCCAGCCACCACATTCCTGATGCAGACCCCTGAGATTACAGCTATCGAAGTTTCCATGACACCCATAGAAAGTTGGACTGGAAAGGGGAGCTGCCTGGAGAACAAGCAGAGGCACAGCTTGAACCTGCATGGAGCCCAGAAGACATCTCTATATTGTGCACCTGCAGCAAAATGTAACCATAGCTACCCATCTCCCAAGGCTCTCGGACTTACACTGAATGGCTGCATCTCCTTCTGTCTGCCAGGCCAGGAGGCAGCAGGATCTGGGAGCACTCTCACATCCAAGACAGATCCCACCACCATTACTATGGGACTGAAGTACTTTTGATCCATGAGCCCCCTTGCCTACCAGCACCTCCCAAGACCACTTGCCTGGCCACTCCCACAGTAGGGTGCCCACAGCCCAGCCTCCACTCCCTAGCACAGAGAAGAGTGTGGTGCAGGTTCATGTGCTGGCATGGGAACTGGGTACCCTGCCCTTTGCAAGGCTGGACCAGGAAAGGTGTGGCTTGATAGCCTCAGCTTTTCCCCTGGGGGAGTCCTGCAGCCCAAAACACCCAGAATGGCCTAGTAATCTGGGCATAGATGGCTTTATCTAACAAGCATAGCTGGTTGGGCATACAGCCAGGGTAGACACCAGAGAGAGGTCAGAGGAGCACGAGCTGGGCAGGCCCCACAGCTGCCTGCTGGGCTAAAAACCCTGGGCTGCAGGCATTATACCGGTTGCACACGCATTTTGCCAGTGCCCTGCTTGGGGATCCCTCACCCTCAAGCCACTGCATCACCAGACCACCTACAGATATAAACTACAAACTGCTCTGACACTGGCAAGCACAACATCAGCAGTTTCCCAGGGAGTTGCAGATCTCCTGGGATTTGCAGGTCCCCTGGTGACCTAACCTTCAGTGTGGCCTGCCCTGCCTCTAAGAGACAGGAGAACTTGTTTCCTTTTTGGGACAAAGGAAACACAGGTGTGGCACTAGTTGCTGAAGTAGCATAATTATGGCCCAGAAATGGACTTGGAGAGGGAGTCATCTCTTGTCCCCCTTTGAACATAAATGTCCTAAACACTCCATTTAAAAGACAGAGAGTGGCAAAGTGGATCAAAAGACCCAATCTTCTTCTGTCTTCAAAAGTTCCATCTCACATGGAATGACACCCACAGGCTCAAAGTAAAGGGATGGCGAAAGATCTATCATGCAAATGGAAAGCAGAAAGAACAGAGGTTGCTATTCTTCTACCAGATAAAATAGACTCTTTAAACCAACAATAGTAAAAATAGGACAAAGAAGGGCATTAAATAATGATAAAAGGTTCAATTCAACAAGAGGATTTTGCTACCCTAAATATACATGCACCCAATATTGAAGCACCCTTATGAAACCTTCACCCTTATGAAGACTTATGATTACTACTAGACCTAAGAAAAGACTTAGAGAGCTACACAATAATAGTAGGGAACTTCAACATCCCACTGAGAGCATTAGACAGATCAAGGCAGAAAACTAACAAATTCTGCACTTAAATTTGAGTAGGTTTTTAAGGTACTGACAAGCTGACTCTAATAGACATCTACAGAATACTTCACGTAACAATCACAAACCTTCTTCTCATCTGGTCATCATTAGTAATCATCAGAGAAATGCAAATCAAAACCAAAATATGATACCACCTCACACCAGTCAGAAGGCATCCTCATCTTTCACCTTATACAAAAATCAACTTAAGATGGATCAAGGACTTAAATCTAAGACCTGCAACCATAAAAATTCAAGAAGATAACTTCAGAAAAACCCTTGTAGACATTGGCTTAGGCAAAGACTTCATGACCAAGAACCCAAAAGCAAATGCAACAAAAATAAAGATAAATAGATGAGACTTAATTAAACTAATAAGCTTCTGCACAGCATAAGAAACAATCAACAGAGTAAACAGACAACCCACAGAGTGGGAGAAAATATTCACAATCTGTACATCCAACAAGGAATAATATCAGGAATCTACAAGGAACTCAATCAAATTAGCAGTAAAAAAACCAAACAATCCCATCCAAAAGTGGCTTAAGGACATGAATAGATCATTCTCAAAAGAAGATATACAAATGACTAACAAACATATGAAAAAAATGCTCAACATCACTAACTATCAGGGAAATGCACATCAAAAGCACAATGCAATACCACCTTCCTCCTGCAAGAATGACCATAATAAAAAAATTGAAAAATAATAGAAGTTGGCAGGATGTGGTCAAAAGAGAATACTTCTGCACTGTTAGTGGGAATGTAAACTGATACAACCATTATGAAAAACAGTGGGGAGGTTTCTTAAAGAACTAAAAGTAGAACTACCATTTGATCCAGCAATCCCACTACTGGTTATCTGCCCAGAGGAAAAGAAGTCATTATATGAAAAAGACACTTGCACACACATGTTTATAACAGCAAAAATATTCATATTTATCAATATTAATTGATGGCCCAAATGCCCATCAATCAATGAGTGGATAAAGAAATTGTGATATATATCTATATATGTGCCATGGAATACTACTCAGCCATAAAAATGAATGAATTAACAGCATTTGCGGTGACCTGGATGCAATTGGAGACCATTATTCTAAGTGAAGTAACTCAGGAATGAAAAACCAAACATCGTATGTTCTCACTCATAAGTGGGGGCTAAGATATGAGGATGCAAAGGCATAAGAATGATTTAATGGACTTTGGGGACTTGAGGGGAAAGGGTGGAGGGTGGGATGGGGGTAAGGGAAAAAAGACTGGCTGGGCGCGGTGGCTCAGGCCTGTAAACCCGGCACTTCGGGAGGCTGAGGCGGGCGGATCACGAGGTCAGGAGATCGAGACCATCCTGGCTAACACGGTGAAACCCCGCCTCTATTAAAAATACAAAAAAAATTAGCCGAGCGTGGTGGCAGGCTCCTGTAGTCCCAGCTACTCAGGAGACTGAGGCAGGAGAATGGCATGAACCCGGGAGATGGAGCTTGCAGTGAGTTGAGATCGCGCCACTGGACTCCAGCCTGGGCGACAGAGCGAGACTCTATCTCAAAAAAAAAAAAAAAAAAAAGATTACAAATTGGGTACGGTGTATAACTGCTCAGGTGATAGTGCACCAAAATCTCAGAAATCACCACTAAAGAACTTATTCATGTAACCAAACACCACCTGTTCCCCCAAAACCTATGGAAATCAAAAATAAAAAATCAAATAAAAATGAGCAAAGGACCTGAGTAGACATTTCTCGAAAGAAGCCATACAAACGGCCAATGAATATATAAAAACTGCTCAACATTATTAATCATTATGAGAATGAAAAATCAAAACTACAATGAAATATTACCTAATGCGTATTAAAATGGCTTTTAGAAAGATGAGACATAAAAAGTGTTGGCAAGGATGTGGAGAAAAAAAATCCTTGTGTGCTGTTGGTTGAAAGGTAACTTGGTAAAACTAGTATAGAAAATAATATGGAAGTTCTTCAAAACATTAAAAACAGAACTTCCATATGATTCAGTAATCCCATTAGTAAGTGTATATCCAAACAAAATGAAATTATGATCTTGAAAAAATCCACACTTGCATGTTTATTTTAGCATTATTCATAATAGTTAAGATATGGACACAACCTAAATGTCCCTCAATGGATTAATGAATAAAGAAAATGTGGAACTACACATGCAAATATGCACACACACAAACACACACACACATATATACACAGAGAAATATTTTTCAGCTTAAAAAAAATCTTGGGTGTGGAGGGAGACAAATGCAAATATGTTAGGCAAGTAGTGCAAAGTTTCTGTTATGTGGGATGAATATGTTCTGGACATCTAATGTACAGCAATGTGAGTACAATTAACAATACTTTATTGTATACTTAAAATTTACTAAGGGTAGATTGAAAATAAAAGTAATAATGGAAGACATAAACAAATGGAAAAACACTCCATGCTCATGGATTGAAAGAATCAATATTGTTAAAATATCCATACTGCTCAAAGCAATATATAGATTCAATGCAATCTCTATTAAATCTCAACATCATGCTTCACAGAATTAGAAAAAACAATTCCAAAGTTCTTATGGAACCAAAAAAGGGCCCAAATAACCAAAGCAATCCTAAGCAAAAAGAACAAAGCTGGAGGCATCACATTACCTGACTTCAAGCTATACTACAAGGCTACAGTAACAAAAATAGCATGGTACTGGTACAAAAATAGACACATGGATCAATGGAGACTCTTGAAATAAAACCACACATCTACAACCAAACGATATTTGACAACATGGGCAAAAATAAAGAAATGGGAAAGGACACTCTATTCAATAAACAGTACTGGGAAAACTGGCTAACCATATGCAAAAGAATGAAACTTGACCTCTTTATACAAAAAAAATTACTCAAGATGGACTAAAGACTTAAATGTAAGACCTCAAATTATAAAAATTCTAGAAGAAAACCTAGGAAATACTCTTCTGGACATTTGCCTAGGCAAATAATTTATGACTAAGTCCTCAAAAGTAAATGCAACAAAATCAAAAATTGATAAAGAGACCTAATTAAACTAAAGCACTTCTGCACAGGAAAAAAAAAAAAAGCAACCTATCAACGTAGGAAACAGATAATCTACAGAGTGGGTGAAAATATTTGCAAACTACGCATCCAACAAATGACTAATATCCAGAATCTACAAGGAACTTAAACAAATTAACAAGAAAAAAAATAACCCATTTAAAAGCAGGCAAAAGACAAAAACAGGCACTTGTCAAAGGAAGACATACAAACAGCCAATAAACATATGAAACAATGGTCATTATAACTAATCATCAAAGAATGCAAATCAAAACCAAAATATGATATCATCTCACACCACTCAGAATGGTTATTATTAAAAAAGTAAAAAAAAAAAAACACAAATTAACAGGGGTTGAGAGGTTGTGGAGAAAACAGAATGCTTATACACTGTTGGTGGGACTGTAAATTAGTTCGGCCCTTATGGAAAACAGTTTGGAGATTTCTCAAAGAACTAAAAATAGAATTACCATTCAACCCAGCAATCCCATTACTGGGTATATACCCCCAGAAAATAAATCTTTCTAATAAGAAGATGTCTGTGCTTGCATGTTCACTGCAGCACTATTTGCAATAGCAAAGACATGGAATCAACTTTGGCGGCCATCAGTGGTAGACTGGATGAAGAAAATGTGGTACATACACGCCATGGAATACTATGCTTCCACAGGAGAAAGTGAAATCATGCCCTTTGCAGCAACATGGATGCAATCAGAGGCCATTATCCTAAGTGAATCGACACAGAAACAGAATACCAAATACTGCATGTTCTCACTTATAATTGGAAGCTAATCACTGGGTACACATGGACATATAGATGGGAATGATAGACATCCAGGACTCCAAAAGAGGGGAAGGAGAGAGGGAGGGCTGAATAACTACCTGTCACATACTATGTTCACTATCTGGGTGACAGTTTCAGTTGAAGCCTAAACCTCAGCATCACACAATATATCCATGTTAGTAACCTGAACATGTACCCCCTAAATCTAAAATATTAAAAAAAAATTTTTTAAACATAGAAAATCAAAGCTTAAAAAAAGACTATAAAGATGACATCAGTGAAAATGACAGAGTAAGGACCCCCCCAAAACTCTATCCTCCATAAAAGCAATGAGCACACTGGCAAAATTGTCAGAGTCAACTTTTTCAGAATTTTAGAAATTAATCAAAGGCTTGAAGCCATCAGGGAGCATTTTTTTTTTTCAAGAAAAAATGGTTGAATCTTGGTAAGAACAATGAGCCTCATGACATTCCAATTGCCATTTCCCTTCCCAGTTTCTGGCTATAGGGTAGCCACAAAAATCAATGGCCCACAATAATGGTTAAAACCAGTAGCCTGACAGCCACTGGAGGTAGCAGAAAGGGGCTAGTGTTCCTTCAAAGCACAATAGGATAACCAAAAAGCTGGAGGAAAAAGGCAAGGTGTGAAATGTCTACATGGGGCTTAAAAATGCTCTGACATATTCCTGGGAATCTAGAAGGCCACACAGAAGCAAAGGATTGTGCACAAGCCCAGAGCTCTGCAAGTGCTCAGGAAAGATCTGAGCGAGTGCTAAGTTCTTACCTCTGGCTCGCCCCATGCAAGTAAGAAGTGAAGCCAAAATAGAGCAGAGTACCTGGTTGAGCATTGAAGGCATGCCCTAACACACACAGAGCCCTCTTGCAAAGAGGCTTAATGGTTCCAGGCATCTAAGGAAATCTCTGTTCAATTGTTAGCGCACTGTTAAGCTAACCAAGCAGAAATGTCAGTGGCCACACATGAAAGAGAATACAGACTTTACAGAATTCATTCAGAAAAGTCACCAAACAAATGAATAGCAACACCAACAAGCAGCAACAACAACAAACTTTGAGAAGTGGAGAGAATCTGCTTTCCAGAGCTGCTCCATTAAATTATTTTAAATGTCCAGTTTTCAATAACAAAAATATATGTGATATAAAAGAAACAAAGTATGGCTTATACGCAGGGGGAAAAAGTGGTTGGTAGAAACTGTCTGATATGGTTTAGCTGTATCCCCAACCAAATCTCACCTTGAATTGTAATAACCCCCACCTGTTAAAGGTGGGGCCAGGTGGGGATAATTGAATCATGAGAGTGGTCCCCCCATACTGTTCTTGTGGTAGTGAATAGTCTCATGAGATCTGATGGTTTTATAAATGGCAATTCCCCTGCACAAGCTCTCTTGCCTGCCACCAAGTAAGGTATGCCTTTTCCTCCTTTGCCTTCTGCCATGATTGTGAGGCCTCCCCAGCCAAGTGGAACTGAGTCCATTCAACCTCTTTTTCTTTGTAAATTACCCAGTCTTGAGTATGTCTTTATTAGCAGCGTGAGAACTAACTAATACACTGTCCCTGATGAAGCCAAGATATTAGATGGACTTATTAGACAAAAGCCTTAAATCACCTACTGAAATCATGTTCAGACAAACACAAAACAAATCACAGTGGTAGAACTCAGAAGTCTGGAATCACAGTGTCATCAGAAATGTGCACCCTCCTAAGGCTTTTGAGGAGGATCCTACCTTGCCTCTTCCAAGCACTGGTGACTCCAGGCTTTCCTTGGCTTGGAGCCACATGACTTCAATCTCTGCCTCCGTCTTCACATGTCCTTGTGTGTCTGAGTCTCAGATCTCCCTCTGTCTTTCTCTTACAAGGACAGCTCTCATTGGACTTGGGGAATTACCATGAATTACCTTGATAGTCCCAATATAATCTCAAGGATTCTTATAAGAGGGAAGCAGGAGGGTTGAGCCAGAGGCAATGTGATAACAGAAACAAAGGACACCTAGGCAGAAGGAGCTGTGAAGATGCCATGCAGCTGACTTTGAAGATGGAGGAAGGGGCCCGTGAGTCAAAGAATGCAGGCAGCCTCTAGACGCTGCAAAAGGCAAGGAAACAGATCCTCCTTGCCTAGAAACTATTGTACCTCCTCTCTGGCCCCATCTCTTTTTTGCCAACCTCCAGCATCCCCTATTTCCAATAATGGTATCATTTGCAGTAGCCAAATTCTATTGATTCTTCTTTAAACATCTAACTCACATTTCTCCTTTCCCTTTCCATTGCAATGTTCTTATATAAGTCTTCCTGGAGTCTTTCTCCTTCCAAATTGTCCTCCACATGGAATTCCTTTTCTAAATAATATTGCTCCACTGTTCGAAACCTCCAAAGACCTACTTATTGATATAAAGTAACATCGACCTCCCTAAATCCAGTGTTCAATGTCCTCCCCAGTCTGGCCTTTCTATAATAGCTGCATATCCCTTGAATCGCCTTCAGAAGGCTGGCTTGTCAAAGTACCTATGCGAGCTCAAGTGTAAGGTAATGGGAGTGGCATGCTCTGTGGGAACTGGAGCACACAGGCTCCACCCCCAAGGCCATTTTTTAAACAGTATATTTTACCCTTTTTTATCATGGTAAAAAAACACATTTGTTAAACATTTTATTTTGAAATAATTTCAGAGTCATACAAATGTCTTACAAGGTAAATCTTGTAATTTTCACTCAGATTCCCCAAATGTTAATAGACTTAAGAAATAAACCACCCTCGTTTTGTCATTCTCTCCCTTTCTCTCTTTCAGTGTTTGGACATCATGCTCCTTGTACTATGGTTATAGAGAAGAGCATGCTCCAACTTTCCGCCTTCCCGCTGCCTGTTGCTGGCTATGATTCATTTTTGCAGGCTTATGCACCTGATCCAAATCAAGCCCATTAGTGCCCCAACCCAGAGTTTTTAGCATTGGAACCAAAGAAGAGTGTAGCTTCTCTTTGCGGGAGAAAGACATCGATGTCAAATGCAGGAGCAGCTGGTGGCTTGTCCCCTGCCAAGTGGAGGAAGCCAGTGTGGGAGAAGAGGCTGTGGACACAGGAAGGAGGGCAGTTACTAGAAGTTGGAGGGAGTTTAGGACAGATAGTCCCATGCATGTTTACCGTAGCAAGAGTTAGAAATAATTTCACTGGGAGGCTGAGGGGGGAGGATCACTTTTGCCTGTGAGGTGGAGGTTGCAGTGAGCTGAGATTGTGCCACTGCACTCCAGCCTGGGTGACAGAGCAAGAAAGAAATAATTTCATGAAGAAGAATAAGAATGAAAAGCACCATGACATAGGCAAAATGGAGCAAGTGCACATTTTAGGCACAAGTATTTTAGGAAGATGAACTCTGGCAGTCTATTCAGAGTCGTATGGGAGAAAGGCCTGGTGACAGGAGCTCACCAACTAAGAGGCTATTATTGTAGCCAGGCAGTGAGTCAATCTGCAAAATATTTGATGTACTTCCTTCAAAGTGTCTTGAGTTCATCATTTACTATCTACTACCCTCATCGGAGCCCTCATCTTAGCACTCTTCATGTGGGTTTTAACCTGTTTGTTTGCAGGTCTGCTTCCCTCTGCTGGATGATAACTTTCACGGGACCATTCATCATTGCATGCGGTGAGGCACACAGTAAAGGCAAGTATAGTGTAGTGTTAATGCATATGTTTCAGAGTCAACCAGAGTTTTGAACCTTATCTGTATCCAGTTATTAATAACTGTGAGATCTTAGCCAAGAAGTTTTGAGCTATAATCTCTTTATCTTAGCCTTAACCTTTCATCAGGCTGCTGTGAAGTGTAAATTAGATTACACAATCAAAGCATACGTGCCTGGAGCATATTAAAATTCAATAACTGCTATGTCTTGGTATCACAGCTAGTTCAGTGTCTGGCACATAGTGGATATTCAACAAATGGTAATTATTATGATTATACTTATTAATAATAATTTTTAAAATTTGAATGATGCCACTAATGGAAATAAGGGAGCTGGGGATGGAAGTCTGCCCCATGCAGGTAAATGTGGTCTTGGCATAACACTAAGTAAAAACAGCTGAATCTTTGGGCCACATATAGCACAGTTAACAACGTTCAGCAAAGTTATTTTAAGCCCTTCAGTAGCAATTTCAGTAGTGTTTAAGTGTCTGCGTGCATCAGGTAATCACTGAGAAATCCCTTCCAAACACCGCTAATCCCATCAGCAGTGAGTTTTCTCAAAACATTACTCATCCAGCAAGGCATGAGTAGGTGAATCAACGTAGAAAAATCAATGAAATTCTGAGAGAGGAAAATGGATACATTAAAAACATAGAATCAATTTTGTTGTCCTTCCTTATCTCCACCTTCAAAACCATATTAAGGGAGAATCAGGACTTAGTAGCAAGGAGCCAGTGGCTGGGAATACAGACAAGCAAACCATCAGACCTGACAACTGTCACATTCCGTGCGGTGGCCACCTCGTGATTTCCACCTGGTCACTCACGCTCATTTACTCATGCCTCTAGTCCTGGCTTGCAGCTCTCCTTTCAGTCTCTACTTCTGTCACCGTTCTTGGTGATTTTGAACATATGCAGATCATCTATCCAAAGCCTTGGACTGTCAGGTCTCTGATCCACCCCACCTCAGCCATCACTCACATGATTGTTTCCTAATCCTGATCACCTGAAGAACTGAACCAAATCTGAAATCTTAATGTTAAGCACCACACTCCTGGACTACCCTCTCTTAGCCTTCCAACTCATTTACTGCCATCCCATCCATTTGCAGACCCTGGCAGAGCCTCTAATCTGTTAACCTCATCACTGTTCCTCTACCCATGACACCCCCTTGTCCTCATTTCCCTCATTACCTAACTTAGGTTCTATATTAGGCACAGACGTTAGCCTATGTGCCTTATATTGATTCTTAATCTGTTCCAGGCACTTAGGCTAACATAGGTCCCTTATATAGGCTAACATAGGCACTTAGGTCTCATATATCCACTCCCTTGCAACCATGCTAAAATCTTTTGTCCAGCTCTTCCTGCATAGGCACCTGGAAAGTGCCAGCCTTAGTTAAATGCAAAGTTCTGTGTATTATACGTCTGCAGCCCAGAAGCTGAATGTTGTGAGAGAAAACCGCACACCCCTGCCTATTGGTTTCTTTTCACATGAATGACAAAAGAACTCAAACGGGCAGTCATCTCAACTAGACAGTCCTAACACATTTTCTAGTGAGTTCCTCCCGCCCAGAGCAACTGTTTCCCAACTCAATCTCTTGCTTTAAGCCTGTAACACCTTTTCCCCAACACATTGTTAAATCACTGACAAAAAAAGCAGCAATCAGATGAGTCACCCTTCATTCTCCCCCAACAAAATCTACCAACCTTTGATTGTGTCTGTACCCACCTTTCCTGCCTTCTCTCCTGCTCAGGTGGACAATGCATTCCAGCTCCTATCAGAGGTAAACACCTCCTCTTGTGCTTTGTATCCCCTACCCTCTTGACGTCTCTACAGTTTTCTCATGCAATACCTTCTTTTTCTCCTTGTGTCATCCATCTCACTCTCTTTACTGGATCATTTCCCTCAGCATACAAATATGCCTTTACAATACCAATCTTCAAAAAAAGTCCCTTGGCTGCCACATGCCCCTCAAGTACCACCCCATTTCTCTGCCTCAGTTCAGTTCAAAAGTCCTTAAAAGAACTGTGTATTTCCCAGCCTGGGCAACGTGATGAAACTCCACCTCTACAAAAAAATACAAAAATTAGCTGGGTGTGGTGGCACGCACCTGTTTTCCCAGCTACTTGGAAGGCTGAAGCAGGAGGATCACTTGAGCCTGGGAGGTTGAGGCTGCAGTGAGCTGTGACTGTGCCACTGCACTGCAGGCTGGGTGACAGAGTGAATTCCTGTATCAAAAAGAAACAAACAAACAAAAAACAGAACTGTGTATTTCCACTTAATCAATTCCTTCTTTTTTAACCCACTGGTTAGGTTTTGGTCTTTATCCCTCCGTTGAAAACACTCCTAATAAAGCCATTATGACTTCTAATATTGCCATTCCTAATAGTCCCTTTTCTGTCCTTGACTTACCTAACATCTCAATAGTATTTGACACAATTGTTTAACATCAAGTTTATTGATGCATAATTTACAAACAATAAAATGCACATACAGTTTGGTGGATTCAACAAGTGCATACATCTCCATAACAACCATCACCACAATCAAGGTATAGAATATTTCCATCACCTCAAAAATTACTTTTGTACCCCTTCCAATCAATCCCCCAAATCATCCTGACCTTAGACAACCACTGATATCATTTTATTACTAGATTTCAGATATTTTTTGGAATTTCATATTAAGGAAATCACATACTATGTACTCCTTTTCTTGCTTTTTTACTCAGCATAATATTTTTGAGATTGATTCCTGTTATTGAGTATATCAGCAATTCATTCCTTTTTAGTGAGTAGTATTAATATTGTAGGGGTAGACCACAATTTGTTTATTCATTTACCTGTTGATAGATGTTTGGGACGTTTCCAGTTTGGGGCTTCTGTGAATAAAGCTACTTTAAACATTCATGTACCAGTTTTGGGTGGACATATAAGTTTCACTTCAGTTGGATAAATTCCTAGGATTTGAGTCGCTGGGTTATAAAGTAAGTAAGTGTATGTTTAAATTTATAAAAATACCAAGCTGCTTCCAAAGTGGTTGTACAATTTTACACTCTCACTAGCAGTGATGAGAATTCTAGTTGCTCCACAATCTCACCAACACTTGGTATTGTCAGCCTTTTTAGCCATTCTAGTGGGTATGATGCAGTATCTCATTGTGGTTATGAGTTGCATTTCCCTTTGACTAATTTATTAGGTCACTCTTGTGCTACTATAAAGAAATACCTGAGACTTGGTAATTTATAAAGAAAAGAGGTTTAATTGGTTCACAATTCCGCAGGCTGTGCAAGCATGGCACCAGCATCGGCTTGGCTTCTGGGGAGGACTTAGGAAGCTTTTACTCATGGCAGAAGGTGAAACAGGAATGGGCATCTCACATGGCTAGAGCAGAAACAAGAAAGAGAGTGGGGACAGAGGAGGTGCCACATACTTTTAAACAGTCAGATCTTGTGAGAACTCACTCACTATCAGGAGGACAGCACCAAGCCATGAGGCGTCTGCTCCCGTGACTCAAATGCCTCATGCCAGATGCCACCTCCAATATTGGGAATCATATTTCAACATGAGATTTAGAGGGGACAATGTTCAAACTATATTATCCCTCCCTTGACTCTTCAAATCTCACCTCCTTCTCATATTTCAAAATACAATCATCCCCTCTCAATACCCCCTAAAGTCTTAACTAATTCCAGCATCAGCGCAATCAAAAGTTGCAAGTCCCAAGTCCAAAGTCTAATCTGGAGATGAATTCCTTCCACCTACGAGCCTGTAAAATCAAAACAAGTTATTTACTTCTAAGATACAACGGAAGTACTGACATCAGGCAAACATTTGCATCCCAAAAGGGAAAAATTGGCCAAAAGAAAGGGGCAATAGGCCCCATGCAAGTCTGAAACCCAGAAGGGCAGCCATAAAATCTTAATCTCCTTTGACTTCTGTGTCCTACATCCAGGGCACACTGGTACAAGGGTGGGCTCCGAAGGTCTTGGACAGCTCTGCCCTGTGGCTTTGCAGGGTTCAGCCCCCTGAGCTGCTTTCACAGGTTGGAGCTGAGTGCCTGTGGCTTTTCCCAGTGCAGGGTGCAAGCTGCTGTTTGATCTCCCATTCTGCAGTCTTGAGGATGGTGGCCCTGTTACCAGAAAGCGGTCCCAATCCAGACCCCAAGGGAGGGTTCTTGAATCTCAAACAAGAAAGAATTCAAGGCAAGTCCATATAGTAACATGAAAGCAAATTTATAAAGAAAGTAAAGGAATAACGAATGGCTACTCCAAAGGCAGAGCAGTGGCATGGGCTGCTCCACTAATGATACTTATAGTTATTTATTGATGGTATGCTAAACAAGGGCTGGATTATTCATGAGCTTTCCAGGAGGGGTGGGCAATTCCCAGAACTGAAGTTTCCTCCCCTTTTTAGACCATATAGGATAACTTCCTGATTTTGCCATGGCATTTGTAAACTGTCATGGTGCTGGTGGGAGTGTCTTGTAACATGCTAGTGCATTATAATTAGCATATAATGAGCAGTGAGGACAACTAGAGTTCACTTTCATTGCCATCTTGGTTTTGGTGGGTTTTGGCTGGCTTCTTTACCACATGCTGTTTTATCAGCAAGGTCTTAGTGACCTGTAGCTTGTGCTGACCTCCTATCTCACCCTAAGTCTAAGGTTAGACTTAGAAGGCCTAACCTTCTGGGAATGGAGCCAGAAGTCTCAGCCTCATTTCACCAGCCCTTATTCAAGATGGAGTCACTCTGTTTTGAATGCCTCTGACACCCCTTTCCCACAGCTCCATTAGACAGTGCCCCAGTGAGGATTCTGTGGGAGTTCCAACCCCACATTTCCCCTCTACTCTGCCCCAGTAGAAGTTCTCTGTGAGGTGTCCACCCCTGCAGCAGTCTTCTGCCTGGGCACCCAAGCTTTTCCATGTATCCTCTGAAATCTAGGTGGAGGCTGTCAAGTCTACTTTACTATTGCACTCTCCATGCCTACAGGCTTAACAACACGTAGAAGCTGCCAAGGCTTATGGCTCACACCCTCTGAAGTAGTGACCTGAGCTGTATTTGGGGCTTTTTGAGCTGAGGCTGGAGGAGAGCAGACAAGATACAAGGAGCAGTCTCCTGGGGTGGTGCAGGGCAGTGGTGCCCTGGTACTGGCCCACAAAACCATTAAGTACTCTTAGGCCTCTGGGCCCATGATGGGAAGGGGCTGCCTTGAAGATCTGTGAAATGCCTTTAAGGTCTTCTTCCCATTGTCTTGGTATTAGCATCTGGCTCCCTTATAGTTATGCAAATTTCTCTAGCAACTTGTTGCTACTCAACCACTTGGATTCTTCTCCTAAAAATGGGCTTTTCTTTTCTACCATATGACCTGGCTGCAAAATTTCCAAACTCGTATGCTCTGCTTCTCCTTTACATAGGACTTCCAACTTTAACTCATTTCTTTGCTCCTGTGTCTGAGAGAAGGTTTTTAGAAGCAGCCAGGGCACGTTTTGAACACCTTGCTGCTTAGAAATTCTTCTGCTGGATACTGTAAGTTGTTACTCTTAAGTGCAAACTTCCACAGTTCCCTAGGACATGAAAACAATGCAGCCAAGTTCTTTGCTAGGGCATATCATGAGTAACCTTTACTCCAGTTCCCAGTAAGTTTCTTATTTCCATCTGAGACCTCATCAGCCTGGCTTTACTGTCCATATTACTATCAGCATTTTGGTCACACCTTAACCAGTCTCTAAAACGTTCCAAACTTTCTCTCATCTTCCTGTCTCCTTCTGAGCCCTACCCATTCTTCCAACCTCTGCCCAATACCCAGTTCCAAAGCTGCTTCCACATTTTCAGATATCTTTATAGCAATATCCTATTCCTGGCACCAATTTTCTGTTAAGCCATTCTTGTGTTGCTATAAAGAAATATCTGAGACTGAGTGATTTATAAAGAAAATATATTTAATTGGTTCACAGTTCTGCAGGTTGTACAAGCATGGCACAAGCATCTGCTCGGCTTCTAGGGAGGCCTCAGGGAGCTTTTACTCGTGGAAGAAGGCGAAGCAGGCATAGGCATCTTACATGGTCAGTGCAGGAGCAAGACTGAGAGTGGAGAGGAGGGTGCCTCTCACTTTTAAATGACCAGATCTCATGAGAACTCTATCTGTGATGACCACTATCATGAAAACAGCACCAAGCCATCAGAGATCTTCTCCCATGACCCAAATGCCTCCCACCAGGCCCCACCTCCAACACTGGGGATTATATTTCAACATGAGATTTAGAGGAGATAACATCTAAACTATATCAACTAATTATGTTGAACATCTTTTCTTGTGCTCACTGGCTGCTGGTGTATATTCTTTTGTGAATTGTTTGTTCAAATCTTTTGGTTTTTTTAATGGGTTTTTGTCTTCTTATTATTGAGATGCAAGAGCTTTCTGTACATTCTAGATAAATCCTTTGTCAGATACATGTGTTGTAAGTTTTTTTAGTCCTGCTTTATGACTTTCCTTTTCATTTTTTAATGATGTTGTTCAAGAAGGTCTTAATTTTGATTAAGTTCACTTTATGAAATTTTTCCCTTACAGTTCATAGTTGTGTGTCTTATCCAAAAGTTCTTACCTACTCCAAAATTTCAATGGTTTTATTCTATGTTTTTTTTCTAGAAGTTTTGTAGTTTACACACTTATATTTTGGTCTATGATTTAATTTGAGTTGATTTTTGTGTATGATGTAAGGGCTGGAGTTCTTCTCAGTATAAATATCTAGTTATTCCAGCACATCTTGTTGAAAGGACTATCCTTTCCTTATTTAATTATCTTGTCTCCCATGTTAAAAATCAACTGATGATAAACGCTTGGGTCTATTTCTGGACTGTATTCTGTTCCATTGGTCTTTAAATTTTGACACCTTTTTTCCCCTTCCTTGCTTTCCACGATGCCATACTCTCCTGATTTTCTTCTTCAGCCATTTGTCAGTGTCTTTTTTTCTACATTCTTCTAATAATTGAGGTACCCAAGACTTAATTCTAAGCTTCCTTTCCTTTTTAAAATCTTACACACTATCCTTTCATCAAAGACCAGCAGGTATTAATTAGAAAAAAAGGAGTAGGAGGAGAAGTGGGGACACAGAAGGGATGGAGAGGGGAAAGATGTAAAATGACTTAGAATGTCCAGCAAGTGCAGGATCGGTGGGTGAGGGAGAACATGATACATGGAAATTAATGGAGTATAGCTGGAATCTGGACTGTGAAGGAGGAAACAGGCAAGAAGTAAAGTAAGGCAAAGTATATGGTTTCATGTAATATATAAGTATGCAGTCATTAAAATGAATTTTATAAAGAATAGTCATTGCAGAAAATTCAAATTATGTAGCATTTGAAAAACAAGATCTGTATGAATTACATAAAGTTTATATATTAATAGGAGCCTTTAAAAAAGGCTGAAAGATGTACCAAACTATTAACAGTAGTTATTCTTGAGTATTAAGATTGCAGATAACTTCATTTTTCTTGTTTTAGTTTTCTACATTTTCAATCTTTTTACAATTAGCCTTATTAAATCTGTAATGACATTTTTAAAAGCATGAAAAAAATGTGTCTTATTTTTAGAAGTGGTGCAAAGTTACTGTGAAGAATAACTAAGCTGTATGTTCCTTGTGTTATAAAGTTTGTGGCTTATGATTTTATTTATTTCTAGTTTCAGGTTCATTGTTTAGTAGCTCTTAGACATAGCAGATAAAGAAATAAAAATTGACGTCATCTGAAATAATCAGTTGGTTAAAAAAAGCAAGTTTCTGAGTAGAAAGAACATTTCCCTGGGAACATACAAATCACAGCACCCATATCTGATTCACACTAATATAGACCGCTGGGAATACTTCTTACAAAATCATGCTTTTAAAATACTTGTTTATACTTCCCAGGCTTCTGATATTATGGTGGAAATGAATGAGATAATATTTTGAAATTATCTGATCATTTAGTACAAGTATTCTACCTACATAAATACAAATTACTGTTATTTTTATTATTTTTTTCCGCACTCTAGAGTCCCAGGCCAGCTTTTGCAATTTTATATATAAATTTGCCCACAAACTGGTGAGCCAAATGGATAAAGCAAAGGCAGTCAGCCAGGCAAATTTGCATGTGGATTCTCTGAAGGACTCAGGGAGAATGTCGCCTTGCAGTTTCAGGGGCAAATTTATTTGTGTAGTACAGATGGTTGCCTCAAGAACCATTTATAACACAAATTGCTATTACAGTGTGCCATTCTCATTAACTTAGAACTAGATTAGTTTTGCCTGAGTTACAAATGGATAAAAAGTCTATTTATTTCACGCTTTTAATAATATATCTGTATATATCTTAAGCTGTATTTTAAAATATATCTACTTAAACTCAGGAAGTAAATAGGGATTTGCGAATGATTGTAACTCAAGCATCTACCTTCCTCTCTTGAGGGGGCACTTTCCTCTGGCATGTTGAGGGGTTGGTGCTGTGTTGTCTCCTGAGTCAGTTCTTGCTACAGTTGCCGTTTGAGCCTCTCTTCTGGTTTCTGCTTAATTCATATCTGCTCATTACTTAGAACTCTCAGACGAAACTCCCTTGATATAATGCTGTAATAGTCAAGAGAGTCTCAATGGAGATGTGCTCAGGTGGATTCAGTCTGGTGGAGACCATGGGAATCTCCTTAGAGAAAGCTTCTCTTGTGCCAAGTCTTGGAGGGCACAAGGGAATTGGCTAGGTAAATGAAAATGCCCTCTAGGGAGGGATAGCATGGTGTACTTACTAGTTCAGGCAAAAGGGTGAATCTGGAGCTGAGAGACAATAAATTGATACCTGGAGCAGTGCACTTGTACTTTCCATGCAAGCTGTTTGGGTAGCTGGAATTAAGAGGTCAAGTAAGGACATACAGGAGACGAATCTCTAGAAGTAACTAGATTACCATGTTAGGCTGTTTTTGCATCACTCTAAATAAATACCTGAGGCTGGGTAATTTATAAAGAAAGGGGGTTTAATTGGCTTATGGTTCTGCTGGCCATACAAGAAGCAAAGTACCAGGGTCTGCTCCTGGTGAGGGCATCAGGAAGCTTCCAGTCACAGTGAAAGGTGAAGCAGGAGCAGCCGCATCACATGGCAAGAGCTGAGAGCAAGAGAGAGAGAGCACGGAGAGATGCCACACACTTTCAAACAACCAGATCACATGTGTGGGAACTCGGAGCAAGCACTCACTCATTACCAAGAGGATGATGCTAAGCCATTCATAAAGGATCTGTCCCCATGATCCAATACCTCCCCTTAAACCCCAACTCCAACATTGGAGGTCATATTTCAACGTGAGATTTGGAGGGAACAAAAGTCAAAACTGTATCAATCATGAAGGATATTGATATTATAGGATAGGCAATGTTTGCAGAATTGAGTATGGTCTGCAATTACTTCCCTTTACTTCATATTTTTACTATTCTTTGCTGCCTGATTTGAACGTGTTTTCATCCTCCCACCCATCCCTTCTCTTGCCTGGTTTTTCTGCCACTGGTGATCTAGCAGTTTAGTTCTTTTTTTTTTTTCCAGCAAAAGAGCATCGATTTCTCAATAGCAATTTAGTTCTGTCTCATCTAGTTAACATATGCATTCTTAAATGCTTTCTATACTTGTCTCACATTCTCCTACCTTCAGCTCCTGACAACTGCCTGATTTGCTCTGTATTTCCAAAGCTAAATTAGTAAGAGAGGGAATTAGATAGTTTAGATAATTCCTTTCTTCTCTATCTAACAGAACTTTTCATGACAGCCCTATCATGAGCTACTAGCCTGACCTTGGATTGGCTGCCCTTGGGTCAGACTCCAGGCCTGGTGGTATCTGGCAGGAAGGGCAATTTCGATAAGGTCACAGAAATCACATGGACAGAATGTGCCTGCCAAAGGCTGTTCCTTCAGTCGGAACTGTAAGCAGGGCTTTTGCCCTTTGACCAGGCCAAGGGAAGCAGGCCTTGTCATGCAGGGGTTCAAGGTCCAGCTCCACCACTTACTAGCCTTGAGTAAGCTATTTAGTCTTGTTAGAGCACCAGATCTCAAAACTTTAAATTGAGAATGAAAAATACGTAACTTGCAGAATGAGTGTGAGAATTAGAGATCGTATATAAAATACCTGCTTCACGGCAATTACATGATAAATAGTAACAAACAAGGTGGGAGGGTCACTTGAGCCCAGGCGTTTGAGATCAACCTGGGCAACATAGTGAGACCCCATTTCTAACAAAATGTTTAAAAAATTAGCCTGGCGTGCTGGTCCATGCCTGTAGTCCCAGCTACTTGGGAAGCCGAGGAGTTTGATGCAGCAGTAAGCCATGATTATGTCACTGCACTCCAAAAAACAAAAGAAAGAAGCACAGAATGTTTAACCTAGTCTTAAAATGAGACTTTCCCTACCCATTGCCTCTATTGTTGAACATTTTAAGTTTATCCCAATTTTCCATTTTTATAATTAATGCTGCAGTAAACATTATCATGAATATAGTTCTCTCTTTTGAATTATTTTAAGATAAATCCTTAAGATATGCTTTACTAGAACAAAGGATATAAATATCTCTATGGATTTTAACGCATATTGTCAAAGAGGAATCCAAAATAAATTAATGAGTAATGCCAAAAAATGTTAAGAACTTGCCAGTTACCTTGAAGACATACCTGAATTAAATATTATGCTTGTTTTTTTTTCTTTTGGGTTTAGTAGATATAAATGAGATCTTGCTATGATTTGTTATTATGACTAACAATATTAGATTTTAAAATGGCTATTGATTTTCATTTTGTGTGACTGAACTGCTCATGTACTGCTTATTGATGAGGTTACAAAGTGTATACAATATGTGCATATATATGGAATACACACACATATATACACATATGTATGCACATATATACACACACATACATACACAAATATACATACATATACACACACACATATATATCTCACTTATGATTCTTATCTCATTATAAAATTTTTATGTTTAACTTCATATACTCATAGCTTTCCACTCCATCATAATATTTGAAATTTCTGTTTTTATGTCAGCACCACATTTAAAATGCATTCTAACATGGGAAAGGAATAGCTCTTTTTCCTTGCTCTGTTCTTCTTCTTTTTTAAAGATCATTTATTATTATTGCCTACCAATTTATTCAAAATTAATTTCAGAATTATTTTATGGATTCTATAAAATAATTAGGTGGGAATTTTTATTGATGTTGATTAATGCAATCCATCCATTAGAGAAACTATTTTACTTCTTTACCAGTATAGAAGAGATTTCTGAAATATTCTTTTCTGTATACCAATATAATTTCATAATTTATCTTATGTAGTCATGCAGACCCCGACCTAATTCATAATATATATCTTTACTTTATTAGAGTCTTTATTGTTACTATTAATTTAAGCTGATTTCTCAGTTTTTGTGACTACAAATAATGCCTTCTTGTTACAAAATTTTAATCTCAGATAATTAATTTTTGAAGTATAGTTTTAAAAGGAAAGAAAGAAAGAAAACAAAGAAAGGAAGTAAAGGGAGAGAGGGAGGAAGAAAGAAGGGGGAATGGAAGGGAAATTTCAACCAAACTCCACTGTTTTCTAACATCTATTTGAATCTGTTTATATCTTTGTAAAAGCTATTTATATATTTCTTCTTTAAATAAATTATGATTATTTTATATATATATATATATATATATATATATATATATATATATATATATATATACACACACATACCCTTCTAGGATTTTCCTGAATTTTATTACCTACAAATAACAATACTGTTTTATTTCTTTCAAGTAATAACTTCTTATAACATTTTGTTTCTTTATTGTATTATTAACTCTCAAAGCAATGTAATCAAAACAGTAACTGAGAAATGAGGGAATGGGAGTATACAGTTCCCTCTCTTTACATTTCCACTTTGTTCCTGGGGGAAGACACACTTCTATACCCCCTCATTACACTGGACCTACACTAGTATTTAATCTCATTGTTGATAGCTTGGAAGATTCATTGGTGCATGCTTGGCCAGTGGAAGAGGGCGCCTTATTAAAAGATGTGTTTCTGTGCATACATGCTCAAATCTAATTTCTCTGCCTAAAACTGAATGGTCTGCTCCGAAGAACTGACAAAGAATAAGAAAAGAGCAGGTCTCACAAAGGCCTCCTGTTTTTTGCTGAATTCTCCAACACAGCCCTACATTCTAATTTATATCACAGGCTTGCCTGCGATAATAAAGGAGTATTTTGTTTCCTGCAGCTTCCTAGACCCAAATGCTTAACACATTGATGCTTCCTATGGACCAAGCACCAATGTGTCTAGAAATGAGCACATGAGAATACAGAGCTGTGTGCGCAACTGCTTCTAGCCCACCTGGTGTCTCTGTGTGAAGTAGAAAATTCTCATGAAGACACTTGAGTGCTTTTTGTCCAGAATATATTTATCATTTATCTATGATACGTATTTATCATACCATTTCTATGATACGTATTTATTGTTTTTCTATGATAAATACAGTATGAATGGTGTGTGAAAGGAAATTAAATATTGAGGCCCCCAACTCATTAAGCCGAAGGGAAAAGTCAAACTGGGAACTGGGTCACACAAACCCGCCTCCCCCTTTTGGTTCCTAAATAAGATGGCTACAAGATGTAAAGCTACTTGCCTCCCCCCATTTGCCCTCAAGGAAATTCCTAGTGAGCTGCAAGATCTTTTAATGTATTTCTGTTAAAATTTCACCATGGCAATGTAAAATGATAGCTTATATTTATAGGTGGAGTCACCCCCAGCCCACCAGACACATATGCATATCTGATGTTCCCCTGCCCCATTTTGTCTATATTATCTTATGTAAAATGCAGATTCCCTGCAGTTTTCCTCTGCCTCATTTGTCTATGTCATCTTATGTAAAAAAATGTAGATTCACTGAGCCAGACAAAGGCATGAATGACTATTTTTCCCTACCTTCCTCTTACATGGAAATTGTGTACTTCTCAATATTCCGCTCTTTCCCCTTTAAATTTGGAGCCCTTAAAATCAACTTCAGAGAAAGGCATAGTCCTGTCTCCCGGGCGCACACGCTTATATCTTTGGCAAATAAACCTCCTAAAATGATTGAGACTTATCTTGTCATTTTTCTCAATTGACAGGTGTTTCTTAAAACTGTTCAATGCACAACCTGCAAACTGTATGTGGTGGCCTGGCTCGGAACGGAGATTGCAATCCATGCTGAAGCTGCAGTGAGTTCACTGAGTCAGGGGAGTGGCAGCTGATCTGAAATCTTAGTGGTAGCTGGAATCTACAGGTAGGGCTCCACAGACTCCGACTGTGATCACAAACATCATCAGATTCTTGTGAAAACTGATTGATTTGGATGCCAGAAAAGAGTTGCCTAATATCACAAACAGAGAAATCAGAGTTCTATTTCCTAGAGTAGGGATGGATATCCTGAGGACTTCAAAATTGCAGAGGTAGCTGCAGTTTTTGTCACAGTGCCATGGGAAAGGACAAAGCTATCTCCAGAGCCAGGAAGGCTCACCACAAACAGGCTTTTGTAAAATACAAGAACTGGGCATGGAGGTAGTAGGTGCAATTTTGGAAATGCAAAGTATTGGTAGTTAGGAAATGAATATAAATAGATACACACTGCACACACACACACACACACACACACACACACATATTTTTTCTTTTTCCATTTATTCTACTTATGAGCTAGAACTGTGGGACCAGTGCCTTTAAAGTGTTGTCTGAAGTAGCAGGATGATGAGAGGTGAATAAAGATTCTTTTGTGTAGTGAGAGTTAAGCAGGACTACAGTAATTAAAAAGAAAATTGGGGAGGGGGTTGTTAGTGAGGAATACACGGCAGATGTAACTGTTTCTCATGGAGCCCTTGAGGAGATATTGTTAGGAAATGCCAACAACTGTGGGATGGAATGAAAACCACCTTGGGGACATACATATCCAGGAACATGGTGGACTAGATAGCCAAAACATTCCTTCCAGTGCAAACATCTGGAAATACAAGATAAAATGTGATAATCATATTGATAAAAGTATAAATGACCTCATAGAAGGTCAAAGAAATTCTCATCATTCAAAACTAAAAGGGAGCTGGAAATCAGAATAGAAAGCTGACAATAAAACCTTCACTGCCTCCCATGCATTTAGCAATGTTGGTAACCTAAAAGTGGTTATTTTAATGGCTACTGGGAGACAGAAGATGAACTTGCCAGAGCAAGGGAGGATCCTTGGAGAGCAATACCCATGATGACAATGGACCAACTAAAAAAACTCACATCAGAGCAAAGGAAACCAGAAGTAAATTTTTCTGGTTTGGGCTGGGTTATTAGTAGAAAAAGAAAGTCGCCTTTGAGAATTTGTAACCACAGGTCTATACAAAATGACTCTGAAGTTTGGATTTTTGTGAACATAATTCATGGTTAAGAGACATGTAGGTGGCTCTCACCAGTAGTCCCAGCTACCCAGGAGGCTAAGGTGGGAGAATCACTTGAGCCCAGGAGTTTGAGACTGCAATGAGCCATGATCATATCACTACCCTCCAGCCTGGGGAACAGAGTGAGTGAGATCTTGTCTCTAATAAAAGAGAAAGTGTTAAGGAAAAAAGCTGAGCGTTGGGAAGAAAGCTGAGGTGGGGCTTGCGTGACTGACATAATGTCCTCTGGAATGTGTCTAGACTTGCTGGCTCCTTGCTTCTAGCCCTCCTAGGCTCCTAGATCCATTGTATTTCCGTTATCTCAAGTAGCAGAACATGTTCCATATAAATGCTAAACTGTCACAGCTGTAGATCATGTGCCTGCCCTTTTGACCTCCACATTCTCACCACCTGTTTCTTTGTTGGATTACAAATAAATAGCGGGGGCTCCCAGGGCTCAGGGCCTTCACGATCGTGATGGCCCGCTGGTCCCACTTCTCTGTCTCAAACTGGCTTTTTCTCAATCCTTTGACTCCGCCGGGCTTTGTCACCCCCATGACCTGGTGTTGGGTCTGATCACCCCAACGTTCCTGGCTGCTCAATGTGGGGTGACAAAGACCCCGGTGAAGGAACGCTAGAGCGTGTGAAAGCAGAGGACGCATCATCAGAGGACACCTGAGGATGTCTAAAAGAAGCTCAGCAGGAAAGCTGAGTGCTGGGAAGAACCAGGGTAGCAATGGGACAAAGTGAAAGCAGACATTCTGCTTATTTAAATTTCTTAAGGCGTTTATTATGAAGAGGGGGGAGTGAAAGTTAGTGCTCAGAATTTATCACTCTTCAGTGCAGTAAAGCAGTTTTGCCCATGGTTCCCGGAACAAGGGACTATGGAGTTGGATGAATGGGAGAGAATTGGCAGAGATTTTTAAAAAAACATATAAAGGTGGAGCAAATATTCCAGTCTCGGTTTGGTCAATGTGGGCACTAATAAAAGCAGCTCTTGAGCCATTTCAAACAGATCATGAGGCAGATTCAGATGAGGAAGAGGAGGGCGAGTGTAAAAAACTAACTTCAGATTCTGAATGTGAGGAACAGAAACCGGAGGAAATCAAAGAAAGGGAAACCGAAAAAGGTATGTTTTACTAGCCCCTCAGCTCCACCTGCTGAATTAAGTGAATGGCCACCTCCTCTCTCTCCCCTTAGTGGGCGAGAAAATGAATTAGCTACAAAACTTACCGCTCCTGTAGTTGCAACATTAAAACCTGGAGCAATTGGTAGTACTAAGACCCAGTGGAATCTGAGGCTTGTTTATTTAGAGAGCACCTCAATAAACTGAGGCATATCCGGCACAGCCAGTGCCCTTACAAACGGCAACAATTGTCTCCCACCGCGGCGGGCAGTGCTGCCGTGGACCTTTGCAGCACAGTTCTCATTTCCCTGCTTCCTGGGAGCCACTGGAGAGGGTCCCCACGGGAGTTGGGGGACCCTTGCCCTCAGGAACCGTCGGTCTATTACTTGAAAGATCTAGAGGTGGCACTGTGCATACGGAAATGATTGGTTCTGATTATACCAGAGAAATTCAATTAGTTATTAGTTCCTCAACTCTGTGGTCTGCTTCCCCAGGAAAAAGAATTGCTCAGTTGTTGACATAAAGCTGGGAAGCAGCACAGTGAGAAGAACAGGAGGCTTTGGTAGTACTAATCCAACAGGAAAGGCTGTATTTTGGGTTAATCAAGTGTCTGACAAAAGACCTATTTGTACAGTAGACCTGCTGTTGGATGCTTACAGACTGACACACAGGCCTGGTTGGCAGTAGTCTCCGGAAAAAATAAATCATGCGCTGCTTTGCGTAGGGCAAGTCAAGTCATCTTGAAGCTTCAGTTTCATGTTTAACCTGCCTCTGCTGGAGAAAAACAGATTTAATAAGCACACAGGCATGATATGGGCTGAATGTGTTCATTGTGGTGTTTGTGGCCTTTATGATGGGAATGTTCAACCTCTACTACTACATTGGTGCAAAACAAAGTGAAGCCTTCACAACAGAGTTTTAAGACACTGCTCTAGGCTATATTTGGACTTTCTGAAGTGAAATCAGTGGTCATCAACTATAACCACAAATTCATTGAAAACATTGGTTATGTTATTTATGGAGCCTATAATGTTACAATGGTCATTGTTTTGCTAAGTATGTTAACTGCCATGATCAACAATTCATTCCAGGGAATTGAGGATGATGCTGATGTGGAGTGGAAATCTGCAAGGGCCAAACTCTGGTTTCCCTGCTTTGGGGAGGGGAGAGCACTTCCTGTTCCCTTCAATCTGGTGCCAGGTCTGGGGTCCCTGTTTTGTCTCTTGCTGAAGCATAAAGGGTGGATTTTTCAGCTCTACCCAGGGTCATAAAAAAGGTTTCCAAGAAAGATGCAGAGATAAGTCAGTAAGTAGAGATAAGTAAGTGGAGACAAGAAAGTAGAGACAAATAGAGACAGAGACAAATAGAGACAGATAGAGATAAGTAGAGAGAGAGAGAGATAAGTAGAGAGATAGAGATAAGTAGAGAGATAGATGAAGACTAGCAATATAAGATCAGTGCCCTAGTAGAGGTTACTGATCAGTGCCCTAAAGAGGTACAAAAGTAGAGACTAGCAAAGACTAGCAGAGATTTGCAGGGACAGACAAGAACATTCTGAATTATGAAATTAGCTATGGCTCAAAGGGCAAATATAAAGGGAATAGAGGGGAGGGAGGCAAGGATAAAAATGCTCTTTCTTTTCTCTCCAACAGGACCTTTTGGTCCTTTAAATAATCAAAGGGCAGATGCACTGGTGTCTGCAGTCTTTGCTGATGCACAAGCATTCCATTCTTTAACTCATCTTAATGCTGCAGGCCTTAGAAAAAGATATGGTCACATACAAAAAGCTGGCAAAAAGGAAAGATAATTATATGGGGAAGAGGAGTTGCTTGTGTCTATCCAGGTGACAATCAGGAGCCTGTGTGGGTGCCCACCAAACATCTGAAGATCTATCATGAGCCACAACATCTAGTGGACCCACCTGTATAATGCGAATTGAAGGTTTGAAAAGCCTCGATTTGCTTTCTCTGTGCCTTCTGTTAATCAGAAAAGACCTGTTTCCCATTATCAGTTGAAAGTTTTACCTCGCAGTAATTAATCAGAGGCAGAAACTGAGTTAACAAATGCTTCAGCAACGGCATGGTCCCGGCTACAGCCACAGAAGTTTTTGCTTCTGTTTCAGTAGATTTACTAACGTGGGGGGTGAGGGTATACTTGTGCTTTTTCGGGAGATGAATGAACCATGTGGATGCCTTAAGATGTGTACGACCATGGAATGGGAGACTGGAGGGACCCATGGATCCCAACCATGCACTGAGTTCCCCCAGTATGAGCCACGAGCCAGTTGAATCTGAATGAGAAGATGCAACAAGGGCCGACCAGAGTCATGATGCTTAATGGACCAATGCTTTCTGACTCAGCTCCTCTCTACCTTGAATACAAGAGACCCTAATGGTTAGGCAGGAGTATCATTGCCCCTATTCAGTATAAAGAAGTTACAGAAGATGGACCTTCATCATTTTGCAACCCCTAGGATTAAGGATCCTCTTGTAAAAGGGAAAGGGGAGATATGTGGGAAGCATTCAAACCAGAGTGACTCTAGTAATAATGATGGCTAGTAATAATGGTAGTAATAATGATACCTTCTTTTACAAAAAAGAGAAGGGGAGCATGTTGGGAAAAATGCTGAGGGTTGGGAAGAATGCTGAGATGGGGCTTGCGTGACTGACATAATGTCCTCTGGAATGTGTCTAGACTTGCTGGCTCCTTGCTTCTAGCCCTCCCAGGCTCCTAGATCCATTGTATTCCCATTATCTCAAGTAGCAGAACATGTTCCATATAAATGCTAAACCGTCACAGCTGTAGATCATGCACCTGCCGTTTTGACCTCCACATTCTCACCACCTGTTTCTTTGTTGGATTACAAATAAATAGCGTGGGCTCCCAGAGCTCAGGGCCTTCGCAGCCCCCATGATCATGATGGCTCCCTACTCCCACTTCTCTCTCTCAAACTAGCTTTTCTCAATCCTATGACTCCACCGGACTTTGTCACCCCCATGACCTGGTGTTGGGTCTGATCACCCCAACAGAAAGAGCGTGATAGATAGACATGCAGGACAGGATGAGAACAAGGTAGAAGAAATAAATACATGATGGTTGAGAATTTTGCAAAATTGATGGAAGGCACAAATCCTCAGAAACAGGAAAAGAAATCATGAGTAAAAAGATACACAATAGTAATGAAACTGCATAATAAAGATAATGAGATTATCTTAAGAGCAGACAGAGCAAAGACAGATTATCTACAGAGGAATAGTAATTGACTGCCAACAGGCTCTTACCCGCAAAAACAGAAGCCAGAAAACAGTGGAAAACAATTAAAATGCTGAGCCAAAAGTAAATGTTGTTATGCCCCAAGGAAAAATGTATTTCAGTAATGAGGGGTGAATAATATTACAGGATCTTTGGGTTTTGAATTTCTTCCCAGAAACTTGTGGCCAGTGGCGCCTTTACAGTTCTTGTTCTGCATCCAGGAAGAACGAGATATGCAGGCAAGTGAGGGGTGAAGAACATCAACAGGAGCTTTATTTCTGTTAGAACAGCTCAGAAGAGACCCGCAGTGGGTAGCTCCTCTCTGTAGGCAGGTTGTCGGGTCCAGTGGTTCAGTGTTCAGCTCTACAGCGGAGAGGAAGCCCTGGAGAGGGTAACTCCGCTCTGACCACTGGTCCCCCTGTGGTCGGCTACTCTTAGCAGAGAGAAGGCCCTGGAAAGGGGAGAGAGGAGAGTGGGGGGCAGGCTGTGGAGAGGAGAAATAGGAGGCCCTGGAGAGAGAGAATCTTCTCTGCAGGCAGGTAGTTCACACCTCTCTGCAGGTCTCTGAAGCTCTCGCAGAGAGGAGAGGATAGCTCCTCTCTGCAGCTGGTGGTCTGGTTGTTTCTCTGTCCTCTGCCCTCTGCTCTGGCTGTCCTCTCCCCTGCTCTGGCAGGGCCCAGGGCTTTTATGTACTTCAGCCGGGAGGAAGTGCCTATAGATTGGTCCATAGGGGCCTGGAAAAGGCACCACAAGTCCCCACTCCAGTCCGTGCAAGACTGGCAGCCCTGGCCTGAAGGTGGGGCCTTACTGAAGACCCGCCCCCTTCCCCCCAAGAATCTGTCTGCCTGCCACTGCCACTCATGGCCCTGGGGCTCAGCCTTAACCCTGCTTCCAGATTGGAGCAGGGCAGGGAGTGGAGAGAGGCCAGGCAGGGTGAGCAGGCACACTTGAGCCTGCAGGGGTTGGGTGGGGGGCACCTTCCTGTGCCCCCGAGGGTGCAAGCTGGAGATGCCTGAGTCCTGCACCTGGGAGGACCCCCGTGAAGCTGCACTGGGGAGCTCCTGCCCCGCCAACTCAGAAGAGGTGGGGCTCCCACTTGCTCCAGACTCTCGCCTGCTCGCTTTGCGGAGCAGGAGGCCCAGGCCTGCAGCCGGGGGTCGGGCAGCTGCAGCTGCACCCAGGAGGGCAGAGATCCTGCCTGCTCCCAGCCCCTCCAAGAGCACAGGGAGGCTCAGATAGACAGCTGCAGTTTGGGCAGCTGCAGCTCTGTCCAGGAGGGTGGGGCTTCTGCCTGCTCCATGGAACCAGAGGCCAGGGTCTGCAGCCCCTCTTTGGGTGGCTGCAGCGGCCCCTGAGGAGCTCCTACTTTAACTCAGAAGGGGCAGGGCTCCAGCCACATCTCCCTGCTGCAGCCAGCATGATGACTAGCAGCTGCTGCCATCAGTAAGACAATTTTAGACAAACAAAACCAGAGAATTTACCACCAACAGAGCTTTATAGAATGAACTTCCAAAGTTTATATTTTAAGCAAAAGGACAACTTTTTCCAAAATAAAGGTCTGAGGTGCAAGAAATAATGGTAAGCAAAGAAAATAGTAAACATGTAGATGAATAGAAAAAGTTCCTTGCTTAAAATAATGGTAACGCTGAATATGAGAATTAGAAAGAGAAAAGACTAAACTTCTGGACTAAATGACAAGTAACACAGTAGGGGAGGGGAATCTAACTTAAAGCACTGTAGGCTGCTGGTATTTTTGGGGAATGTAGAGATATTGATTAGCTTTAAACATTGTTATATTGAATATGGATTCTAAAAATGTATGGAAACCACTAAAATAGTAGAAATGGAGTATATAACTTTCAAATGAATAATGGGAAAAACAAATGAGTAAAATCAAAGTAATTCCAAAAGAAAAAAGAAAAACAAAGATGTATAGAAAAGGAATCAATAGAAAGCAAAATATATTGTGTATATCAGTCAGAAATCTTTAGTCATAATACATATGGATGAATGAAACTTACTAATTAAAAGACAAAGTTTGATTACATTTTTTTAAGTCCAACTTGATGCCACTTTTAAGAGATAACCTGAAACATAAGAACAGGCAGAGATTAAAATAAAAATCAGGGAAAAACTATACTAGGCAAATGCTAACCAAAACAAAGGTGTTAAAGTTATAATCGATTCCACAGATTGGCTTTAAAGGACAAGCATTTGATTAGAGATAAAGTTATTACTACATTATGATAAACTTTTCATTTCGCCAAAAAGATACAAATATTCTGTACTTGAATGCACTTGACAGCATAACCTCAAAATATAGAAAGCAAAAATGGACAGAATTTGAGAAAAATTACAAGTCTATTATCATATCTGAGATTTTAATATACCTCTCTCAGTAATTAGAAAATTTAACCAACAAAAAATCAGAAAGGAAGAGAAAATTTGAACACTATCATTTACTTGAGGTTGTTTACTAAGTGAAAATCTGTGTACATTATTTTTAAGTACATGTGGAACATTATGTAAGTTGACCATTCACCCAGGCAAAAGCAATTATCCAAAAATTTTAAAGAACCTGTATCACACAAAGCACATTCTCTGACCACAAGGCAATTATATCAAAAGCCAATAATGTTTAAAAAGCTAAAAATCATACAAAACTTCTTATGTTTGCAAATGTAAAAGCACAACAATAGCTAAGCTTTACTGAATGCTTATTATGTACTAGGTATTATGTTTATATTTATTAAGGGTTTTATGTTTATTAATTGCTTAATCTTCACAACAACCCAATGACATGGGTACAATTATAATTCTTACTTTACAAATGAAGAAACTGAGAAACAGAGAGTTTAAGTAATCTGTACAAAGTTACACTGCCAGTAAGTGTCAAAGACGGGATTGAGCCCAGGCAACCTGTTATTAAACCTGTGCTCTTAATTGTGAAGTTGTGATACTACAGCTGCCTTCACTCTTTAAATAATTCATGGGGCAAAGAAACTATCATCATAAGAGAAATCATGATGTTGAAAAGTACTTATCAAATTTGTGAAATGTATTTAAAATTGTACTTAGTGGGAAAAGTAAAAATATAATAGCAAAGGAAAAATGCATGGTAATAATTATAATGGTTATTGATACACGCTAAGTGTCAAACTTAAGCAGAAATTTTTAAAATATAAGAAAAGGCCCGGCATGATGGCACACCCCTATAATCCCAGCACTTTGGGAGGCTGAGGTGGGCAGATCACTTGAGATCAAGAGTTCCAGACCAACCTGGCCAACATGGTGAAACCCATCTCTACAAAAAATACACAAATTAGTCGGGCGTGGTGGTGTACCCCTGTGGTCCCAGCTACTCCAGAGGCTGAGGTGAGAGGATCGTTTGAACCTGGGAGGTGGAGGTTGTTGTGAGCTGAGATTGTGCTACTGTGCTCCAGCCTGGGCAGCAGAACCGGACCCTGTCTCAAAAAAATAAATAAAAAATAAAAGAAAGGTTTGTACAACCTTCTGCCATCAAATTTGAAAACTTAGGCAATTTCCTGAAAATACAAATGTGATTTACTAAAATTGACTCAAGGGAAAATAGAAAACTCAATGTACCTAAAACCATGAAAAAGGCTGAATTTTGAGTTTAAGATCTACAATCAATAGAGAAGATAGATAGATGATACATACATAGATTTAAAAAGCCAACCCATTGACATATAGCTTCAGAATTACAGGGTCAGTTTCTAGATTAAGCATCAGGATATAATGAATTTCTAAAACCTGACCTAGACCTGGCTTTATTACAATTTGAAAAAGTCTGCAAGAGGTTTCTAATTGTATTATGATGGTTATTCACATTTTTAGGTCTTTTTAATTTTATCAGCATATACAAATAGTTTTTTCTAGTGTCCAAACACTAACTTCAGTTAAATTAAACACTGACCTTTGTGGAAGCATTGTGTAAGATTATTATATTCATTCTCACAAGTAGAGAAAATTCTAGACTATAACAAGCTTATAACATTCCCATAATTTTTATCTGTCAGGTCCTAATAAGAGATGAAGAACAATGAAGATATCGTGAAAAATATTTTGCTTCCCTGCCTTCATACAATCCTCTAACAGTCAAAAATGTATCTGCAGCGCCCAGTAAGGCCAACTGATGACTCAAACACAACCCCCCAAGGGTGTCCTTATGCCCTTCCATTGCTTAAAATAAAGAGCTCGGGGGTCACTTACGGAAATCAATGGGTAAGTCAAAATGTTAGCCATATAACGCCAGCTATATTTACTTCAAAGGAAGCAAAACTGTCATGCCCAAAGACAAAAACAAACGTGATATCTGATGACATCATCATACTTTAGTCATTCACCATGCCAAAGAAAAGCTTTTTTTTTTTCTGAGACAGAATCTTGCTCTGTCACCCAGGCTGGAGTGCAATGGCATGATCTCGGGTCACTACAACCTCTGTCTCCCCGGTTCAAGCAATTCTCCTGCCTCAACCTCCTGCGTAGCTGGGATTACAGGTCGGTGCCACTACGCCCGGCTAATTTTTGTATTTTTAGTAGAGACCAGGTTTCACCATGTTGGCCAGGCTGGTCTGGAACTCCTGACCTACTGAGCCACCCACCTTGGCCTCCCAAAGTGCTGGGATTACAGGCATGAGCCACCGTGCCCGGCCTAAGAAAAAGCTTTTTAAACAACACAGATTGAAATAGAATAAAGCGGATAACGACAACCACGAAAACTGCTACTGAAATCAAGTGTAGCATGATAAACTCTGTGGTGGGCCCCTTACCTGGGTGCCCTATGCATGTGCTATGTGCTTATTTTGCTTAATGCTAATCTAATCTCTTAGCCTAGACTAATGTATAATACTATTCATGTCATTTTCCACCATCCCTAATGTGAGAGATTGTAAAATCCAACCACCTTTACAAATATATATGCTCTGGAGTATGTTTATGCTTCTATAACAAAAATATTCATGAAACTCAACAGAAGGGTATTCCAGATCTAGTCTAGATACTGTGGAATTTATTTATTGAGAATTTTTCTTACTGTTCTGGTGAAATATGTTTTCATTAGGGTGCTCTCAAACAAACCAACAAAACAAAACAATTTGACTTAAACAATAAAAAACTGACCAGCTTGCATTTACACAAAGTCCAGAGATAGGCTCCATGTTGATTGATTGGTTCAGAGGCTCACTTGGATCAAGAACTTAGGTTCTTTCCATCTCTTTGCTCTGTAACCACCTGGTTTATATCATTTTCAAACCCAGTTCTTATGGCAGCGGCTGCTGCCATCATGCCGGCTGCAGCGGGGAGGTGTGGCTGGGGCTGTACACTCCATAGAGCTGGCGGGAGCCCCGCCCCTTCTGAGTTGAGGCGGAAGCTCCTCGGGTGTCGCTGCATCCTCCCAAACCATGGTTGCAGGCCCAGGCCTCCTGCTCTACTGAGCCTCCCTGTGCTCTTGGGGGTCGGAGGGCGGGAGCAGGCAGGATCTGCCCTCCCGGGTGCAGCTGTAGCTGCCTGACCTACGGCTGCAGACCTGGGCCTCCCGCTCCAAGGAGCAGGCAGGAGCTGGGGACAAGCACGAGCCCCACTCCTTCCAAGTTGGCGGGGGGCGGGAGCTCCCTGGGTGCAGCTGCCTCTGCCCTCCCAGGTGCAGGACTCGGGCATCTCTGCAGCCTGCAGCCTCAGGGGGCTGGGAAGACACCTGTCCCCCAGGCTCCGGGGTGTCTGCTCCTGCTGCCTGGCCTCTCTCAGCTCTGGGCCTGCTCCAGTCTCTGAGCAAGGTTGGGGCCAAGTCCTGGGACCATGAATGGCAGTGGGAGGCAGACAGATTCCTGGGCGGAAGGGGTTGGGTCCCCCGTAAGGCCCCACCTTCAGGCCAGGGAGGGCCTGAAGGCTGGGGGTAGGGCGTCCAGTTCCACAGATCAGAGTGGGGACCTGTGGTGCCTCTTCCAGGCCTGCCCATGGCTGCTCATGGAACAATCGGCTAGCGTTTCCTCCCCTCTGAGATCCATAAAAGCCGGCAGCTCAGCCAGAGCAGGGCAGAGGGCAGAGGACAGAGAGATGATGGGATGACCCGCTGCAGAGAGGAGCTACCCTCCTGCTGAGAGCTTCAGAGACCTGCAGAGACTTCCAAATGATCTGCCTGCAGAGATGAGCCACGCTTTCCAGGGCTTTCTCTCTGCTGAGAGCTGAGTACTTGAGGAGAGGGCCTGCCTAGGAGCCGACCTGACTACAGAGAGGAGCTGCCCACTGTGGGTCTCTTCTGTTCTAACACTAAATAAAGCTCCTCTTTATCTTCTTCACCCTTCACCTGTCTGCATACTTTATTCTTTATTCTTCCTGGACGCAGGACAAGAACTCAGGGCAAAGGTGCCACTGGCCACAGAGGTTTTCAGGAAGAAAATTGACACCCCAAAGATTGCCACCGGCTACAGAGGCTTCCAGAAAGAAAATTGACACCTCAAAGATCCCGTAACAGTTCCTCTCTAGGTTATAGGACAGCTGCCAATTACAATAAGGCCTGCTCACTTTCTTCTTTACATTCAGCAGAGAGAAATTGCCTCTCCCTAAGCCATCAGACAGTCTATCTTCAGTCTTTTGGGGTCAGTTTGCGATGCTACCCAAACAATGTAGGGCTGGTTCCTTGAAGCAATCACTGATTGGCTTGCTGGCCAGGGCCCATCTACTGAGTTCAGGTCAGTTCCTCAAAGCTCACTGCTGCAACATGATGGAAAGTGGGGGTGAATGTTGAGGAATCAACTACTCTATCCACTACAAAAGATTTCCTCAGAAAACGCTCATGTTTTTACTAAACTGACGCTTGACTGTACATTTATTTTGAAGTTTGCTAAGATGAAAGGAATTTTAGTATTTCTTACAGTTAGTGTCTAAGGTAGATCTCTGGAAAGGTTACGTGCCATCTTGAATTGCAGTTAGATTTCAGACAATTCATGAAATATCAATATTCAAATATAAATAGGAAGTATAAACTGATTTTTAACCTAATTTTTAAAAAGTCAGTTATTAGATAAAATAATGTTAAAGTAAAAATTGTAGCTAAGCATTAAAGGCAATAAATATGTCCAAAGACATACATAGAGAGATTCTTTCAATTGGAGGAAGACCACTCCCCTAATAATCTAAGGTTGCCTTACATGACAGCTACAGTGCATAAACACTCAAACATAATTTTATTCTTGAGCTGCAGAAAATTTAAACATTTGTGTGATATCGTCTACATATATGGAATATACGCATTCCTTTCGCTCTTCAAAATTTCTGTAAGGAAGTAATATATGCACATCGCAACAAAATTCAACCAGCACCAATAGTTTTTTAAGTCTCTTTCTCACTCAAATTTCCCCAGAATCTTCCTTCTTAAAGGCCTAAGATTATCAGTTTCTTGTGTGTTCTTCCCTAAATATTCTGTATATAAGAAAACAGATACAGCCTTTTTTTTTTTTCTTTGTGAGATGGCGTGTCGCTCTGTCTCCCAGGCTGGAGTGCAGTGGCACAATCTCAGCTCATGACAACCTCTGCCTGCTGGGTTCCAGCGATTCTCCCACCTCAGCCTCCTGAGTAGCTGGGATTACAGGTGCTCACCACCATGCCCAGCTTTTTTTTTTTTTTTTTTTAGTAGAGATGGGGTTTCACCATGTTGCCTAGGCTGGTCTCGACTTCCTGACCTCAAGTGATCCACCTGCCTCGGGCTCCCAAAATGCTGGGATTACAGGTGTGAGCCACCACGCCTGGCCCCCAGATACATCCTTTCAAAAAAATACAAATGGGAACACAGCTACACTGTTCAGAAACTTGCTTATCTTCGTTTGATAATACACTGCGTTCATACTCCATAGAGTGATCCAACCTTGAGTAACTAACTGCATGATTATATCTCATGAACTTGAAGTGGAGGTAAGGACAGCACTTGGGCTTAGATGACGGCTGCTGTAGAAGGAGTGATTCACTGCCCAGGAAGGGAAAATGCAATGAAGAACAGGAGCCCTGAAGGAATGTGCCACAGCACCTGGAGTGAGGGAAACAAAATCACCAGCAAGAGGTGAAAGTGATGGGGACAAAGAAGGCTGGGGCCTCACAAATTGCCTACGGTTGTTGTTGTTGTTGTTGTTGTTTTGAAACAGGGTCTTGCTCTGTTGCCCAGGCGGGAGTGTGGTCGCACAATCTCGGCTCACTGCAACCTCCGCCTCCCAGGTTCCAGCAATTCTCCTGCCTCAGCTTCCCAAGTAGCTGGGACTACAGGCAGACACCACCACACCCGGCTAATTTTTGTATTTTAATAGAGACGAGGTTTTGCTATGTTGGCCAGACTGTTCTTGAACTCCTGACCTCCAGTGATCCACCCACCTCAGCCTCTCGAAGTACTGGGATTACAGGCGTGAGTCACTGCACCCAGCCTGTTCTTTTGTCTTTCAACAATCTAGAGTCAGAGTGAAGAATTTTACTGTGATTCTGAAAACAAAGAATTCTTTACTTGGTTAATGAAGTTTTGTTTTGCTTTGTTTTTTTTTCCTTCGTCTTTGTGTAATGGTTTTTGAATGGGCTGTTTTTGAATAAAAGCCTTTCGTCCTAGGGCAATCCCATAGTTAGGGTATTTCTGCATGTGAGATTCTCTACTTCACCACTAGATGGACCTACTTGATATTTTGTCTTCCGAAAAAGCGAAACAATTTTATACTGTGAAGTCTTTCTGACAAAGATTTAAACTGCTCACCTTAAAAAAAGATTTGAGGGCTTAAAATAATAATAAACCAAATCACTTTTACAAAATAATGAGTAAAATGTACTTATATATTTAAATAATGTTAATAAAATGAAACACTTGTATAACCGCCTCCTGGCTTAAGAAATAAAATATAACCAAATAAATCCTTGAAGCCAACTATGCTTCCTCTCTGATTTTCCCCTTCTTTTTCCCACCTGGATAAATTGTAAATTATTGGCTATTAAAAATCGTTTTATAATATGATATATCTCTAAACAATATAATGTGTAATTTGTTCAGGTCTTGAAACTTGTGTAAAATAACTCACATTGTATTTATTTTTCTCTGACTTGCTTTTTTCCACTCATTATTCTTTTTCTGAGATTCATTCACGCATTTTTAAAACTGCTTGATGGTATTGTGTTTTATAAATAGACTAAAATTAATTTCTCCATTTTACTGATTTTGGACTTGCTTGTTTTCATTGAATATTATGATTTTAAGATTTTCATGTTAACTCATGCAGCTGAGATTAAGGTAGATTAAACATTCCTGTTTTATCATCTGTATCTAATACTTCCAGGGTCAATCTTGGGGTTCTGCTCCTCCAGTTTACTCTTTTTTTCTGCTGGATTGGGTTGATTTGGGCTTGTTTCCATACGTGTTTTAATAATTTTTTTAAAAAAATACAAATACATGTTCCTTCAGCAGAAAGTCTCTGAAAGCAATGTTTTCATTTTTACTTCTATGATTTTATATCTTTAATTAGCCCCTAGAAGTTCTTCACTTCTCCCATCTAGAGCTCATTTCACTCACTGCCCTTTTTGGCTTCTAGACTGTCACTGTCTCCAGCAATGAGGAAGCAGGCATCTTTTCTTTGGGGCAAGGAATCCACGGTCTATTGTCTTCTCCAATAATGAATATGTTGGAAAGCTGGATGGCAAAGCTATTGCCATTGACATCTTTCACATGAACCATATTAAAAAAGTCAGGTTGCCTCTCTCTTTGTCTCGTGCTCTCTTTCTGCTGGTGATTACGCCGATCTGTTCCAGGTTAGCACTTTCAGTCAACATACACGGGTTATCAGAACTTGGTGAAATGGCTAATTAATTTGACCAAGCTCCAAATCAATCTGGAAAATGTCAATCTAGGTGATGCCCACAGAGATCTTTCTTATTTCTCAGAACTTACACTTGGCCTCCTCAGGCATAATTTGATGAAAATCAAAGTGACCTCCGGGTCACAAATCAGATGGAAATTCTCACCGGCCTTGTCAATGTTGATGACAGGCATAAAACTGGCAGGGTAGCTCACATCACTGTGGAGCCTGCCATCCGTTTTAATAACCCACTGCATGCACATCTTTTTTTACTTCCTCCTCTGTAAGAAGCACACTTGTGCTTGTTTCTTAGGGAAGCGATGAGAGGGAGAAGCTTGATAGGGCCAGTGGATGTCCAAAGGGCAAACACACCGGTCAGTTTTCAGCATCCAGTGCTTTGGAGCTGCTGCATACTTCAGGATGATGAATCATAGCTGTTCTAAGTACAGAAAGAGCTGAAATCAATGTTTCGCAGAGAGGATTTGCTTTGCTTCTGCTAGGAATTGGGGTAATACCTGAGGCTACTTTGAAATGAAATACTGGCATGCTTGTATTCAGATCCTGCAGTTAGCATGAATTACGTCACCAAACCAACATGAATGTGGGTTTGTGGTTTAAAATTCAGAGATTTTCCCCCCTATTTATTCTAGAGCCAAGCCCAAACAGACAAGTTTGCCTTGGAGTGGTTAGATTCCACATCAAACCTTTCAAGTTCTGGCTTAGGCTAGAATCTTAGATTCAACTCCCCATCCTTCTTAGGATCCAAACTTTGTCTCCTATCCATTACAGGCTATCAAAACTCACGTTCCAGGCTTTCCAATTTCGAATCACAAGAGACTGTTGCTGCTACCCTGTCAACAACGATAAACCAGGAAGCTACAAAATCAGAGTATCATAGTTTTTAAAACCCGCAAAAGACCTGAGGAGAGAAACCTAACTAAACTAAAATCTAAACCTAAAAATCTCGAAAGTAAAGAGCCCTTCTTTTCAGAGTAGAGATCTATGGCTGTTTTCATCCTAGCAGAACAACTAAAAGAGAAAGGAATACATCATAATAGATGGTAAGGAGAAACTGGCCATATTTACTGGCTTTTTACTGACTGCAATGTGAACTAGCATGATGAGTTAGAATCCCAAGGAGCCCTAACCACAGAAGGAGCAGGCCCCTATCTGCCATGTACTATCATGTCCCCAGCGTTGCACACAGGCCTTCACCAAGGGAACATAGATAGTACATGGAAGGCTGAGAGGAGAGCAAAAGAGCTTAGAAAATGCTCAGCCCTTTCCCAAATTAAGATATTGGCCTGGCAAAGCTGGGAGCAGTGCAGAAAGAGGAGAAAAATCTCTCTAAGGCACTCTGAACTTTCAATTGCCAAAGGTTGGAGGCAGAGAAGGAGAGCTGAGAGAAATCCCTTCAAGGCACTGTAACCCATTACTGAGAGCAAAGCAGTGACCCTCCAAAGACCGGAAGCAGGCCAGTAGGGCATACAGATGGTGTACAGACAAGCCTCATTTTATTGTGCTTTGCTTTATTGAATTTTGCAATTGTGGGGGTTTTTTTGGATTTTTGTTTTGTTTTTTTTTTTACAAATTGAAAATGTGTGGCAACTCCACACTGAGCACCATTTTTCCAACAGCATTCACTCACTTCATATCTCTGTGTTACACTTTGGTATTTCTACAGTATTTTTAACTTTATTATTATTACTGTATCTGTTATGGTGATCTGTAATCCGTGATCTTTGATGTTACTATTGAATTGTTTTGGGACACCAGGAACTCTACCTATACGAGACACTGAACTTAATCAATAAATTTGTGTTCTGACTGCTCTAACAAGCAGCCATCATTCTGTTTCTCTCTATGGACCTCTCTATTCCCTGAGACACAACAACATACAAATTAGGCCAATTAATAATCTTACAATGGCCTCTAAGTGTTTAAGTGAAAGGAAGAGTTTCACATCTCTCACTTTAAATATAAAGCTAGAATGATTAAGCTTAGTGAGGAAGGCATGTGGAAAGCCAAGATAGCTGAAAGGGAAGCCTCTGGTGCCAAACAGTTTGCCAACTTGTAAATGCAAATAAATAGTTCTTGAAGGAAATTAAAAGTGCTAGTCCAGTTAACACACAAATGATAAGAAAGATCAGCCTTATTGCTGACATGGAGAAAGGTTTAATGGTCTGAATAGAAGATTAAACCAGCTACAACATTCCTTTAAGCCAAAGCAAAATCCAGAGCAAGGCCCTTAATATCAAGGCGAGGCTCTCCATCAGCAAGATTATGACTTTCTGAAGGCTCAGATGATCATTAGCTTTTTTTTTTTTTTTTTAGCAACAGTATTTTTTAATTAAGATATGTACATTGTACTTTTTAACATAATGCTATTGCATGCTTAATAGACTACAGGATCGTATAAATGTATCTTTTATGTGTACTGGGAAACCAAAAAATTGGTGTCACTCACTTTATTGTGGTATTTGTTACTTTGTGGTGGTCTGTAACCAAACCTGCAATATGTCCAAGGTATGGCCATTGTATTAGTCTGTTCTCATGCTGGTATAAGGACATCCCCAAGACCACGTAATTTATAAAGGAAAGAGGTTTAACTGACTCACAGTTATGCATGGCTGGGGAGGCCTCAGGAAACTTGCAATCATGGCAGAAGGAGAAGCAAGCACATCCTTCTTCACTTGGCAGCAGGAGAGAGAAGTGCTGAGCAAAAGGGGAAAAGGCCCCTTATGAAACCGTCAGATCTCATGAGAACTCACTCACTATCACAAGAACAGCATGGAGGTAAGCAACCCCATGATTCAGTTACCTCGCACTGGGTCCCTCCCATGACACGTGGGGATTACAGGAACTACAATTCAAGATGAGCTTTGGTGGGGACACAGCCAATTCATATCAGCCATATAAAGAATGAGATGGAACTGAAGAACAAAGAGAAATTCTCAGTGACTAAAAAACTGGAATCCAGACTGTGAAGCAGAGAGAAATCTCTCATGGTTCAGAAAAATTGTCTGTGCTATAAATTAGCAAGGAAATTTCTGATGTCTTACTTGTACTTACTTGGTGCTTTTACAGAGCTAGGGATTGTTAGAATTCTGACAGGATAAGGGCTGAGTAATTTTCTGGGGAAAATATCATTTACTTCAGTCTCTTTTGTTCTTTTATGTACTACAAAGCACAATAAAATGAGGTATGTCTGTATACCATCTCTCTATGCCCTACTAGCCTGCCTCCAGTCTTTGGAGAATCACTGCTTTGCTCTGGGAAATGGCTTATAGAGCCTTGAAGGGACTTCTCTTAGCTCTCCTTCTGTGCCTCCAACCTTTGGCAATTGCTGCTTTGCATTCAATGAAAGCTCAGAGTGCCTCAGAGAGATTTTTCTCCTCTTTCTGCACTGCTCCCAGCTTCACTGGGCCAATGTTAATTTGGGAAAGGTCTGAGCACAATGTACAATCAAAACTGTAAGAAGCCTGAGGTGAATCACTTGAGCCCAGGAGTTTGAGACCAGCCTGGACAACATAATGAGACCTGCCTCTACAAAAAAAAAAAAAAAATGAGTTTGGCATGGTTGTGCAAGCTTGTGTTCCCAGACACTCAGGTGGCTCACTTGATCCTCAAGTAGGAGGATCACTTAAGCTTGAGAGGTTGCAGCTGCCATGAGTCATGATCATGCCACTTGCACTCCAGCCTGGGTGAAAGGTAAGACCTTGTCTCAAAGCAAAACAAACAAACAACAACAATAACAAAGATGAGACACATAAAAATGCAAGAAAATTGAACCCATGATTATGACAGGAAAGAAGCAGACCTTGAGGTAGATCAGATGTAATTATCAGGCAAGGATTAAAAATAACCATGAAAATGTATTAAGATGGAAAAGCTGGAAAACATTCACGAACATATGAGGAATATCGGCAGATATGGCAACTATAAACATGGATCAAATAGAAGTGCCAAAAATAAAAAATATCTATCATAAATAAAAAATTCATTCAATGGTATCAATAGCAGCCTAGACACACAGGAGGAAAATATCTGTAAACTTGAAGATGATAAAGGTCATAAAAACTGAAACACACAAGTAGAAAGCAGAAAATACAACAAAATATCTGAGGTCTATAGGACTCATGTATGTAATTAGAGTAGCAGAGGAAAGAAGAGAAAATGGGGCAAAAGAAATTATTGGAGAGATAATTTAGATTTTCCAAAATAGTTAAAAAAACTGTCAGCAAACTTCAGGCAAGTTCACACATATGCCCCTAGATAACACACTTAAGAACATCAGACTCAGCCTGCTGAAAACCAAGATAAAATCTTAAAAGCAACCATTACATATTATATACAGAGAAAAACAATAAGAATTATTGCTGACTTCTCATCAGAAGTAATATAAGCCAGAAGACAATGGAAAGACCACTTTTAAATGCTTTAAGAAAGAATGTCAACCTAGAATTCTATATATAGTAAAATACATCCTTCAAAAGCAAAGACAAAATAAAGACATTTTCAGATGAATGAAAGTGGAGCTATTTTATTTCCAAAAGATCTGCACTATAAGAAATGTTAAAAGGGTTGCTCAGGCTGAAGAGAAATAATACCAAATGGAAGCTCAGAACTGAAGGAAGGACACAAGGAAGGTTTGTGAATAAATAAAAAAAAAAGTTTCATTATGTTTAAGAGATAAAAACATACATACTTATATCTAAATTTCTTCAAAAGACTATGAACTACTTATAGCAGAAATAATATGTTTATATAATATAAGTTATACTATTGTGGGGTTTATAACTTCTGTAGAAGTAAAATACACAACAAAAACACAACATATGTGGGGGCAGGGGGTAAATAGAACCATACTGTTGTAAGATTCTTATATTGTTCACAAAGTAGTATAAAGCTGTTTTAAGACAGACTATGATAAGTTGAAGATGTAGATTGTAATCTTTAGAACAACACTAAAAACTAATCTTACAGGTATAGCTAGAGAAAGCAAAATAAAATTATTTTTAAAAACCCCACACAACTCAATTCATTTAAAAGAAGGTGAAAAGCCTCCTCTGGCTGCAGGGTGATAAGCATATCAGTGAGTGATGAGCAGGGGTTAGGGCAATGTGGCCACAGTGGTTTGAGGGCTGCAGGTGGACTGACTCCTCCATATGCCCAAGGTCCTCAGTAGGCTGCTTAACTCATTTAACTCATCATCACGTAGCATCGTGTTGAGAGAATGGTGATATCTGGAGTGGGTTGTACATGCAGAAGTTCAGTAGGATGAGCTGAGCTCAAGTTTGTGATGTATTAAAACTAGCATCTCACTGATCCTCTTCCTTGCTACATTTTAAAGCTGTTTTTGTGATTCAAATGAGCTTTTAGCCTCCTGGTGAAGCTTTCTGTATTTGCAGGTGACATTGCTAACTGTCTGAGTAACTCAATGAAAGCTTTTTTTCTGAAAAAGTGAACATTTTTGTTTACATAATCAATTGCTTTTCCTCAATATATCAAAAATTTTATACCATTTTAAAATATGTATGGGAGGGGGAAGATAATACAAAGATATGTTGAATGGGAAAAAAACTGGCCAAATTAGTATTTCATATCATTCATGGTAAGATAATAAACTTTTTTTTTAAAGATGTTGGATGTAAACTAGTATATTAGAAAGCAAACCACTCTCCTTTGTTCAAACAATGATTACCTTAAACCCTGCTGTATTTATTAAAATATTTTATTAACATTTTTAAAAAGGAGGTAGAAAAGGAGAAACAGAAAAGTTGCAAATAGGGACAAATAAAAACAAATTCTGAGATGGTATATGTCAATCTGACAATATCAATAGTTATGTCAAATATTAATGGACTAAACCCAAGCTCTAAAATAGCAATCATCAGCTCAGGGGAAAATGCCAGCTCAAGAGTTCCTTTTCTCTTGAGGGAATAGCTTTTAAAAATTATTTCCTCTGGTGCAGACTCTGCAGTTTGTTGGCTCCTGAAGAAAACTAAATATAGAATTACAAAAGGATCCAGCAATTCTACGCCTTAATATATACCTGAAAGAATTGAAAGCAAGAACTCAAACCCATACTTGAACAGTAATGTTCATAGTAGCATTATTCACAATAGTCAAAAGGTAGGAACAATCCAAAAGGCCCATCAACAGGTAAACATAAAGAAAATGTGGTGTATATATACAATGAAATATTATTCAGCCTTAAAAAGGAACAAAATGCTGATACATGCTACTTAACATGGATAAATCTTAAAATTACTATGCTAAGTGAAATAATCCAAACACCAAAGGACAGATTATTGTATGATCCCACCTATATAAGGTATCTAAAAGGGCAAATTCATAGAGACAGAAAGTAAAATAGAGGTTACTAGAGGCTAGGAGCAGGCGCGGAATGGAGGTTATTGTTTAATGAGTTCAGAGTTTATGTTTAGGATGATGAAACAGCTCTGGAAATGCAGAGGTGATGGTTGTACAATATTGTAAATATGCTTAATGCCACTGAATTCTATTTTAAAATGGTTAAAATGGTACATTTTTATTTATGTGTATTTTACCACAATGAAAAATTGGGGAAAAAATCTGACTTCCAATTATGTCCTCTACTTTATGCTGTAGTTATGCTTTAAAGCATTTTTTCATATTTTATTCAGGCATGGATATACTTTGCCATATTACTGAAAGTGGCAGACAGACAGCTCTAAACATCTTTTAAGTTTTTTCTTTACCTAATTTTCTTTCTTGTATGCACAAGCTTACATATACTTAGTCCAGATATCACTCCTTCCTTTCCTCTCTCTGCCTCTCTCTCTCTCTCCTCTAATGAGTTATCTTCACTAACCCTAATTCTTCTTCCTTGCCATTCAGGCATTCCTCATTACACTCTAATCTCACTTCTGCAGTTCCACTCCCCTTCCTCTGTAGCCATTAATCATGCTTCTATAGCCATAGTCAAAGCTAATGATGACTTTTCAGACTTTATCTTAATTGACTTCTGCCCACACTTGGCATTGTTGATTACAGCATCACTTTTTAAACACTCTTCAGCCTTGCTCTCTGTAAAACCATACTCTCCTGGGCTTCCAACCTCCAATTTCACCTTCTAAGTCTCCTTCACTGGATCTTTTTCCTTTTCCTCAGCTCAACCCTTAAATTTCCATACCTCCTAAATTTCTATTTAAAAATATCTTTTAGTTTTTACTCTAGGTGCTCTTCAGGAATATTTCATCTACTTTTTTGTTTTTAACTATCACCTCTAACAGAATTCACCAACTGTTGCCTATTGGCCAAATGCAGTACCCAGAAAAGAGAGGTCTTATTGTTGTTTTTTTAATTTGATGCCTTAGATAGGATTTGTAATGTCTAGTTTGTCATAGTCTCCATGACTCCATATATGTTTATACTCCCTATATTTTCATATCTAGTTCTGATGTCTTCTTTTCTCAGCCTTGGGTCTATAAATTCAATTACCAAATAAATGTTTTAACCTGCTACTGCCCTTAAGAACATGTCCAAAATTGAATTCATGCTCCTACCTGACAAACCTGATCTTCCTGTTATTGTCCCTTAGTTGAGTGGTAAATTTTATTGTTAGTTCAAGTAAACATACCTAAACCTGGAGTCATTCTTGACTTTAGATAGAAGATATAAAGAAACAATAACGAGTTATCCAATCTTGTCAAATGTATGCTGCAATAACTCCAGACCTTAACTGTGCTGCTTCATCCTTGTAAAAACCTCATTTTAGGTACTCATGACCTTTCACCTAGATTATTTAAATAGTGTCTTAATTTGTCTGTCTACTTGCACTTTTGCCATCCTAAAAATTGTCCTCCACGTTGCTTCTAAAATTACCTTTCTAATATGCATTTTTTTCTTCTCTCCTTTTCTTAAAAGTCTTTAATAGCTTCTCATTGTTTACAAAATGAAGACCAGTTTCCCTAACTGTACCCATCTGTCTAGCCCATCTCCTGTAATTCTTTGTCATATATATTATATCTCAACAATTCCACATTATGTAAGTTTTTTTGTACGTATAGTTCCATACCTGAAACACTCTCTTCTTGTGCCTGATAATTTATTATTCAAAATCTGGCTCAGGTGTGACCTCCTCTCCTCATTTTATCTGAGATTGTCCTCCCTATAGAGTTATTCACCTCATGTAATACCTCTATTTTTTGGATATATTTCTGTTATTACATGTATCACATGTACTATATGGTTTAAATTTTTCATATGTCTTTCATTGACGTATACAGAACTTATCATAAAATTCACCTTTTCAAAGTGTACACTTCAGCAGTTTTCAGTTTATTCAGAGTTGTACAACCATCATCATTATCTAATTTCAGAACATTTCATCACCTCAAAAAGAATCCCCCATATCCATTAGCAAACAATCTCTAAACCCGCCCCCCCCCCACCTCCCTGCCTCCAGCCCCTGGCAAACACTATCTATATTCTGTTTCTGTAGATTTTCCTATTCTGGACATTTCACATAATTAGAATCATGTAATATGTGGCCTTTTGGGCCTAGATTCATAACGTTTTCAGAATTCATCCGTATTGTAGTATGGATCCATACTTCATTCTTTTTAATGACCAAATAATATTCTGTTATATGGATGAATTTATCTATGTTTATACGGTCATCGACTGATAGACTTGGGGTTGCTTCTGCTTTTTGGCTATTATAAATAATATTGCTGTGAATATTCATAAACAAATTTATGTGTGGAGACATATTTTCAGTTCTCTTGGATATATTCTAGGAGTAGAATTATTGGGTAACGTAGTAATTCTGTGCTTATCATTTTAAGGAACTGCCAAACTATTTCCCAAAGCAAAGACATCATTTTACATTCCCATCAGCAATATTTGAGAGTTCCAGTTTATCCATATCCTTGTCAACACTTGTTATTACTTGACTTTTTGATTATAGCCCACTTAGTGGGTATGAAGTGGTATCTCACTGAGCTTTTGTTTAGCATTTCTCTTATGACTTGTTAAGTTAAACAGTTTTTCATGTGCTTATCGTCCATTTATATATCTTCTTCAAAGAAATCTTGGTTTAAATAATTTGCCTATTTTCAAAATTGGGTTGTTTTTTCCTTTCTTGTTAAGTTGTAATAATTTTTATGTACTCTTGATACAAAACGCTTATAGACATATTATTTTCTCCCATTTTGTGGGTTGTCTCTTCACTTTGTTGATTGTTTCCTTTACTGTACAGAAGCTTCTTAACTTGATAAGATCCCGTTTGTCCATTTTTCTTTTGGTTGCCTGTGCTTGTGGGGTATTACTGAAGAAATCTTTGCCCAGACCAATGTCCTAGAGAGTTTCACCAATGTTTTCTTATAGTAGTTTCAGAGTTTGAGGTCTTAGATGTAATTCTTTAATCCATTTTGATTTGATTTTTATATGGTGAGTGATAGGGGTCTAATTTCATTCTTCTGCATATGGATATCCAGTTTTCCCAGTATCATTTATTGAAGAGACCGTCTTTTCTCCAGTGTGTGTTCTTGGCACCTTTGTCGAAAATGAGTTCACTAGGTGTGTGGAATTGTTTCTGGGTTCTGTATTCTGTTCCATTGGTCTATGTGTCTGTTTTTATGCCAGTACCATGCTGTGTTGCTTACTGTAGCTGTGTAGTATAATTTGAAGTCAGGTAATGTGATTCCTCCAGTTTTGTTCATTTTACTTAGGATAGCTTTAGCTATTCTGGGTCTTTTGTGGTTCCATATACATTTTAGGGTTTTTTTCTATGAGGAATGTCATCGACATTTTGATAACAATTGCATTGAATCTGTAGATTGATTTGAGTAGTATAGACATTTTAATAATAGTGATTCTTCCAATCCATGAACATGAAATATCTTTCCATTTTTTGGTGGCCTCTTCAAGTTTTTTCATCAGTATTGTATAGTATTCATTACAGAGATCTTTTGTTTCTTTGGTTAATTCCTATGTATTTAATTTTATTTGTGGCTATTGTAAATGGAACTAATTTTTTATTTCTTTTTCAGTTTGTTCACTGTTGGCATATAGAAATGTTACTGATTTTTATGTGTTGATTTTGTATCCTGCAACTCTACTGAATTTGTGTCTCATTCTAACAGTTTTTTGGTGGAGTCTTTAGGTTTTTCCAAATATAAGATCATGTCATCTGCAAATAATTTGACTTCTTCCTTTCCAGTGTGGATTCCCTTTATTTCTTTCTCTTGTCTAATTGCTCTAGCTAGGATTTCCAGAATGAGTTTGGAAGTACTCTCTCCTCTTCTATTTTTCAGAATAGTTTCAGGAGGACTAGTGTTAGTTCTTCTTTAAATGTTTGGTAGAATCTAGTAGTGAAGCCATTGGGTCCTGGGCTTCCCTTTACTGGAAGACTTTGTATTATGGCTTCAATCTTGTTACTTGTTGTTGGTCTGTTCAGGTTTTGAATTTCTTCATGGTTCAATCTTGGTAGGTTGTTTGTGTCTAGGAACTTGTCTATTTCTTCCAGATTTTCCAATTTATTGCCACACAGTTACTCATATTAGCCACTAATGATGCTTTGAATTTCTGTGGTATCAGTTGTAATGTCTTCTTTTTCATCTCTGACTTTATTTAATTGGATCTTCTTTTTTCTTAGTCTGGCTAAATGTCTATTTTAACTTTTCAAAAAAACAAATTTTTATTTCATTGCTTTTTTGGATTGTTTGATTCGTTTCAATTTCATTTATTTCTGCTCTGATCTTTATTATTTCTTTTCTTCTACCATTTTTGGGTTTGGTTTGCTCTTGCTTTTCCAGTTCTTTAAGATGCATCATTAGATTGTTGATTTGTTGTTTTTCTTCTTTTTGGATACAGGCACTTAGAAGTTCAAACTTCCCTCTTAGTATTGCTTTTGCTGTATTCTATAGGTTTGGGTATGTTGTGTTTCAATTATCATTTGTTTCAAGACATTGTTCAATTTTCTTCTTAGTTTCCTCATTGACTCACTGGTCATTCAGGAGCATACTGTTTAATTTCCATGTATTTGTATAGTTTCCAAAATTCCTCTTGTTATTGATTTCTAGTTGTATTCCATGATGGTCAGAGAAAATGCTTGATTTTATTTCAATTATTTGAATCTTTTAAGACTTGTTTCTTGACCTAACATATTGTCTATCCATGAAAATGATCCATGTGCTGAGGAAAAGAATGTGAATTCTTTGGCTATGGATGAAATGCTCTGCAAATATCTATTAGATCTATTTGGCCTATAATACAGGTTAAGTTCAATGTTTTTTTGTTTATTTTCTGTCTGGAAGATCTGTTCAATGGTGAAAGTGAGGTGTTGAAGTCTCTAGCTATTATTGTATTAGAGTGTATCTCTCTCTTGAGCTCTAATAATATTTGCTTTATATATTGGATGCCCCACTGTTGGGTGCATTTATACTTAATACTTAAAACTGTTATATCCTCTTGATGAATTGACCCCTTTATCATTATATAGTGACCTTGTTTCTTATAGTTTTTCTCTTGAAATCTCTTTTGTTTGAAATAAGGATATTGACTCCTGCTCTTTTTTCATTCTCATTGGTATGGAATATTATTTTCCATCCCTTTATTTTCAGCCTGCATGTGTCTTTATAGGTGAAGTGTGTTTCTTGTAGGCAACAGACCAGTGGGTCTTAGCTTTTAGCCATTCAGCCACTCTGTCTTTTGATTGGAGAGTTTAGTCCATTTACATTCAATGTTACTGTTGGTAAGTAATAACTGTTGCTATTTTATTATGTTTTCTGGTCTTTCCTTCCAGTCTTTTTTTTAGTGAAGGAGATTTTCTCTGGTGATATGATTTAGTTTTTTGCTTTTTATTTTTTGTGTATCTGTTGTATGTTTTTTGGTTTGAAGTTACATGAGGTTTGCCAATACTATTTTATAACCCATTATTTTAAGCTAATAACAACACCATTTGCATAAACAAACAAAAACAAACAAGCAAAATAAAACTAAAAAAGACTCTACACCTTAATTTTGTTCCCTCACTTTTTTCTCTTTTCTTTTTTTAAGATGGAGTTTTGCTCTTTTGCCCACGCTGGAGTGCAGTGGCCTGATCTTGGCTCACTGCAACCTTTGCCTTCTGGTTTCAAGTGATTCTCCTGTCTCAGCCTCCTGGGTAGCTGGGATTACAGGCATCTGCCACCATGCCAGGCTAACTTTTGTATGTTTAGTAGAGACAGGGTTTCACCATATTGGTCAGGCTGGTCTCAAACTCCTGACTTCATGATCTGCCCACCTCGGCCTCCCAAAGTGCTGGGATTACAGGTGTGAGCCACGACACCTGGCTTGTCCCCCACTTTTTAAATTTTGTCTTTACTTTTCGTTTTTGTGTTGATGAAATACCTGAGACTTTCTTTGTCTGTGAAAGTATTTCTCCTTCATGTTTGAGGGATAATTTTGCTGGATATACTATTCTAGGTTAAAAGTTTTTTCCTTCATTAAATGTGTCATGCCACTCTCTCCTGGCCTGTAAGGCTTCCACTGAAGTCTCCTGTCAGATGTATTGGAGTTCCGTTGTATGTTTTTGTTTCTTTTCTCTTGCTGCTTTTAGGATTCTTTCTTTGTCCTCGACCTTTGGGGGTTTGATTATTAAATGTCTTGTGCTAGGTTTCTTTGAGTTAAATTTGCCTGGTGTTCTATAGCCTTCCTGTACTGGAATATTATATGTTTCTCTAGGTTTGAAACATTCTCTGTTATTATCCTTTTGAGTAAACTTTCTACCCCATCTCTTTCTTTACCTCCACTTTAGGTCCAGTAACTCTTAGATTTGCCATTTTAAGGCTATTTTATAGATCCTATAGGGATGCTTCATTGTTTTTTATTTTCTCTTTTGTCCCCTCTGTCTATTTTCAAATAGCCTGTCTTCAAGCTTACTAATTCTTTCTTCCATTTGATCAATTCTGCTATTAAAAGATGGATGCATTCTTCAATAGCCAATTGCAATATTCAACTCCAGAATTCCTGCTTGATTCTTTAATTATTTCAATCTCTTTGTTAAATATCTGATAGAATTGTGAATTCCTTCTCTGTGTTAGCTTGAATTCCTTTGAGTTTCCCCAAAACAGCTATTTTGAATTTTCTGTCTGAAAGTTCATAGGATTGGTCCCTGTTGCCTTATTTAGTTCATTTGATATCATGTTTTTCTGGATTATCCTGATGCTTGCAGATGATTGTCTGTGTCTGGGCATTGAAGAGTTAGGTATTTATTGTAGCCTTTACAGTCTGGGCTTGTTTGTACCCATCCTCCTCGGGAAGGCTTTCCAAATATTTAAAAGGATTTGAGTGTTGTGACTTAAGCTGCATCTGCTTTAGCGGGGACTCCAAGCCTAGTAGCACTGTGGTTCTTGCAGACTCATAGAGGTACTGCCTTGAAGGTCTTGGACAAGATCTGGAAGAATTATCTGGATTTTTGTTCTTTTCCCTTACCTTCTCTCAAACAAACAAAGTCTCCTTCTCTCTTTGTTTTGAGTCATGTATAGTGGGAAGTAGAGTGACACAAGCACCCCTATGGCCACCACCTCTAGGAATGCTCTAGGTGAGCCCTGAAGCCAGCACAGCACTGGGTCTTATCTGAGGCCTGCTATAACCTCTTTCTGGCTAACGTCTATATTCGCTCACAGCCCTGGGGCTCTACAATCAGTAGGTGGCAAAGCCAGCCAGGTCTATATCCTTCCCTTTAGGGTGGAAAGTTCTCCCAGGCCCTGGGGAGGTCCAAATATGCCACCCAGAAGCCAGAGACTACAGTAAAAAACCTTAGAATTCTACCTGGCATTCTATTATACTGCAGCTGAGCTGGTACTCAAACCATAAGACACAGTCTTTCCATATTTCCCTCTCCTTTCCAAAGGCAGAGGAGCCTCACCCTATGGCCACTCTCGTCTCAGGCCGACAAGGTGTTTTGACAGACTACTGCTTGTGTTCCCATAAGACCCAAGGGCCCTTCATTTAGTAGGTGACAAATCCTGCCAGGACCAGCTTCTTCCCATCAAGGCAATGAGTTCCCTTCTGGCCCACAGTATGTCTAGAAAATGTTCCTTCTGGCCCAGCATGTGTCTAGAAATGTCTTGCATCTTGGATACCAGGCCTTGGATACCATGACTCTGACTGGTGCCCTTTCCTGCTGTGGCTGAGCTGGTATCCAAGCTGCAAGATAAAGTCCTCCCTACTTTTCTGTCTCCTCTCCTCAAGTGGAAGGAAGGGATCTCTTTTGGAGCTGTAAACTATGCAGCATGGGTTTCAGGGAGGGGTAATGCCAGTGAGGTAGGAGGCAAGACTTGACTCCAGAGGCAGGGCTCAAACATAAGAACAAATTGAGGACTAGCTAAAACAGGGCCAGGGCAGAAGCAGCTTTCCACCAGACATTCCCACCAGTGTGCCATGTCAGTTTACCATTGCCATGACAACATCCAGGAGTTACCACCCCTTTCCACGGCTATGACCTGATGTCCCAATAGTTACTACTTCTTCCCCAGAAATTTCTGCATAAACTACCCCTTAATCTGAATGTTATTAAAAGCTGGTATAAATATGACTGCAAAACTGCCCTGAGCTGCTACTCTCTACCTATGGGGTAGCCCTGCTCTGCAGGAGCAGTCATGGAGCTATAACACTGCTGCTTCAATAAAGCTGTTTTCTTTTACCTCCGTCTTGCCCTTGAATTCTTTCCTGGGCAAAGCCAAGAACCCTCACAGACTAAGCCCCACTTGGGGGTTCACCTACCCTGCATCAGCTTGGTGCTCAACATGGGGTGAAGAAAGAAGACAGCATCGTGATAGTCCACAGTCAGTGAGCAGCAGTCTGCAAGGTGGCAGTCAGTGATCGTTGAGTGGCAGTCAGTAATTGGCAAGTGGCAGTCTGCAAGGTGACAGTCAGCAAACAGCAGTCAACGAGGCAGCAGTCGGCGATCAGCCAGTGGCAGCAGGCGATTAGTGGGACAGTGATTGGCGGGACAGTGATTGGCAGGACAGTAATTGATGGGATGGCAGTCAGCAGGCTGGCAGTTTGTGGACCAGTAGTTGGCAGAATGATGAGCTGAGATGCAGTCAAGTAGAGCTGTAACACCCAACCTCTAACGCTAGCCAAAGGCTCTTTTCAGAGCAATCATTTTTCCTGGCATGCAGTGGAGCCGATCGGATGGGCAAGTGGCCATAGTGCTACGGTTTGTGTGGGACCTACTGCTCCAGCTGGCAGAAGAGTGAATTACCAGCCCCATGCAGGCTCCTCCCACTGCGGAAGCTGAGCCCACTGGTGGGGTGGCCATAGTGCCCCTGCCTCTTGTGATAGCTGCTGCTCCGCTGGCAGACTGGTGAGTTAGCAGCCCCCATGCAGGCCCCTTTGACCTCAGCAGCTGAGCCCACCCATGCTGAGGGATCTTCCCCTGGGTCCCATGTGGAAGATCAGTTGGTGCCATTTCTGCTCTGGTGGATGGGAGTGTTCCTTCTGCCTCCACCCCTGTGGTATCCGGAGAACTAGGGAATAAAATAAAAGCCTTTGCCTAGGTGATAGTTAGAAATCTCTCATTGTTTGAGTGCCCCAAAGCATGTCCTTGTCACCTCTTCCCCTAGTCCTCTATCTTCTCACTCCATTTTATTGTTACATCAGTCATTTCATTTTTAGTCCTCAAATAAGTGCAGTCTTATGTTTGCTTTTAACTTTCTGTTAATTTTATGTGGGCAATTGTTTAAGGTAGGATTCTTGCTTGTGAGAGGTCCCCTACTTGGTCTTGGTTTCAATGTTACCTGCCCCCTGAGTGCCCCAGACTTTCTAGCATTTGGTGAGAGGATCCTCATTGGCTGAAACTTGAGCACTCTGAGTTTTCAGCATTGGTATTTTTTCTACTCCTCAGACACTCTGGGATATTTGGTGTTGACATTCCCCCTAGGGTTGTGGGTTCTAGCCCTCCCCTTAGGGGAATATTGATCTTGCCTTCTTCTGCCCTAAAGTTACAAGTATTATTTTTCTGATAGCCAGTTGCTAGCCCCTTCCTTTGTGTTGTCTTACAACTGCCTTGCTCAAGCCCCTCTTGGTCAACGGAACTGGGAGTTTCCAGGCCCCTGGACTGATAAACAGTCACCTATAGTGGTAGACAAGTGGCCACCCGAATATTTCAGTGTCTCCACTACTGGGCAGGTTCTTCAACAAGTCAAAGCCTCTGAGATTTCCCTTTATTTATGGAGGAGTCATTATTTTTCCTCCAAAATTTAGAAGCATATGCATTACGTTGCAAAGAATCCCTTCTTGGGGTAGGGGAGGGGAGAGGTTTAGTTTAGAATCTGCCGATGAAAGGCACTTAAATGATATTTAAGAAATATCACTTGTATGATATTTGAGGAATAGAAGAGATGTGGAAGTCATTATTCACTATTAGTGGCAGGTAGACTTGTGGACAGAAGGCAGATAGGAAGTTTGCAGCAGCTCCCAGACAAGCTTCTGAAATTGCCTACTTCCATACCATAGATGGCTGATATCTACGGAAGCTTACTGTGATTTCGACATCCTTTATATTCTAGAAACTCACAGCAGTCCTCCTGATTTCCCCTCCCTCCAGGTCTTCCAGATGTTTTAAAAGCATCTAAATACATATATAAAATCTCTTCTGACCAAATATCTACAGTAGTTTCTGATTTCCTGTCTGAACCCTAACTAATAGAGACTTTGATATCAGTATTGGTTTCAGTAAAGAGATCCTAAAGGAAACTATAATTAGTTGTACTGCCTGGTTACATAGGCAATCAGTGATGACTTCAACACTAGTGGGTAACAGAATACTAGTAATCCATGGCATTCAGTGAAAAACAATTACTTAACAATTCTTACCTGTAGTTGACGCAGAAGCACTTTAAGGTGGAAAAGAGGATGACACTAACTGTAAGCGTGGGCTACCTGCTTCAGACTATGCTGGAGACCTCGTAGAAGAAACAAGACAAGCTCATGGGTTTAAAATCTTGGTTCAAAGTACTTTTAGAGAACCAGAGAACTTCTGGTTCCCTTCAGAGTTCCAGGAGTAAGTCTCTTATCTCTTGTACTCTGAGGGGTTGACATGTCCCAAACGAACAGATTTAAAATGAGATGCTGAGGATTACATAATTAGAACATACACTGTGTTCACATCCTTGTCAAGTCTCTTATGTAAAAATTAGGGCATACATTGAAAAAAGAGAAGAATCTGAATGTTGAGATGTTGGCATTTGTGTGGATTCCAACGAAACTTAGAGACTTGAACTTCCAAAGTCCTCCCTTCTGGTAGAAGTAGTTTATCCTTGCCATCTAAGATTAGCCTCCTGTGTTGCAGACCCTGTAATGTTCTCACTTGAAGCATCTTTGGATGCTCTCAGACACACACTGAACATCTCTCATAGCTTCTTGACCTACAACTAGGGCAAAAGTTGACACATTTTTTTCCTAAAGGAACACACTGTAAATATTTTATGCTTCCAAGCTATATAGTCTCTGTCACAACTACTCAGCACTGTTGTATTGCCAAAGCTGATATAAGCAAAATGTGCACAAATGGGCGTGGCTGTATTCTGAGAAAATTTTATTTATAAAAATGGGTTTGCTCATGGGCCATAGTTCATCAACCTGTAACCGGCAAAAGGTTCCAGCTGCACACTGCTTGTAGAAAGAAGCCAAAATCATAATAAGGTGTGATAAAAAGAGAGCAAGATGTTATTATTTGTGTCAGCAAGAGGAAGAGCAGGTGAAAAAAATTCCACTCCTCAATTTATGGAGGAACACAGGGGGTTTTTTAAAGGGAGGGTTTGAAATGCAGAAGAGGTTGGGAGGGGCTGTGCCTAGGAGGTGCTAGGCTGTGTGATCTGCTCCAATGGCTCATCTTGAATTATTTTTCCATCTGGTGAAGGGGCTGGCACCGTCGTGGGTCCTACCAGGTTATAAATGTACTGCAGTCACTCTTGTAGTCAGTCTCTAGCTGGGAGTGGGTTCTGGACTTGAAGTAATCTTTTGTTGGAGAGAGAATTCTGGAGGTGTCTGGTCCCTATCAGGATCCGACCTCTGAAGCTTTTAAGGAAACATATGACCAGAGAAGTGAGTATGAGGTGTGCTTAACAAGCATCTGGGTGAATAAATATGCACAGGGCATGGGAACATAGAGTGGGAAAGGGAGGGGACTGAAGGAAAGAAAACATTCTGAGGTTGTCAAGTTTATCTCAGAGCAGCATCTTGAAACCTAAGGAGGAAGCGGGGGCAGGGAGGAAGAAGGGGAAAGAAATAAAAGTTTTAGAACATGATTTAGGGCTAAGCTGTTAAGCTGCTTGATTACAAACCCCTTCTGTAAGGGGATGTATTAACCTAAGAAGAGATACCTTACATACCAAAGGATTACAATATTTTGCCAATTTACATAAACAGATATCTGGGAATGAATTATAAGAGCACTAAACCAGATAGGAATTTATTGATAAGGGTAAGCATTCCAGAGAATCTGCTTCCAATGTTTAGTTTGAGCAGCTGGAAGTGGCAACTACTCCTGATGAATTGTCACCTCTCTTTCATCTCATCCCTATCACTAGTTGATGGGGGAAGAAAATATTTGGGACTAGTTTACACATTGTTCTGTACAATTATTATTCTGTACAAATATTACTCTGTACAGATTATTCTGCACGATAAGCTGCCATCAGCCAGATTTGAGTGGCTATGGCATTATAGCTTTATTCAGGATGATCCTGAATGACAAGGACAAAAGGGGCTAGTATAAACAGTACATTTAGCTGTTCATTTGCCCGGAAATAGGGATGGGATGGCACTGTGAATAATAGACATTTTTTCAGTAAATGGTGTTGAGTTGATTAAATAGCAATGAACGGATTAATCTTGATCCTTACCTCACACTGTTCACAAAAATCAATTTCAGATAGATTGTAGATATAAACGCAAAAATAAGACAAAGTTTTTAGAAGATGATATAGAATGTCTTTGTGACTGGGGCATGCAGTGATTTCTTAAATAGGATCAAAACAGCATCAAATTAATATAAAAGATTAAAATTTTCACTACATTAAAAGTAAGAATCATATAGTTTTAAATAGCATAAAAATCAAATACCTAAGAATAAGTCTAACAAAAGACATCCACCAAAAGATGCCATCAAGACAAAGAAAATTCAAGCTACAACTGGGGAGAATATATGTGCAATACATACAACTGACAAATTATATATGCAGAATATATAAAGAATGCCCCTGGTCCCAGGGGCTACAAATATAAATAAATAAATAAACTCAAATATTGGTGTTAAGCAAAGGGAGGAAATCACTGAGAAGAATTTAAACTGAAAGCCGGCCCTTATAAATACTAGAGACCAAATTCTTGCCGTCTTCAAAACCTCAGAATGAGAATTTCAATTACAGTGATCTTGGATTAGAAGTATCCTCAGAGGGCTGGCTGAAGCAAATTAAATTTCCCCGTGGAGAAACTCATCCCGGGTCTCAAAGGATTCCAACAAATACAAATCATTCACTCTTGTGCCTCATTTAGAAAATGATTCTCCACTTGAGCTTTCTAGTACCATTCTTGCATTGCAGAACATGCTGCTCTTTCATATCTGTCAGGCACTGCACAGGCAATTCTCTTCACCTTTTAGTTCTATCGCTAGACCCTGTGAACTCTCTTTTCTCCCTCCAATCTTATCTTGAGCTGTGAAGCTTTATTGACTTCCTTTGACAGTCAGTATCCTCTCTGTGCTCCTGTCCTATTTTAGCACATAAATTGCATTTGTAACCCAAATTTCCCTGGGCCCCACCAGTCTGTGGTTATGAATGACAACACATCAATATTAATAGCCCAGATGTCACAGATTAATTGTCCCTTTTCCCCTGAGTCCCACACAACATCTCCCTTGGATAATTCTGGAGACGTGTGGGTGTGCCCTGATTGTGCTAGCGAAAAATGCTCTGTTCGGCTGTTGCTAAGAGAACCACATCACCAGCTTTCTGTAAGAGCATTGTTCCTGGCCCAGACTCCGAATCCCAGGAATCTAAAGTGAAAAAGTGCAAAGATATGCAAACACCACAGCAAGCATAGTCATTTTTTGTTTGCTTGTTTTAATAGAAGTAAATGGCAGAATATGCAGCTAGAAATGTAAAGCATTGTTGCTCTGCAGAGCAGCATCAGGAGATAGGAACTGCTTTTCTTTGCTTTCTTTATAAGCATATTATTTGTATTTTTAAAGACATACATCTATATCTTTGATAAAAATAGACCAAAAACTTTTTAAATGGCTCAGCACGCCTTTCATTCTTCACTGCATTGCAGTCAGACTGTCTTCTGTGAGGAAGTGAGGAGACTGCCTCTTCTCACTCTGTGTCTCATTCTGTCACCACCTGGCCCCGAAGCCAATTGATTCTACCTCTGTAATCCACAGAGGTCTTTATGAAAACTTCTCCTTCAGCCTCTGCTTGCAACTCCGTAACATAGGATCATGGTTCCACATAACGCAATAAGGATGGCCACATATTTCTTGAAAAACATATGCACTTTTTTACACACTGTAGATGATAGTATAGATAAGTGCTTAGAGCATGCTCCGACTTCTGCTGTTGGACAAGATGGAATAAAGGGTTGAGATTTACCCTCCTGCCTGAAACAACAGCAACAACTAACACAACCAGAATACATTTAAAAATGGCTTTTAAGATACCAGATATCAGGCAATGAAGAATAGCATTGCTTAAGAAATGAGAAACAAATGAGCCCTCAAATTGCCAGTTTACTGCCCTGAGAGAGTTTCTAGGCTGTAATGCAGGAACAGAGAACTAAGGTGGAACATGATGGAGTTCCTAAAATGAGGAGACAGAGCTGAGACTATGGAGATGCCAAGGCAGCTAGGGTTCATTGGACAGAGCACCAGAGAGGAGAGAGCTGTACAGAGAGAGAATTCCAGAGATCTGTAGGTCTCCTTGAGGATCTATCAGCAGATGCATTTAAGGAAACTACCTAAGGCTGGGGGAAAAAAACTTCTAAGAGAATTAGAGGGAACAGGGCCCAACACTCCTATGGGGCCAATCTACTCACCAGCTAGATAGGAAAAAATCATTCTGGCTCTACCTCTTAGTCTTTTCAGCCTGATATGAAAAATGTCATAGGCTGAATAGCTTATAAACAACATAATTTTAATCTCTCACAGTTCTGCAAGGCCAGCATGTCCAAGACCAAGGTGCTGGCAGATATGGTGTCTGGTGAGGGAATGCTTTATAATTTATGAATGGCCATCTTTTTGCTGTGTTCTCACATGGTAAAAGGGACAAGACAGCTCTCAGGGGCCTTTCATAGGGACACTAATCCCATTAATGAGGACTATGCCCTCATAATGTAATCAACCCCAAAGGCCCTATCTCCTAATACTATCACGTTGGTGATCAGGTTTCAGTGTATGAATTTTTAGACGACACAAACATTCAGACCATAGCAACCTAGCAAACTCTTACAAGCTGTGTGCCCTTCGGTAAGTTATTTACATTCTCTGTGGTTCAGACAGAAGGAAATAAGGATTCGAGCGTCAATAAATGAAATAGAGACTAGAAAGACAATGGAAGAGATCAACCAAACTAAGAGCTTTAAAAAAGAGACAAATCTTTAGCTAGATTAACCTGGAAAAAAAGAGAGGATTCAATAAATAAAATTATAAGTGAACAAGAAGACATTACAACTGATATTACAGAAATATAAAGGATCACAAGAATCGACTATGAAGAGTTATACGCCAACGAATTGAATAACCTAGTAGTAGTGGATACATTCCTAGAAACATACAACCAACCAAGACTGAATCATGATGAAATAGAAAATCTTAACAGACAAGCAACAAGTAAGTATATAATAAAGGCTGGGTGCGGTGGCTCACATCTGTAATCCCAGCATTCTGGGAGGCCAAGCGGGGGGAGGATCATCTGAGGTCAGGAGTTCGAGACCAGCCTGGACAACATTTGAAACCCCATCTCTACTAAAAATACAAAAATTAGCCAGGTGTGGTGGCGGGCACCTGTAATCCCAGCTACTTGGGAGGCTGAGGCACAAGAATCTGTTGAACCCGGGAGGCAGAGTTTGCAGTGGGCCGTGGCCGCACCATTGCACTCCAGTCTGGGAGACAAGAGCGAACTTCCATCTCAAGAAAAAAAAATAAATGAAAAGATATATAAAAAATAACCTCCTAACAAAGAAAAGCCCAGGATAGGTGTCTTCACAGGTGAATTTTGCCAAACATTTAAAGAACCTAATGCCAATCCTTCTCAAACTCTTCCAAAAAAGATTGTAGAGGAAGGAACACCTCCAAACTCATTTTATGACGCCAGCATTACCCTCTTACCAAAGCCAGATAATGACACATCAAGAAAATTACAACCAATAACCCAAAAATCCTTAATAAAATACTAGCAAACCAAATTCAACAGCACATTAAAAAGATCACACACCATAATTAAGCAGGATTTATCCCTAGGGTACAAGGATGGTTCAACACACACAAATCAATAAATGTGATACACCACATTAACAGAATGAAGAATAAAAATCATATGATAATTTCAATAAATGCAGAAAAATAATTGGACAAAATTCAACATCCTTTCATGATAAAACTCCTCAACAAATTAGGCATAGAAAGAATGTAACTTAACATAATAAAAGGCATATATGACAACGCTACAGTTAACATCGTACTCAACAATGAAAAGCTGAAGTTTCCCTCTAAGATCAGGAACAAGATAAGTGTGCTTTGTTTCTTTTCAACATTGGAGAAGTCTAGCCAGAGCAATCAGGTGAGAAAGAGAAATAAAAGACATCCACATCAGAAATGAAGAAATTGAACTGTCTGTGTTTGCAGATGATATAATCTCATATATAGAAAACTCTAAAGACTCCACCAAAAAAACTGTTAGAACTAATAAAACACATTCAGTAAAGTTGCAGAACACACTATCAACACACAAAATTCAGTTGAATTCTTCCTTCCTTCCTTCTTTCCTTCCCTCCCTCCCTCCTTTTCTTTCTTTCTTTCTTTCTTTCTTTCTTTCTTTCTTTCTTTCTTTCTTTCTTTCTTTCTTTCTTTTTCTTTCTTCCTTCCTTCCTTCCTTCCTTCCTTCCTTCCTTCCTTCCTTCCTTCATTCCTTCCTTCCTTCCTTCCTGTCTCTCTCTCTTTCTTTCTGAGAGAGGGTCTTGCTCTGTTACCCAGGCTGGAGTACAGTGGGATGATCTCAGCTCACTGCAACCTCTGCCTCCTGGGTTTAAGTTATCCTCCCACCTCAGCCTCCCAAGTAGCTGGGACTACAGGCATGCACCACCACATCTGGCTAATTTTTGTATTTTTTGTAGAGATGAGGTTTTGCCATGCTGCCCAGGCTGGTCTTGAACTCCCGAGCTCAAGCAATTAGCCCACCTTGGCCTCACAAAATGCTTTCAGGAGTGAGCCACTGTGCCTGGCCTCAGTTGCATTTCTATACACCAGTAAAGAACTATTTAAAGAAGAAGTTAAGAAAACAATCCCATATATAATAGCATCACAAAGAATAAAATACTGAGGAATAAATCTAACCAAGAAGGTGAAGAATCTGTACATGGGAAACCATAGGCTATTGATGAAAGAAACTGAAGAAGACACAAATACAAGGAAAGTATCCTGTGTGGTGGATTGGAGGAATTGATATTGTTAAAATGTTTATATTACCCAGAACAATCTACAGATTTAATGTAATCCCTATTAAAATTCCAATGATTTTTTTTTTTTACAAAATTAGAAAAAAAATCCTAAAATTTGTATGGAACCACAAAAGACCCAGAACAGCAAAAGCAATCTTGACAAAGAACAAAGCTGGAAGCATTATACTTTCTGATTTCAAACTATAGTCATGCATCCATAACAATGGCGATAAGTTCTGAGAAATGTGTCATTAGGTGATTTTGTCATTGTGTAAACATCATAGAATGTTCTTAAACCTAGATGGTGTATCCTGTCTAGGCTATAAGGTATAACCCATTGCTCCAAGGCTACAAACCTGTACACCATATACACAGTATCGAATACTGGAGGCAACTGTAACACAATGGTATTTGTGTGTCTAAACATATCTAAACTAGAATACGTAGAGTAAAAATACAGTATAAATGATTAAAAAAAAAAAAGATACATCTCTACCACTGTCTAGGGCACTTACCACGAATGAAGTTTGCAAAACTGGAAGTTGCTCTGAGTGAGTCAGTGAGTGAGCAGTGAGTGAATGTGAAGGCCTAGGATATTACTGTACACCACTGTAGTCTTTATAAACACTGTGTACTTAGGCTACACTAAATTTTTAAAAATTTTATTTCTCCAATAATAAATTAACTTTAGCTTATTGTAACATTTTTACTTCACAAACTTTCAATTTTTTTAACTTTTTTTTTCAAATAGCTCCTGTCAACTTAAAAAAAATTTCCATAAGTTATTGGGGTACAGGTGGTATTTGGTTACATGAGTAAGTTCTTTAGTGGTGATTTGTGAGATTTTGGTGCATCCATCACCTGAGCAGTATACACTGCCCCATATTCGTAGTCTTTTACCTCTCGCCCCCTCCCACCCTACCCGTTAAGTCCCCAAAGTCCATTGTGTCATTCTTATGCCTTTGAGTCTTCATAGCTTAGCTAACCCATATCAGTGAGAACATAGGCTATTTGGTTTTCCATTCCTGAGTTACTTCACTTAAAATAATAGTCTCCAGTCTCATCCAGGTCACTGCAAATGCTGTTAATTCATTCCTTTTTCTGGCTTAGTAGTATTCCATCGATCATATATATACACACACGTATATATAAACTGTGATATATGTGTGTGTATATATGTATGTGTATATATACATATATATATATATATGTATATCACAGTTTCTTTATCCATTCATTGATTGATGGGCATTTGGGTTGGTTCCAAGATTTTGCAATTGTGAATTGTGCTGCTATAAACATGTGTGTGCAGGTATCTTTTTTGAATAATGACTTCTTTTCCTCTGTGTAGATACCCAGTAGTGGGATTGCTGAATCAAATGGTAGTTCTACTTTTAGTTCTTTAAGGAATCTCCACACTGTTTTCCATAGTGGCTGCATTAGTTTACATTCCCACCAGCACTGTAGAAATGTTCCCTGATCACTGCATCCATGCCAACATCTACTATTTTTTGATTTTTTTTATTATGGCCATTCTTGCAGGAGTAAGGTGGTATCCCATTGTGGTTTGGATTTGCATTTCCCTGATCATTAGTGATGCTGAGCATTTTTTCATATGTTTGTTGGCCATTTGCATATCTTCTTTTGAGAATTGTCTATTCATGTCCTTAGCCCACTTTTTGATGGGATTGTTTGTTTTTTTTCTTACTGATTTGTTTGAATTTGTTGTAGAATCTGGATATTAATCCTTTGTCAGATGTATAGATTGTGAAGATTTTCTCCCACTCTGTGGGTTGTCTGTTTACTCTGCTGACTGCTCCTTTTAACTTGCAAAAGCTCTTCAATTTAATTAGGTCCCAGCTAGTTATCTTTGTTTTTATTGCATTTGCTTTTGGGTTGTTAGTCATGAAATCCTTGCCTAAGCCAATGTCTAAAAGAGTTTTTCCAATGTTATCTTCTAGAATGCTTATAGTTTCAGGTCTTCAGTTTAAGTCCTTAATCCATCTTGAGTTGATTTTTGTATAAGGTGAGAGATGAGGATCCAGTTTCATTCTTCTACATATTGCTTGCCAATTATCCCATCAACATTTGTTGAAAAGGGTGTCCTTTCCCCACTTTATGTTTTTGTTTGCTTTGTCAAAGATCAGTTGGCTGTAACTATTTGGGTTTATTTCTGGCTTCTCTATTCTGTTCCATTGGTCTATGTGCCTATTTTTATACCAGTACCATGCTGTTTTGGTGACTCTGGCCTTATAACATAGTTTGAAATCAGGTAGTGTGATGCCTCCAGATTTATTCTTTTTGCTTAGTCTTCCTTTGGCTATGCGGGCTCTTTTTTGGTTCCATTTTAATTTTAGAATTGTTTTTTCTAACTCTGTGAAGAATGATGGTGGTATTTTGATGGAGATTGCATTGAATTTGTAGATTGCTTTTGGAAGTATGGTCATTTTCTCAATATTGATTCTACCCATCCATGAGCATGGGATGTGTTTTCATTTGTTTATGTCATCCTGTGATTTCTTTCAGCATTGTTTTGTAGTTTTCCTTGCAGAGGGCTTTCGACTCCTTTGTTAGGTACATTCCTAAGTATTTTATTTTCTTGCAGCTATTGTAAAAGGGGTTGAGTTATTGATTTGATTCTCTGCTTGGTCGCTGTTGGTGTATAGAAGAGCTACTGATTTATGTATATTAATCCTGTATCTGGAAACTTCGCTGAATTCTTTTATCAGTTCTAGGAGCTTTCTGGAGGAGTCCTTAGGGTTTTCAAGGTAAATGATCATACCGTCAGTAAACAGGGACAGTTTGACTTCCTCTTTATCAATTTGGATGCCCTTTATTTCTTTCTGTTGTCTGATTGCTCTGGCTAGGACTGCCAGTACTATGTTGAGGAGGAGTGGGCATCCTTGTCTTGTTCCTGTTCTCAGAGGGAATGCTTCAACTTTTCCCCATTCAGTATTATGTTGGCTGTGGGTTTGTCATAGATGGCTTTTATTACATTAAGTTATGTCCCTTGTATGCCGATTTTGTTGAGGGTTTTAATCAAAAGCAATGCTGGATTTTGTCAGATGCTTTTTCTGCATCTATTGAGATGATCATGTAATTTTTGTTTTGAAGTCAGTTTATGTGGTGTATCACATTTATTGACTTGCATATGTTAAACCATCCCTGCATCCCTAGTATGAAACCCACTTGATTGTAGTGAATTATCTTTTTGATATGTTGTTGGATTCAGTTAGCTAGTATTTTCTTAAGGATTTTAGCATCTATGTTCATCAAGGGTATCAGTCTGTAGTTTTCTTTTTCAGTTGTGTCCTTTCTTGGTTCTGGTATTAAGGTGATGCTGGCTTCATAAAAGGAATTAGGGGAGGGTTCCTTCTTTCTCTGTCTTTTGGAATAGGGTCAAAAGGATTGGTACCAATTCTTCTTTTAATGTCTGGTAGAATTCTGCTGTGAACCCATCCAGTTCTGGACTTTTTTTGTTGGTAATTTTTAAAGTATAATTTCAATCTCACTGCTTGTTACTGGTCTGTTCAGGGCATCTAATTCTTCCTGATTTAAGCAAGGAGGGTTGTATTTTTCCAAGAATTTATCCATCTCTTCTGGTTTTCCAGTTTATGTGTGCAAAGGTGTTCATAGTAGCCTTGAATGGTCTTTCGTATTTCAGTTGTGTCAGTTGTAATATCTCCTGTTTTGTTTCTTGGTGAGGTTATTTGGATTTTCTCTTTTCTTGGTTAATCTTGCTAATGGTCTATCAATTTTATTTATCTTTTCAAAGAACCAGCTTTTTGTTTCATTTACCTTTTGTATTTTTTTTTTTGTTTCAATTTCATTTAGTTCTGCTCTGATCTTGGCTATTTCCTTTATTCTGCTGGGTTTGGGTTTGGTTTGTTCTTGTTTCTCTAGTTCCTTGAAGGGTGACCTTAGATTGTCTGTTTGTGCTCTTTCAGACTTTTTGATGTAGGCATTTAGGGCTATGAACTTTCCTCTTAGCACTGCCTTAGCTATACCCCAGAGGTTTTGATAGGTTGTGTCATTATTGTCAATCACTTTGAAGAATTTTTAAATTTCCGTCCTGATTTTGTTTTTGACCCAATGCTCATTTGGGAGCAGGTTATTTAATTTCCATGTATTTGCATGGTTTTGAAGTTTCCTTTTTGAGTTGACTTCCAGTTTTATTCCACTGTGGTCTCAGAAAGTGCTTGATACAATTTCAATTTTCTTAAATTTATTGAGGCTCATTTTATGGTTTATCATATGGTATATCTTGGAGAAAGTTCCATGTGCTGTTGAATATAATGTATATTTTGCAGTTGTTGGATGAAATGTTCTGTGTATATCTGTTATGTCCATTTGTTCCAAGGTATAGTTTAAATCCATTGTTTCTTTGTTGACTTTCTGTCTTGATGACTTGTCTAATGCTGTCAGTGGAGTACTGAAGTCCCCTACTATTACTGTGTTGCCGTCTGTCTCATTTCTTAGGTCTATTAGTAACTGTTTTACAAATTTGGGAGCTCCAGGGTTAGGTGTATATATGTTTAGGATTGTGATATTTTCCTGTTGGACAAGGCCTTTTACCATTAGATAACCTCCTTCCTCCTTCTTTGTCTCTTTTAACCACTATTGCTTTAAAGTTTGTTTTGTCTGGTGTAAGAATAGCTACCTCTGCTCACTTTTGGTGTCCATTTGCATGAAATGCCTTTTTCCACCCCTTTACTTTAAGTTTACCTGAGTCCTTCTGTGTTAGGTGAGTCTCCTGAAGGCAGCAGATGGTTGGTGAGTTCTAATCTATTCTGTGTTTCTGTAACTTTTAAGTGAAGCATTTAGGCCATTTACATTCAATGTTAGTGTTGAGATGTGAGGTACCATTGCATTCATCATGGTCTCTGTTGCCTGTGTACTTTGTTTTGTTTTTTTGTTTTTTGTTTTTGCTTTTTAACTTGTATTTTTGTTGTATAGGTCCTGTGTGATTTATGCTTTAAAGAAGTTCTGTTTTGATGTATTTCCAGGATTTGTTTCAAGATTTAGAGCTCCTTTTAGTAGTTCTTGTAGTGGTGAGATCTCAGCATTTGTTTGTCTGAAAACGACAGTGTCTCTCTTTCATATATGATGCTTAGTTTCATTGGATACAAAATTCTTGGCTAATAATTGTTTTGATTGAGGAGGCTGAAGATAGGGCCCCAATCCCTTCTAGCTCGTAGGGTTTCTGCTGATAAATCTGCATTAATCTGATAGGTTTTCCTTTATAGGTCACCTGGTGCTTCTGTCTCACAGCTCTTAAGATTCTTTCCTTCATTTTAACTTTGGATAACCTGATGACAATGTGCTTAGGTGAAGATCTTTTTGTGATGAATTTCCCAGCTGTTCTTTGTGTTTCTTGTATTTGCATGTCTAGGTCTCTAGCAAGGTGGGGGAAGTTTTCCTCGATTATTCCTCCAAATACATTTTCCAAGCTTTTAGAACTGTCTTCTTCCTCAGTAACACCAACTACCCTTAGATTGGTCATTTAACATAATCCCAGACTTCTTGGAGGCTTTGTTCTTTTTTTCTTATTCTTTTTTCTTTGTCTTTGTTGGATTGGGTTAAGTCAAAGACCTTGTCTTTGAGCCCTGAATTTCTTTCTTCTACTTGCTCGATTCTATTGCTGAGACTTTCCAGAGCATTCGCATTTCTGAAAGTGTGTCCAAAGTTTCCTAAATTTTTTATTATTTTTCTTCTTTCTGTTTTTTGTTTTTGTTTTTGTTTTTTTGTTTTGTTTTGTTTTTGATGGAGTCTCTCTTTGTTGCCCAGGCTGGGGTGCAATGGTGCAATCTCACCTCATTGCAAACTCTACCTCCCGGGTTCAAGCAATTCTCTTGCCTCGGCCTTCTGAGTAGCTGGGACTACATGTATTCATCACCATGCCTGGCTAATTTTTGTATTTTTAGTAGAGATGGGGTTTCACCAAGTTGGCCAGGCTGGTTTTGAACTCCTGTCCTCAGATGATCTGCCCTCCTCAATCTCCCAAACTGCTGAGATTACAGGCATAAGCCACTAATTGTTTCTTCTTTAAGCTTTCTATTTCCTTGAGTATTTCCCCCTTCACTTCTTGTATCATTTTTTGTATTTCTTTGGATTGGGCTACACTTTTCTCTAGTCTGTCCCTGATTATCTTAATAACTAACCTCCTGGATTCTTTTTCAGGTAAATCAGGGATTTCTTCTTGGTTTGGATCCATTGCTGGTGAACTAGTGTGATTGTTGTGGGGTGTTGATGAGCCTTGTTCTGTCATATTACCAGGGTTTGTTTTCTGGTTCCTTCTCATTTGGGTAGCCTCTGTCAGAGGGAAGGTCTAGCACTGAGGCTGTTGTTCAGATTTTTTTTGTTCCATGGGGTGTTCTCTTGATGTAGTACTTTCCCCCTTTTCCTGTGGATGTAGCTTCCTGTGAGCTGAACTGCAGTGATTGTTGTCTCTCTTCTGGGTCTAGCCACCCAGTGAGTCTACCCAGCTCCAGTCTGGTACTGCATGTTGTCTGCACAGAGTCCTGTGATGTGAAGTGTCTATGGGCCTCTCAGCCATGAATACCAGTGCCTCTTCCAATGGAGGTGGTGGAGAGTGCGATGGACTCCATGAGGTCCTTAGCTTTGGTGGTTTAATGCTCTGTTTTTGTGCTGGTTGGCCTCCTGCCAGAAGGTGGCACTTCCCAGAAAGCATCAGCTGTAGTAGTGTGGCAAGGGACTGGCAGTGGGTGGTGTTGGGAAAAGCTGAGGCAGGGCTTGTATGTCTGACATAATGTAAAAGAGTCTTGGAACATGTCCTGGGCCCAGGATCTAAAACCCCTCGTGGCCTTTGGAACATCAGGCTCTGTGCTAAAGGGTGGAAGGCTGCCCTGCCGTACCAAAATCTAAGCCCAGGGCATAAAACCCCTCGTAGCTTGGATGGAATCCAGGGCTCAGAGCATGAAAGCCCTCGTGGCCTCTGGAATGTGTCTAGGCTTGCTGGCTCCTTGCTTCTAGCAATCCCAGGCTCATGGATGGATTGTATCTCAAACTAGAAGGACAAGTTCCCCATTATCTCAAGTAGCAGAACATGTTCCATATGCTTCAAAGGGAATGCTAAACCGTCACAGCTATAGCTCATACGCTTGACGCACCGCTACCTTTCAACCCCCACATCTTCACCACCTGCTTCTTTGTTTGATCACCAATAAATAGTGTGTGCTTCCAGAGCTCGGGGACTTCGCAGCCTCCATAGTAGCGTTCACTCCCTGGAGCCACTTTATGTACTCTTAACTTGTCTTGTCTCATTCCTTTGACTATGCCAGACTTTGTAGCCCCCACGGCCTGGTGTTGGGTCTGGCTGCCCCAACAGGTGGGGTGCTAGAACTCCCAAGTTTGTATGCCTTTGTCTTCCCCTACCAGGGTGGGTAGGGAGGAACCAACAGGTGCGGGTGGGTCTAGGTGTGTCTGAGCTCAGACTCTCCTTGGGTGGGTCTTGCTACGGCTGCTGTGCGGGATAGGGGTGAGATTCCCATGTCACTGGAGTTGTGTACCTAGGAGGATTATGGCTGTCTCTGCTGAGTCACGCAGGTTGTCAGGGAAGTGGGGGAAAGCCAGCAGTCACAGGCCTCACCCAGCTCCCATGCAAATTGAAGGGCTGGTCTCCCACTTCAAACAGCCCTGAGTCTGTTTGCAGGCAGAGGGCAAGATGGGCTTGAAAACTTGCCCAAGGCTTTCTGACTCCCAGCTTCAGCTTCTTCAGTAGGGGTGTGTGTTCCGGAGAGGAGGGTCTCCCTTTCCCACTTCCACGGTTGGGGCACTCAGTATTTGGGGTGTCTCCTGGGTACTGCAGGAGCAGTCTGCTTCCTTCAGAGGGTCTGTGGGTTCTCTCAGAATTGCTGGTTTGTTCATGCAGTCGATTTAAAGCTGTGCCACAGAAGGACTCCCCAGCGCCTATTCCCTGAATCATCCTCCTCTTCCTTTCCTCTTTCTCTCTCTCTCTTCCTCAGTCTGCTGGGCACTCACAGCACTGGTTTTTTTTTGTTGTTGTTTTGTTTTTATGTTTTGACTTTTGTAATAACACTTAGCTTAAAACATCAACGCATTGTGTAACTGTCTAACAATCCTTTATTTCTTTATATTCTCAATCTAAAACCATTTTTATTTTTATTTTTTCATTTTTTACTTTTAAAACTTTTGTTAAAAACGAAGAAACAAACTTAAACATTAGCCTAGACCTATACAGGGTCAGGATTGTTGGAGGCTGAAGTAATGAGGGTAGTGATCAACTCAGTATACCACTGGAGGCCATACGAGTAAGCAGCAAACTGTTTTTCATAAAAGCAGAATGTTGGCAAACTGACAAACTGTATGCCACCCAGAAGGACTGCTGAGGGCAGTCATGATCCAGGCTCAAATGTTTCTTATGATTAGGCATAACTGAAGCCTGTCAGTAACAATATGAACCTGTGATCAGTTAAGCAGCTGACCGATCATTACCTCCTCCTCACTGCCCTTGTTACCCAATAAATACGAAGGGCTATAGAAGTTGGTGGGCTGCCTTTGCTCACTAGAAGCGGGGAGCTCTCTTCTTCTTCCCCTGTCCCTTTCCTTAAAACGGTTTCTTTTTTTTTTTGTTACCATTTCTACGTTCATCCCTTCATTCGGTTTCGAGTAGTAACTGCTGTAAAGATGGTTTCAAGTAGTAGCAGTGATAGTCAGCCACTGAAGGGACTATCAAGGAGAAAAAGAGACCTAGAGACCTGAAGGGGCCTGAAGAGGCCTGCAGGGACAAGTAGAGATAAGTAGAAATAAGTAAATAGAGATAAGTAAATTAAGTAGAGATAAGTAGAGAAAAGTAAGTAGAGATAGGTAGGGGAAGACAGGAACTTGCAGGAACTAACAGGTACCATAGGGACAGATAGGGATAGATAAAGGCTAGCAATATAAGGTCAGTGCCCTAAAGAGGTACAAAAGTAGAAGCTAGAAGAGGCCAGCAAAAACTCTCAGGGACAGATGGGGTCCTATAGGGACTTGAACAAGGAAGTTCTGCTGCAACAGAAACTAAAACCAACCAGACAAATGAGAAACCCTGTTAACAAGTCTGCCGGAAGCAACGTAAGATCAGTACTCTGAAAAGGTAATGGTCAGTGCCCTAGAGGTACAAAGAATGGGAAGTTTTTGAATCAGGGTAACATGGAGAAGAATTTGGTTATGTTTTTTCTCTTTTTTTTTTGTTGGGAGTTTGGTACATACCATATTATTTCAGGGTTTGAGAAAAATTTTTGCCCCACCTACAGCGCCTGTCAAAAGTGGTGAACAGGAGAGGGAGAATGAGAATTGGCTTGTACCATCTTCTGTGGCTACGGAAAGGCTAACTTTAGCTTTGGCTTTTGTGGATTGTAAACATGCATTGGCACCTGTGAGGTGTGCCGAGGACTTAGGAGGTTTTCTCGGAGCCTGTCAGGATGTGGGAACTGAGCTTCATTGCTCTGCAGTGTTGGCTCGGGCAATGGCTAATTTGGTAGCTGACAGATCTAAAGGAAGCCAAGGGTCAAGCCCTAAAGTGGGAAAGTGTTATAAGTGTAGAAAAATTGGACGTTTTGGAAAAGAACACCGCCAGACCTCTGGGCAGAAGGGATTTTATAATGCAGTTCCCCCTCAAGAGAAAAAAATGCCAGGACTTTGCCCTCGTTGTAATAAAGGAAATCATTGGGCTAATGAATGCCGCTCAAAATTTCATCAGAACGGCACCCCGCTGTCGGGAAACAAGAAGGGGGCCTGGACCTGGACACCTCAAACTATGAGGGCATTCCCCATCCAGGCCACCACTCCGTCTCAGGGGTGGGTTTACAGAGGCACATTGATTCCCTCTCCCAGGAACACCTGGAAACAGGATTAGATCTCCTAGAGAGCAAATTACATTAATTGAAAGAAACAAACTCACTAAGATTCCCATTGGTATTTGGGGACCTTTGCCAACAGGATACATAGGATTCATTTCGGGTAAAGGTCATGTTAACTTAGAGGGCATTACTGTAATCCTAGGAGTTGATTTTGATTGTGAAGGAGAAATTCGGGTAGTGGTAATGTCACAAAATCCTTGGGTTTTTGAAACGGGAGAATGTATTCCTCAACTGTTGCTTATTCCCTGTAAATTGCACCTCTCTCTATGAGAGGAGAAATGAAGGAATCAGGGATTTGGAAGTACAACTACATGGGAAATTTATCTATCACGACCCATAGCATCTCACAGACCCACTTGTGCAGTGTAAATTGTAGAAAAGATTTGTGGGCTTATGGAAACGGGAGCAAGAAACTGGTTTCTCGTGGTAATAGATCTTGAGGATTGTTTACGAGAAGGATAAGCCTCCATTTGCTTTCTCTGTCCTTCTGTTAATCAGAAAGAGCCTGTTTTTCATTATCAGTGGAAAGTTTTACCCTGCAGCAGTTAACCAAAGAGGCAGAGGCTGAGTTGCAGCTTGTAGAGCAGATGCTTCGGCAGTGGCATGCCTTGCAGCTACAACCACAAAAACTCTGGCTTCTGTTTTGGTAGATTTACTAACATGGGGACGAGGGTATGCTTGTGTTTCTGCAGGAGATGAACAAGCCATGTGGGTGCCCTCAAGGTGTGTGCGACCATGGAACGGGAGACTGGAGGGGACCCATGGATTCCAACTACAGGCCTGGTTCCCCCAGTACGAGCCATGAGCCAGTTGAATCTGAATGCAAAGATGGAACGAGGACCGACCAGAGTCACGCTTACATTAACCCCCATAATATAGGGACCGATCTAGAAAACCACACAAGAAGCTGAGAAACTGCTGGAGGGCCAGGATTTCACCTTTTACTGGAACTCAGAGGTACAATTGATGCTTAATGGACGAATGCTTTCTGACTGAGCTCTCTACCCTGAATACAAGAGACCCTAATAGTTAGGCAGGAATAGTTAGGCACACCCCTATTAAGCATGAAGAAGTTGCAGAAGATGGACCTTCATCCTTCTGCAACCCTTAGGATTAAGGTCCTCTTGTAAAAAGGAAGAGGGAAATATGTAAGGAACATTCAAACCAGAGCAACTCCATTATGAATAAGGGCTAAGAAAAATGAAGCCAGATCACCAACCTGCAATTGAGGGCTGCACAGCCTGCAATTGCGTTGCTCAATTAATTTAAAAACAAAAAGCAGGAGATATAGCAGGCCGAAAGAATGAGGGTTGTGATCAACTCAGTATACCACTGGAGGCTAAATGAGTGAGCAGCAAACTGTTTTTCATAAATGCAGAATGTTGACAAACTGACAAACTGTGTATGCCACCCAGAAGGGACTGCTGAGGGTAGTCACCGTCCAGGCACAAATGTTTCTTGTGATTAGGCATAATTGAAGCCTGTCAGTAACAATATGAACCTGTGATCAATTAAGCAGCTGACTAATCATTACCTCCTCCTCCCTGCTCTTGTTACCCAATAAATACGAAGGGGTGTAGAAGGTCGTGGGCTGCCTTTGCTCACTAGAAGCAGGGCGCTCTCTTGTTCCCCTGGCCCTTTCCTTAAAACAGTTTCTTTTGTTTCTGTTACTATTTTTATGTTTATCCCTTCCTTCATAATAATAGTCTCAAGTAGTAACAGTAGTAACTGCTGTAATGATGATCCCAAGCAGTAACAGTAGTGACTGCTGTAATGACAGTCTCAAGTAGTAGCAGTGGCAGTCAGCCACGCAGGATCATCAATATCACTGTCTTCCACCTCCACATTTTGTCCCTCTGTAAGATCTTCAGAGGCAGTAACATACATGGAGCTGTCATCTATGATAACATTGTCTTCTTCTGGAATGCCTCCTGAAGGACCTGCCTGAAACTTTTTTACAGTTAACTTAAAAAAAATAAATAGGAGTACATTCTACAATAGCAGTAAAAAGTATACTATAGTAAATACATAAACCAGTTAATAGTAATTTATTATCAAGTATTATTTACTGTACATAATTGTATGTACTCTAGACTTTTATTATAGGACTGGCAGCACAGTAGGTTTGTTTATATCAGCATCATAAGCACATGAGTAACGTGTTGTGCTATGACGTTAATAACAGCTATAACATCACTAGGTGATAGGAATTTTTCAGCTCCATTTCAATCATATATGTGGTCTGTCATATGGGCATATGGCTGTATATTACAAAGTTATAGTAGTCAAAACTGCATGGTACTAGCATAAAAACAGACATATAGACCAATGGAACAGAAGAGAACCCATAAACAAACACATACATAAATAGTTGACTTATTTATTTATTTTTTTGGAGACAGAGTCTTGATCTGTCACCCAGGCTGGAGTGCAGTGGTGCAATCTCGGCTCACTGCAACCTCTGCTGCCCAGGCTCAAGCAATTCTCCCACCTTAGCCTCTTGAGTAGCTGGGACTACAGGCATGCACCACCAAGCCCAGCTAATTTTTTTATATTTTTAGTAGAGACAGGGTTTCACCATGTTGACCAGGCTGGTCTCAAACTCCTGACCTCAAGTGATCCGCCCACCTCAGCCTCCCAAAGTGCTAGGATTACAGGTGTGAGCCACCGCACCTTGCCAGCAACTTACCTTTGACAAGGGTGCTAAGAAAACAATGGGGAAAGGACAGCCTCCTTAATAAATGGTGCTGGGAAGACTGGATATTCTCATGCAAAAGAATGAAACTGAACCCTTATCCACCACACAAAAAGTAACACAGAATAAAGACTTAGATGTAAGACCTAATATCATAAATCTCCTAGAAGAAAGCATAGGGAAAAGCCGTTTGACATTGGTCTTGTAAATGATTTTTGGATATGACACCAAAAACACAGGCAACAAAATGAAAAAAAAAGTGGGACTACATCAAACTAAAAAGCTTCTTCACATCAAAGGAAGCAGTTAACAAAATGAAATGGCAACCTACAGAATGGGAGAAAATATTTGCAAACCGTATGTCTGATAAAGGCTTAATATCCAAAATATATAAGAAACTGTCTTAGCCCCTCTGGGCTGCTATAAGGTGTCTAAGATGCCACCAGATTTGGTGTCTGGTAAGGGCTTGCGTCCTTACAGATGGCTGTCTTCTCACTGTAAACTCACATGGCAGCAGGGCAAGGGATCTCTGGGGTCTCTTTTATAAGGGCACTACTACAACTTATGACCGCTTCATCTTCATAACCTCAACACTCCCCAAAGGCCCACCTCCTAGTAACATCACTTTGGCAGCTTAGATTTCAACATATGAATTTGGGGGAGACATAAACATTCAGTTCATTGTAGAACTCGTACAATTCAATAGCAAAACAAACTAAAAGCAGCCAAATAGCCCAGGTGAGAAATGGGCAAAGGATGTGAACATTTTCCCAGAGAAGACATGCAAATGGTACAAATGGCCAACAGGTATATGAAAAGGTGCTCAGCATCATTAATCATTAGGGAAATGCAAATCAAAGCCATAGTGAGACATTACTTCACACCTATTTAGATGGCTATGATAGAATAGGTGAAAGATGACAAGTGTTGGGGAGGGTGTGGAGAAAAGGAAGCCCTTGTATACTGTTGGTGGGAATGTTAATTAGTACAACCATTATGGAAAACAATATGGAGGTTCCTAAAAAAATTAAAAATAGAACTACAATATGATCCGGCAATCCCAATACTGGGTATTATATCCACAGGAAATGAAATCAGTATGCTGAAAAGATACTCTGTGCTTCCATGTTTATTGCAGCATATTCATAGTAACCAAGATATGGAAACCACCTAAGTGTCTGACAATGGCTATTTTTATTAGCACTCATTTTCTTGATTTTCATAGAAAATTATTTCTTTGCAGACTCAAATTTTATCAGTTCATGCAATTCAATTAAATTATATACGTATGAGGCATACAATGGAAATGAAGTTTGGGAACAAACATAACTGACTCTTGGGGAGTATTCCACTCAGCTAGTGGAAGCAGATGTGGAGGAGTAAACTAAAGTGAAGGCTACTAGCTATGAGTCTTCAGTATTTTATGAGAATCAGTTGGCATATTTCAGAAAGGGAATCAAGAATATTAAGTAGATGGTTAGAAAAACTACTGTATGCACATATGTATTTTCTGGGGACAGAGTCCATAGATGTCATTTAATTTTTGGAGGGATCTATGATCACTAAAATGTTAAGTACTGTTAACTTAAAAATTATACAATTTATAAATTTAAGAAAGGAGAGAAGAATTTATTTCTTATAAAGTGTTGCAGCCTGCAAGGTGACCAACCCACAGGCTGGGAAGTGTGCCTCCAGCCGAGACCAGAGATAGGCACTTTGAAGAAGGAGGGGCTGGAGTAGGAGCTTTATGCTGAACAGGTTGGCTAAACATGCATGTTTTACAGGAGGAGCTATGAATATTCATGAAGCTGATCCTGACATGCATATTGAACAAACATGCATGTAACATATGACCATGTTCACTTTAGGATGGAGAGTTAACATTTAAATATATTACAATTAGGCCCTATATGTCAAAATGTTTTTTCAGGACATGAAGGCATATAGATGTGCAACTTCTGTAAACTGATCAGAACCAGCCCATGGGTCAGTGGTATTCTTATCAGGAGAAAGTTATTAAAACCAGTCTTTATCCAATGAAAGCCGTAGTTGTGGCTTGTGGAATAGGGGGTCAGTTAGCGTCTGGTGGAGCTGCAAATTGTTTTAATATTGCTTATCTGAAGGCCAGTGTTTGTTTAGCTGCTAGAGAAAAAGAAAAATCTTGTGACAGTTAGAACATAGTTTATTCTTTACGTGTAGGGTACATGACTTAACCCTCGCCTGGCACGACCTTAGGTCCTATTTATAATTTGGTATTGTATCGCCACAAAGAATCTGTTCTGCCAGTTTTATGATTTCTGTTTTAACATCAATGCCGGTCAGTCGTGTCTAAAAAGGGAGGGGGTATAATGAGGCCTGTCTGACCTCATCTCATCATGGCTGGGAACTAAGTTTTTAAGGCTTTTCTGGAATCCCTTTGGCCAAGAGGTGGTCTGTTCAGTCTGCTGGGGGGTTTAAGATTTTATTTGTAGTTTAAAGTATCATACTATAAATTAAAATAGAATCCATGGGGCCAGGTTAAGGAATAAACACTTTCTCTTCCTGTAATCTACTTTTGGACACTTGTGCATCCACCTTTTTCATGAAGATTCTCTTCTCCCTAAAAAATAAATTCATGCAAACAGATGCTTGTGAGCCAGTGGCCCAACGAGTTCATCAGAAACATTCACTCTAAATAGCTTGGTGCCTAGTGTTCTTAGTACAGTCCAGTGTGATGTAATGAAGAGAGGTTGATACATTACTGATGCATTCAGTGACAACATTTCATTAAGAAGGCTGTTCTGTTTTACACATCTGAAAACCAGTTAGAAAGTGACATGATTTGGATGTTTCCTCCCCTCCAAATCACGTGGTGAAATGCGACCTCCAATGTTGGAGGTGGACTGAGTGGGAGGTGTTTGGGTGTTGGGGGCAGATCCCTCATGAATGTCCTGGTGCTGTCCTCACAGTAAAGTGAGTTCTCACTCTATGAGTTCACATGAGATCTGGCTGTTTAAAAGAGCCTGAGTTTAAAAGAGAGAGCCTCCTCCCTCTCTCTTGCTCCCTCTCTTCATGCGATAGGCCTGCTCCCCCTTTGCCTTCCACCAGGATTGTAAGCTTCCTGAGGTCCTCTCACCAGAACCAGATACCAGCACCACACTTCCTGTACAGCCTGCAAAACTGTGAGCCAAAATAAACCTCTTTTCTTTGTAAATTACCCAGTATCAGGTATTCCTTTATAGCAATGCAAACGGACGAATGCAGAAAGAAAGGGTCTTCATTTCCTAACTTCAGAAACTACAGTCTTTGTAGTTTCCTTTGTAGTACCTTTGTAAAGACAAAGGTCTTTAAACAGTTTAGTGCTTAGTGTTCTCATTAAAGTATAATGTTATATAATGAACGTGGGCTGATAAATTATTGATGCATTGAAAGGCAACATTTCATTGAAAAAAATTCAAACTCAATCTCAGTTTAGAATCTTCCAAGTGAATGAGGACTTCTAACTCTGTTCAGGTCAAATGTAGCCCTCTCAGAGAAACTGACTGACCATGCTGTCTGAAGTTAACAGCTTCCGTTAATTTTGATTCTCTTACCCCATTTTCTTTTTCTTCATAGCACTGTCCGACATTGTATTATATATCTATTTATTTATTATCAGTTTTCTGTCTCCTTACTAGTGTGTAAGCTTCATTAGAGCAGACTTTGTTTTGATTATCAGTATATCTCCTGTGCATATGACAGTGCCTGACACTTATCACCATTACATAATGATTTATTGAGTAAATAAATTGAGTAATTTAATGATTAAATGGTTTGTTTCCATGTTCATGTTCCATCCAGACACATAGGCAGGTATTGTGGCTTATCTCTGAATTCCTTGGTACTGGCTGGTTGGTACCATAGACCCTTGCAAACAATGAATAAATAAATTACCCTGATCCATCAGTGTGCCTGGATAGAAAAGACATGTAGGAATGCTGCACCCCAGGATGTGCTATTAATACACTTATACACCACGGAATACTATGCAGCCATAAAAAAAAGAATGAGTTCATGTCTTTTGCAGGGACATGGATGAAGCCGGAAGCCATCATTCTCAGCAAAATAACACAGAACAAAAAACCAAACACCACATATTCTCATTGAGTATGTGGGAGTTGTTCAACTGTGGGAGTTGAACAATGAGAACACATGGACACAGGGAGGGAAACATCACACACCGGGGCCTGTCAGGGGGTGGAGGGCAAGGGGAGGGAGAACATTAGGACAAATAACTAATGCATGCAGGGCTTAAAACCTAGATGACGGGTTGGAAGGTGCAGCAAGCCACCATGGCACATGTATACCTATGTAACAAACCTGCACGTTCTGCACATGTATCCCAGAACTTAAATAATAATTAAAAAATACACTTAAATTTATTTTTAAACAAGATTGTTCTCTTGAGGTTAACTTATTACTACTTTGAGTTGTCAGGAGTGATTGCAAATTTCTTGGGAATCCCTAAGTCACCAAGAATAAAGACCACTTGTAATAGCTAAGGCATATTCAACAATAAAATTCTAGAGATTCAGGATATTTGATGTTTGCTTATAACATTTCACTTTTGAGCTTTTATTCGTTTAATAAATGTTTTATCATCTATGCTCAATAACATTTTAAAGTGTCCATTCAAATCATTTCATTGGGCAAAACAATGTTCCTTCCCTAATTTCCCTCATCAGAATAGCCATTTTGTCTCTGTGCTCAGCCTATACCACCAATTACTGTTTATTTCCTGTCCTTGTAATAAGCAACATAGTTATTTATACATGCCCATTTCTCCCACAGCACATAAGCTTTTTAAGGTTGGGAACCATGTCTTTGTCATTATTGTAACATCTCTTTCCATTCCCGGTGTTCAGTACGATGTGTTAAACGAAGTAGACACTCAAAACTTTTTAAAATTTATTTTTATTTATATAATGAGTCTTTTTTAAAAAAACCACCTACACTATTTTAAATTCATTTGAACTTTGTCCAGTATCCTATGTACATTTGAAGTTTAACTACCGGAAAAGTCTTTTGAAGGCAGATCGAATCATGTTATTTTTTTCCCTTAAAAATCCCTCATTTCTGTCATGTATTCCCCATATTATTTATGTAATAGGTAAAGTGGCCCAGTTTGCCACTTTGAAGTTGCTGAGCTGGTATCACAAGTCAGTCCCCTCTGTTTTAATCTCTGTTTAAGGAAAGTCACTCTGAAACGACAGATCTTTTGGTTCCTTATTTCTGCTTTCCTCCGTCCTCTTCTGCCTGTGAAGCCACCCTCCTCTGCTCAGCTCTGTTTCAGGAAATCGGAGCTGCTCGATTCATGTGTAGCAAATCAAAGCCAATTAGATCTGCGTTAACCTTGGTTTTCAACAACTTGTATCGTGAAAAGGTTTCTGTCCATGTTTACCCTCATCTTGTCACCATTTAGACCCCTACATACACCGGCTCGCGGAGCCTCCAGCCATTCAGCGCTAGAAAATCGGGGGGACTACGTCTTAAAACCTTGAGCACCTGTTTGGGAACATCTGCACCTCCTCCCTTGAGGGAGAAAACGACCCAGACATTCGCGTCAAAGGAAGTGTCGTCTATTTCCCTCAACGCAGGGCACCCGTTCTAGGAATGTTTGTATAAACACCGTAAACCTGCCTGGTACCACCATGAATGACACAAGAGCTAGTTTAAAAAGAAAGCAAAGAAACAAACGCAAAACCCGAAACCGCATCCTCCACCGCAAAGGTACTCGGATGGGGCGCCCGCCCTCCCCTTAGTCAGAGGACAAAGGGGGCGTGGCCGAGCGCGCGGCGCCCACGTGACCGCGGAGAGCTGCGCGCAGGCCCTTCGCGCGATCTGCCGTCATATCAGCTTATGGCGCCGGTCGCTGATTGGCTGGCCGCTCCAGCCTCCCGGCCCGCTTGCTGGCTGCCCAGCTGCTAGGACAGTTTGCAGAGCAGTGGCGTGCGGAGCGGCGGCGGACCACCTCCAGGTGGGGACGGTGGGTGGGCGGGGAAGGAAGCGGAATACACCTGAGCGGGCTGGGCCGGGGGGCGATGGAATAAAAGAAGATGGAGAGACTTCAGCGCCTGGGACTCGGGTGGGCGAGGCGGAAGGTGTCCTCGCAGCACGGCTTTTCTCCGCGCCGCGGTTGGTTAGCGAGTGCCCTCTGGGTGCTAGGCGTTGGGCGGATGGTAGGATCGCGGTAGCATACGGATCCGAGTCCTGCGCCGAGTGAGAGGAGAGGCTGGCAGGTAGCCTGGCATCCCGAAGACTGGCGGCGAGGGCTGGGCCGGGGGACCTCGGGGCCTGGAGGGCTGCGCCACCTGGGAGTCCGGGCGGAGGGGCCTTCCGCTCGCGCTGGGAGGGATCGCGGGGCCGATAGGGAGGCCTGGACTTGAAGGAGCCGACCGTGGACGGGCTTAAAGAAAATGCAGTGTTTGATGTTGGGTGTTGCAGATCTCTTACTCAAGGGAATTCTGGTCTGGCTGCTGAACACGAATGCTTTACTTTTCCCTTCGTTCTGGGAGGGTTTTTTTCTTTTAAAGGCCAGAAGAATCAGGCTGAAGAACTGGTCGGTATCAGAACTCCTGACCATTGCAAGCCTCTGTTGCTGCGGCGTAATTAGAATGAAGGGACAGCAATCTGGGGCTGAGGAGACTGAAAGGAAAAGGGAAATAATCTGTTCCTTTTGCATCATAAAAGGAAAAATAATGTATACTGACATCCCTGTGTTACAGCAGAGTAGATTTGGAGGTGGTGTAAGTGAAGAAAACAAGACCTCAGTACATAGAGTTTCCAAACTGGAAAGTTTGTGGCAGCTCGGTACTTTTAGAGGAAACCCTCTGGAAGTTATTTGTCTTTATATCACTATCATTTTTTAAAGTTTCTAATGATTGATACCTAGTAAATAATAACTGATCCTTGATCATTTACAGAGTGCTTTTCCATTCGTTATGTAATGTAATTAATTAGCATGGGGTGGTACTCAGAATCCCTCATCTGCATATAAAACATCTTGAGAGATAACATAACGTGGTAGCAAAGAGAAAGGTTGTGGAATGTACATCCCAGCTGGTTTTTTCTGTTATTGTTGCTTGCTACTGAACAAGTTATTTAAATACTCTGACCTCAGTTTCCCTATCTATAAAGTGGGGAGCATAGAAGTACCTATCTCATAGAGGTATAGGGATTAGATGAGGTTATACAAAAATAATACCTGGTTCTCAATAAATATTAGCTATCATTTTCTATACTTTTAAAGTAGGGCAAAAAGATAATGGTAGACTGAGTTGTTCTAAGCCTAATATTGTTATTATAACTGAGTTTTAAGAAGAAGTTTCTTTAATTCTGCAAGGACAAAGTATTTAAGTTTCTGTTTGAAGCAGTGGTACTTAATTTAGGGTCCTTGGGACCCCTAACTTCAGGGCTTATAACCCCTTAAAATTATATGAGCTTGTAGAGGCACTGAACATTTTTAAAAATTCAGGAGTTGACGACTTGAAGTAGTGGTGAAGAGGCTATAGAACTTGGCAGAAGTTCACGTACTTTGCAACTAGATTGTGTGTATTTGAATCCTAGCTCCAGCATTTATTTACTCTTATGACCCTATGCAAGTTACTTAAAATTTCTGTGCCCAGCTTCTTCATCTATAAAATAATACTAGTACCTACCTTTGAGGCTTCTTGAAAGGGAAAATTAGTTAATATATTTAAAATATTTATATTACCTAGTATATATTAAATATTACTATCAACTACTGTCAGTTATTTTTCAAACAAAAATCAAGTGGCACCTATTTTATCTTCTATTGAAGTAATTTTGACGCATTTTTGACGGCCTTAACAGTGATAATCATATAGATGCTATTTTATTGAGTACCTTTCTTGGGTCAAATGTCAAAAGTCTACTTAGTCTCTAAACCTCACAGCAATCAAACATGTTTGTGTTCTTTTTGGTTGCACGATACTATTCTAGGTATTGTATTGAAGTAGGGCCACATGGCACTGTGGGGAACATGTAGATTGGCTCATCAGCTGTTACCAACCTTTAGTGATATAGCAATATCCTTTTCAATTATTAAATGTTTATGTTATCTGATATTACGTAGTACCCTGTCCCTGCTACACCACCTCCCTTGGCAGTCTTCACCCCTATAACTTCAACTACTACCTGTATACTAACCAGGCTCGCTTTTGAACTTCACATTTATATTTACATGTGGCCTATTGCTTATATCTAAGATAGAAGATGAGCCACAGATAATTAGGTTTTAAGATCTACATTGAACCCGTTTTGAACCCCAGATATCTGAGACAGGTCTCAGTCAATTTAGGAAGTTTATTTTGCCAAGGTTAAGGATTCACCCGTGACACAGCCTCAGGAAGCCCTGACAATATGTGCCCAAGGTGGTCGGGGACACAGTTTGCTTTTATACATTTTAGGGAGACATGAGACATCAATCAATATGTGTAAGAAGTACATTGGTTGGGTCTGGTAAGGCGGGACAACTCACAGTGGGGGCTTCCAGGTTAGAAGCAGATAAGAGACAAAGGTTGCATTATTTTGAGTCCTTGATTAGCCTTCCACTGAATGCACACATTTCGTCTGGCTCAGTGAATCTGCATGTTTACATAAACAATAGGGCAGAGGAAGCAATCAGAAATCCATTTGTGTCAGGTGAGCCTCAGAGGGATGACTTTGAGTCCTGTCTGTCCTTTATCCACAAAGGAATTTTCTGAGGGCAAATTGTGAGGGAGGGATGTAGCTTCTCATCCTTGTAGCTGTCTTATTTAGGAATAAAGCGGGAGGCAGGTTTGCCTAACATAGTTCCCAGCCTGACTTTTCTCTTAGCTTAGTGATTTTGGAGTCCCAAGATTTATTTTCTGTTCACACCATCATTCCTTACCCACCCCCTATTCCTACCCTACCCAAATCTGCTAGCTCTGCCAGTATTCCCTATTTCAATTACAATGACATCACCATCTACTTAGACCAGCTAAAGTCTCACAGTCATCCTAGATTTCTCTCTCTTTCACTTCCCAGCAAACGTGGGTTATCCAAATCCTGTGGGTGTTTTTACTTGCGCGAAATCTCTGCTGGCTAGTCTTAACAGCCACTGCCCGAGGTCAGGCTATCATTTTCTCTGGGTTATTCTACCACAGGAACAACCAAACTAGTCTCCCTGCTTCTCACCGATAACCCATATTTCTTTTCTTTCCTTTTTTATAGTGACGGAGTCTTGCCGTGTTGCCCAGGCTGGTCTCGAACTCCTGGCTTCAAGCGGTCCTCCTACCTCAGCCTCCCAAAGTGCTGGGAATAAGCATTAGCCACTTCACCTAGCCTAGTAGTCCAGATTTCTAATGGAATGGTTTTTATGAAATGTGGGTCTGATTGTATCTTTTTCCTACCTAGAAATCTTTAGTGTCTCCTCATAGCGTGTGAGAGAAAGTCCAAATTCCTCAGCAGGACAGCAGATCCCTCCATGCGTAGTCTAACAAATCTCCTTTACAAGTCCATCCCCTAACATGTTTTTCCCTCTGCTCCACCCCATCACCCTGTCTAACACCCACCAACCACACGCAGTGAGCCATGAATGCATCATGCTCTTCTCTTGCTTTGCAGTTGTGACTTCTCTTTGGAATGGCTATCCCTAACCTTTTCTTTCTGGTGATGTCCTTCAAAGTCCAAATCTAATATCATATTCACTAGGAAGCCTTTTACCATAAGCTGAGGTAGTTGTGTTGTCTTTTCTGATCTCATAGAATTTGCATATATATCTGTATTGCAGCACGTGTCCTATTGCTAGAATTGTTTTTGTAGTTGCCCTACCTTTAAGACTGATTTAGACTGTGTCTGTTTAATGTTTGTATGCTCATTACCTAGTGTGGTGCTTAACAATAAGTTCTTATTTGAATGAATTAACAATGGCATGTATGATGAGGAATATATGTTAATATCTGGCATTTGGTGCTAATTAAATTTTTCTTTTCCTGACAAAGTGAGGAAATGTTCATAATTCATATCATAAACAAAGGGCCAAACTCCCTAATATATAAGGAGCTTCTAGAATTTGACTTTTATAAAGATACTAAAAACTCAGTGGGAAAACGGGCAAAGGATAAAAACAGATAAACACAGAAAAAAATATAAATTATTCTAAATATATGGAATGATGCTCAACTTTACTCATAATAAGGTAAATGCAAATTAAGTATACCCGAGATAGCCCTTCTTTCTTGATGAATATGTGAAAGTTTGATGATATCCCCTGCTAGTAAGATTGCAGAGAAATAGGTAAGGTACTGTCCTACATCGTTTGAGGACTACAAAGTAGTTAAACTCTTATGGAGAGCGATGTAGCAATATCTACCAAAGTTATGAGTGTATAACTCTTTCGCTCAGCTCTTCTTTTAGAAATCTGCCTAATGAGGGCCTGTCATTGTAGCATTATTTGTAATAGCAAAAAATGGAACCTATCCAAATATCTAGATATGTGTTAAGTAAACACCTATATAACAGTGAATTAGACATAATTCAGTTGAACTCACAGAAATGGACACAGGTCCATAGTCCCTAGTCACAATTTGGAACTCTGGAAAGCCCTGTAAAACCAAAAAGTTGTTTTCTTTTTGCTTTAAGTTCGGCTCTCAAAATCATTTGATGACAAATTCTCACTCCATCTGACCGAGGTGCCCATTGTGTCTTGGCACACCTACCAGGTATTCCTGGTGTTTTTTATTGTTTTGTTAATTTGGGTTTAACGTGGCAGTGTGGGAACTACCACCACATGTGACTTAAAGAATAGAAAAACAGATCGTGGACGTTTTATAGTGGTAGTAAGGACTAAGAATTGATGAAAAATAGGGAGACATTGCAGAGGACTGAAAATGAAGATTCTAACCATGTTTCGGTTAAGTGGATTTCACAATAGGAAGTAAACAGATGCCACTCATTGCTTTGTTGATGATGGAAAAAGCTGGCATATATGAAGACCTGCTACTGAAGGATGTATTTAGTATTAACAAGGAAGAATTCAGAAACTTAGGAAGCAGTGTGGTGAAAAATATCTAAAAGTATGACAAGAGTTAATTGAAAATTTACTTTCTAGACAGCTCTTTTATGCATTCTCCTCAACTGTAGGTTATAGTTTTTAATCATTTACTTTTACTTCACTGTGACCAGAATACAGCCTTTTTCTTTGGGTCTTGCTCTGTTGCCCAGGCTGGAGTTCAGTGGCACGAATATGGCTCACGGTAGCCTTGAACTCCTTAAGCAATCCTCCCACCTTAGCCTCCTGAGGGTAGCTGGGACCACAGGGCTGTGCACCACGCCCGGCTAATTTTTGTATATTTTGTAGAGATGGGATTTCAGTATATTGCCCAGGCTGTTCTCCAACCTCTGAGCTCAAGGAATAAGCCTGCCTCCCAAAGCGCTGGTATTACAGTCATGAGCCACCATGCCTGACCAGAATACAATCTTTTTCTCCAAGGAGTGCTACACTCTGGGAAAAAGCAAGTATATTGCTTGCACAGTTAAGGGAGGCCTAGGAATCAAAACTTCCTTTAAGAGTTCAGTTGTAAAGATCCTGTTGTCAAAATTACTTAATGCTTGAAATGATGTTGATAAATCAGCAATAATAAATGTTTAACATTTTAGCTGACAATGAGGTTTGAAAATGAACCTGTAGATATTTTGGAAGATTTTCTATCACTAATGAGGTGATGATACCTAATCTCTTTAATTATACCATACATTTAATGGCCCAAACCATAAATACGTCAGGAGAAGCTGATGTTGAAGAAATGCTGAACATTAATCCTGATGCTTCTGTTCGGCACTTTTTGGGTGATGGGGACATTGCTGAAAGGTTTCTAAATGCACATAATTGTCACGCACGTCCATGTGAAGAGACCACCAAACAGCCTTTGTGTGAGCAATAAAGCTTTTTTAATCACCTGGATGCAGTCAGGCTGAGTCCGAAAAGAGAGTCAGCAAAAGGAGTTAGGGGTGGGGCAGTTTTGAAGGATTTGAGTAGGTAGTGGAAAATTATAGTCAAAGGGAGTTGTTCTCTTGCGGGTCACAAGGTGCTCAGTAGGGGAGCTTCTGAGCCAGGAGAAGGAATGTTACAAGGTAATGTCATCAGTTAAGGCAGGAACCGGCCATTTTCACTTCTTTTGTAATTCTTCAGTTGCTTCAGGCCATCTGGATGTATACGTGCAGACTTGGGCTCAGAGGCCTGACAATAGCGGGAAGATAGTAATAACTACATGAATGATTAAATGATGACTATATTGTGAACACAGATGGGAAGATCACTGAAGGCATTATGTAAATAATCATTGCTTAAGCAGAAATATATTAATAAGACAGATGACATTGGTAGAAATCTTTTGAAAAGGTTATCTTGGATATTGTTGCTTTATCACTTGAGAATCCTGATCCTGGCCCATGACCAATGTCTAATTCCAACCTGATAGGCCCTTCTCTTTAAGATTCTCAAGCAATCAGATGTAATGAACATTTATTGCGTGTATGTATACATATACATGCACAAGTATTTAACTTTGATTTTATATATATTTGAAAGTTTACTGAATTTTTCTTTTAAAAAGAGAATACATTGTTTATTGTCTGTACCAGTCTATTTTCCATTTGTCATTTGTTACTCCATACATAATTACATAAATTGTTAATATACAAATGAATTATAATACCATTTACAGTATGTACTTATCCCACTTAATGTGAATATTCACATTTTCTAAACAAATATTTGATATGAGCTGGTCATGGTGACTCATGCCTGTAATCCTAGCACTTTGGGAGGCTGAGGTGGGTGGATTGCTTGAGTCCAGGAGTTTGAGACCAGCCTGGGCAATATAATGAGCCCTTGTCCATACAAAAAAATTTTTTCTTAATTGACTGGGCATGGTGGTGCCCACCTGTAGTACCAGCTCCTCAGGAGGCTGAGTCAGAAGGATCACTTGAGCCCGGGAGGCAGAGGTTGCAGTGAGCTGAGATTACACTACTGCACTCCAGCCTGAATGACAGAGCAAGACCTTGTCTCTAAATGAATAAATAAATAATAAAAAAGAACCAAAACCCCCAAATATTTGATTTATTTAATGACAGGGAGAAGTTTTGACCTTTGCAAAATGTATTTATAGGAATTTTGAATTCCGAAATAACATCTGATGCCAAATGTTTTAAGTAAGAATGGTAGTAGACCTGTATTATAAAAAAGGAGATGGTGACTTCCAAAACAGCAGAGTAAGAATCTCTGAAAATCTCTTCTTTATAAAAAGCAACAAAACACTGACAGAAGTTGTCAGAATCAGCTTTTTTAGAGCTCTAGGAATTAAAACTTTATGAGTTAAAGCTTTACAATAATCTTAGCAGCCTTTATTTGAGAAAAGTAGTTGAATCTCAGTAAGAACAATGAGCTTTGGACATTTTCCGTCCTTTACCATCTCCCTTTTGCTGACTTCATGGTAGCCTTGAAAACTAAGCCTTACAACACAGTAACTATGAAAAACAGCAGCCTGGATGGAAGGTACAGAATAGGTTTGCAGCCTCACCAAAGGCCACAACCCAGAAAATCATCACCACTTGATCTCTCTGGCAATTCTCAAGGCTTGTGTTTATATGACCTGTCTTAGAGCTTGTTCAATATCATCCTGTCCCAGGGTGTTTTGTCAAGGAGAGTCATTATTTACACATAACAGGTCTTAGAGGCACTATTATCAGCTGGCACTAACAAAAGCCTGACCAAAAATACTTAAAAGGGAATACTGAGAAATGAGATATCCCTAGGGGGCTTTGAAAAGCTCTGTTTTCCTGAGAATCTAGAATGATTCCCATGAGCAGGGCTGTTGCACATACCCAAGAAAGGGGAGAAGGCCCTAATTTCCCCTTTGGCTGACCTTGAGGGTTTACGCAAGCAGTAAGTTCAGGCCAGTCAATTTTAGAGTGACAACTAAAGTATTGAAAGCATGGCCCAACACAGCACCTTGGCAAAGGCTGGGGGACTTAACTGGTTCAAAGCACTTAAGAAAATCACTCCAGTCATTAGTAAGAGACTTGTAGCTGCACACAACAAATAAAACAGGTATGTAATTAGTTCAGAGAATTACTTAACGCACAGCAACAACAAAAGCAACTTAAAGCCCTGGGGCAGGGTGGGCGGTGGTGCATACAATCTGATTTCAAGAGTTACCCCATCATATTACTTAAAATATCCCATTTTCCATAAAAAATTAAAAAACACAAACAGGAAAGTATGGCCTGTACACACAAAAAGGCAATCAGTCAGTAGAAACTCTCTCTCAGAAAGCCCAGATGTTGGACTTACAAGGCAAAGACTCTAAATCAGCTACTACAAATATAAAAGAACTAAGGAACACCACGTTTAACTAACTAAAAGGAAGTATTAGAACAGTTTCTTCCCAAGTAGAGAATATCAATAAAGTGATAAAAGTTTTTTTTTTTTTTTTTTAAAGAACCAAATGGAAACGCAGGTGTTGAAAAGTACAGTGACTGAAACTGTCTTGCTTAACAGCAGATTTGAGCCAACAGAGCACAGAACTGGAAGATAGGTCAATTGAGATTAAACAGCTGGGAAGAGAAAGAAAATGAAGAAATACAAACAGAGACTTGGGGACACTGTCATGCATTTCCACATAAGCATAATGAGAGTCCTAAAAGGAGAAGAGAGAAAGTCATAGAAAGTTTAAGAAAGAGTGGCCCCAGACTCACCAAATTTGATGAAAAACTTTACACATCCTAGAAGTTCAACAGTATAGGGTTGGGGTTTATTTTTGGGGTGCTGAAAATGTTCTGAAACTTGATAGTGGTAATGATTGCATAGCTCTGAGAATGCTAAAAAACTAGTCAATCATATACTTTAGTGAATTTTATGGTATGTGAATTATATCTCAATAAACCTGTTTCTTTAAAAACAAAAAAAGGAGGAGCATGATATTTATGTAGGGATGGAAAGATCTCCAAGATATATATTCAATTAAGAAAAAGGAACTTCATGGTGTATATAGTATGCCATGTTTTGTAAGGAGGGAGAGAAAAATTTGTCATCATTCCATCTTACATTAACAAACACCGTAAGGATTCTCAGGAAACTAATAGATATGGTCACCCAGAGAGGTGGAAATGAAATGACGGTGTGGTTTACAGTGACATGGATGGAAGCAAGGCTTTGCATTGTATGTCTTTTCCTGTCAGTTTCTCATTTTCTTAAATCCCTGTGGGAATTTAGTGGAGAAATCTCATAGGGAATCTAGTGAAGGAAATAGGCTACAAAGAAGTAAATAAGTATTTTCAGAATTTTCCTTACCTGTGGGCTATTTTGTTTCATGAATTGATGTTTATTAACGTGGCCCAATATGTAGGAGATAAAGGCCGTTTGAACACCTGAAATCTATTGTGGGTAGGCAATTTGCAGATTGGCTTCTTGTTCAAAAATTTCAGTTCAAGTGAGAGACATTTTAGATGCTGAACACGTTTTCTTGTGCGAACAATGCAATGAGGGATGAGTGAGTCGATCATAAATGATAGATTCCATAGTCAGATCACAAAAGCTGACCACAATATCACCGAACTGTATTGTAACAGGACCATGAGTATAGAATGGACTTAAATATGTACTGAACTGACTAATGTTTTTTAGAGTTTAAGCATCTGAAACAGGAGTTGGCAAACTATCTGTAAATGGCCAGGTAGTAAATGCCTTCGGTTCAACGGGCCATACTGTCTCTGTTGCAGTGATACTATAAGCCCACCTTTGTAGCAGAAAAGCAGCCACAGACAGTATGTAAACATCTGGGTGTCGCTGTGTTCCATAAAGATTTTTACAAAGCAGGCTCTGAGTTTGGCCCGTGGGCTGCAATTTACCAACTCCCGATCTGGAATATTGATTAGAGGTAGAGAAATAAATGTATTCCAGTTCTTAACACCAAGAATACATCTTCCTTTGTTCTGTCAATGGGAGTGTCAGAAGAACAGATAGTCCCAATTCTATGGTTGTGGTGGCAGCATGGATATCTTTTAGGGAATTTATCTTAGGTGTCAGTGCTGAAGCAAAAATCTCTGAAGTATGAATCCTTGAAGGAGAGAGATGAGCTGAAACTTGTAGCTGAAAGAGGAAACTATTTGTCTGAGTACCTAGTCCCCTGCATTCCCATCTTTACCACTTGCCATGCTGCCATAGGACGCGGTAGGGAATGACACTGAAATGGAATTCCATCTGGGCTTGTGCCACTTAGCAGCTTGATGACCTTTCCTGGGCCTCAGTTTCTCTAACTGAGCTTTAGCATCCCCATACATAGTATGAAGAGATTGGACTAGAGATGATATCTAAGATCCCTTCTGGCTCTAAAGATGGCATGTAGGGGATTCTGATAGCAGCAGATGTACTGCATATGACTGTTCTTAAATCAGGAACTTGAGATATAGTGTTTCTGAAAAATTTTTGCCTGGAAAAATAGAGACATGGTAACTAATTGTCACACATGCTTATTTTTTAGGGGCTAAGTGATGGATCTTGTACTCCGTGTTGCAGATTACTATTTTTTTACACCATACGTGTATCCAGCCACATGGCCAGAAGATGACATCTTCCGACAAGCTATTAGTCTTCTGATTGTAACAAATGTTGGTGCTTACATCCTTTATTTCTTCTGTGCAACACTGAGCTATTATTTTGTCTTCGATCATGCATTAATGAAACATCCACAATTTTTAAAGGTAAGAAATGTTTTTACCTATTTTCTAACGATTAAAGTAAAAATAACAATATGATATATTTCTGAGATTTTTAGATTAAGCTGATTATATGTAACCATTAAATAAAATTTTGGAGACCAACCACAAATGGGTTAGATATTTTCATGAGGGTTAATCCCTGCTCTCCTTCCCTTAGTTTAAGCAAATCTAACTTTTTAATAAAACTATAAGTCTAGTATCGTATCTTGCTAGATGCATATTGGAGCATTTTTATGCTGATATTGATGAGTAAATAAATGCATACATTTATGTAATTATTTTAATATATGATTTTCACAAACTGAAATGTGTTTTTTTACCATGTTTTGTTTTTTGGCTAGATAGGGGATTCAAACTCAGTAGTTTTAAAGTTGTTTACAATCATTTTTAAATTTCGGTTGTTTGTACTTGTCAGTGACTCCAAGGACTGAACAGCAAAAAGAAAAAATAGAGAGGATTGGGGATGGAAGTTAATTAGGAAAGAAATGGTTATTCCATAAATAGAAGTTTAGAATGCAGATTTTGGAGGAAGGAAAAAAGGTTTCAGAATTTGAAATACTTATTGCATTTTCTCAGTACAAAAGGAATGATTTTCTTACATACCTATTTTTATGTATTTAAAATTTTAATAGAAACAGTTTGGAGGTAAGCCCCTTCATGTAAAAGAGATTTTAAAAATCCAGTCCAGAACAGTTTTATGCTAGTTTTGTTTAACATGGATTTTGTGATTTTTAAGTATTGGAAATTTCACTTTCAGAATCAAGTCCGTCGAGAGATTAAGTTTACTGTCCAGGCATTGCCATGGATAAGTATTCTTACTGTTGCACTGTTCTTGCTGGAGATAAGAGGTTACAGCAAATTACATGATGACCTAGGAGAGTTTCCATATGGTAAGTAAATAACACGAGTGTCAGGAAGAGAGTAGTCTAAGCACAGGTTAGTTTCCTTAAAAAAACAAGTCTGCCCTTTTTTTTTTCATCTTTTAAAATAATTACAAATTATTCAGTTGTTTTTTAATGTTCTATTTTCATGTGTTCATGTCTTGCCACATGTGCATTTCTTTAGTTTTTCTATCAATCTGAAAGTCTGCTGTAGATGAGATTGTGTCTGGCGGAAGATTGGAGTGATCAGAGATGGGTCCTTGCATTTGTTTTCTATTAATTATTGAATTCAACCTTCTAAAAAAAACTTGAGTAGCTTATGTCATTGCTGAAAGTTAAAAACAGATTTTTAAAATGCATTATTCTGCTTCTTAGAAACTGTAACTCTTCTGGCATACAACCACCCACTTTTCTGTGCCTGTATACTTCATTGTTTACATTACACAAATGAAGTCCTGAGGTGCATAGTGGTTTGGGCTCTGAATTTTGTTTCTCTTAGCAACTTACATGGTTGTATTTTCATGTCAAAAAAATCTTGAGATTATGTAATATATTAGTCATAGTACTGTGCGGATATTCATAAGTTATGTAAATGATACCTAATTGTTAGACCTTCAGATTGTTACTCTTTTTTGTATTATAAACAGCCCTGTAGTGAGTAAACTTTTGTGAAATTCTGAAACTTTTTCAAGATACATTTCTAGGATCTAGTATGTAAAAAGCAAGAATCATAGTATTTATTGAAGGCTGATATGTGTCAGTGACAGTTCTCAGCTCTTCACAAGAATCAGTCCATTGTTTTCCTACAATTCTATGAGATAGGTACTATCACTGTGCTCCTTTTATAGGTGAGTCAATGAGGTGTACAGAGAGTTTCAGTAACGAGTTGGTGGTAGATCTGAGACTTGGACTCAGGCTTGCAGGCACCAGCACCCCCACACTTTAAGTAAGAAGTTAGTTATTGCCGGGCGCGGTGGCTCAATCCTGTAATCCCAGCACTTTGGGAGACCGAGGTAGGAGGATCACGAGGTCAGGAGTATGAGACCATCCTGGCCAACATGGTGAAACCCCATCTCTACTAAAATACAAAAAATTAGCGGGGTGTGGTGGTGCACACCTGTAGTCCCAGCTACTCAGGAGGGTGAGGCAGGAGAATCCCTTGAACCTGGGAGGCAGAGATTGCGCCACTGCACTCCAGCCTGGGCGACAGAGCGAGACTCCGTCTCAAAAAAAAAAAAGAAAAAAAAAGTCAGTTATTCAGAAGAAGGAACAAAAAATTATATACTAGAGTAATGAATTGGCTGGGCTTTGAAAAATGGATATGATTATGAGTTAAAATAAAGGGAGAGAGGACATTTTAGGTTCTTGAACCCCTATGATGAAAGATACAGAGGTAAAACTTCCAAGACAGTGGGAGGACATTGAGTAAACCTGCCTGGTTAGAGTAGAAATACAGGAGTGATGAGGTTGGAAAGATCCGAAAGGGGTGGAGTATGGAATAAATGCTAAATTTAAAGTATTTAGTGGAAAGTATATTTTAAGCAGGGAGATAATGTGTAAAGATGGGTTTTAGGAAGATTAATATGAAGGAAGTGATGATTCCCAGAGATTTAAATAATAAAGATGTCTTAGGAGTATCCTGTCTCACAAATATCTTTATAGTTTAATTAAGAAGTACTTTAGGTAGAACATTTCAAGTACTTATGCGAGGGAAATGAGGAAATGACCAGATTCCAAGAAGCCAAGAGAGATTAGTTTATAATATACTGAATTAGCCAGAACAGATCATTTATAATGTTTGAGTCTAGGATCCCATTTTGCACTCAGATGGACATGTGAAAAGTGAACTCTAATCCCAGGAGCTGAGTTTTGATTCTTCTGTTTCCCGTTTTCTTTTCTAGGATTGTTTGAACTTGTCGTTAGTATAATATCTTTCCTCTTTTTCACTGACATGTTCATCTACTGGATTCACAGAGGCCTTCATCATAGACTGGTATATAAGGTAAAGTCATTTGTGGTGAAAAGAGAAAAAAGGTTACACATTTCAGCAATGTATGATTATAAATTCTGTTCTCTATTTCCAAGAATTTCCTCTACCCATATTAAATGTCTAAGTAGCCATAATCATAACAGGTACAGGGTGCATTTTGTTCATATTCTTCTTTATGGGTCTAAGGGGCTGTCTTAAAATTCGTCTGTTCCGGTAACAGGTACACATGGACTTACAGAGGGAACAATAGACATTAGAGACTCCAGAAGGTGGGAGGATGGGAGAGGAGTGAGGGATGAGACGCTCCCTATTGGGTACAATGTGCACTCTTCAGGTGCTAGGTACACTAAAAGCCAGACTTCACCACTGTGCAGTATATCCATGGAACACCACTGCACTTGTACTCATAAATCCATATAAAATTATACTGTTTTAGGGCGAAGAAGGACATTTTATAGAATAAATAATTTTGCTGATCTCTACAGGATTTGTTAGGTTGTTTCCAACATGAGTGTGAGAAGCTAAGTTGAATGTTGCACGGGGTAAAGTTTGCAGTGCTAATTGTGTCCTTTTCTCCTGCAGCGCCTACATAAACCTCACCATATTTGGAAGATTCCTACTCCATTTGCAAGTCATGCTTTTCACCCTATTGATGGCTTTCTTCAGAGTCTACCTTACCATATATACCCTTTTATCTTTCCATTACACAAGGTGGTTTATTTAAGTCTGTACATCTTGGTTAATATCTGGACAATTTCCATTCATGACGGTGATTTTCGTGTCCCCCAAATCTTACAGCCATTTATTAATGGCTCAGCTCATCATACAGACCACCATATGTTCTTTGACTATAATTATGGACAATATTTCACTTTGTGGGATAGGATTGGCGGCTCATTCAAAAATCCTTCATCCTTTGAGGGGAAGGGACCGCTCAGTTATGTGAAGGAGATGACAGAGGGAAAGCGCAGCAGCCATTCAGGAAATGGCTGTAAGAATGAAAAATTATTCAATGGAGAGTTTACAAAGACTGAATAGATTATTGCCCAGTTATTCTTAAGTAAGGACAAAGAAGGAAATATCATCGTATTTCTTTTTTTTAATAAGGAAAAAATAATATCCATACAGTCAAGATACATAGTAAATGGTATCATTTGGAAATCAGCATCGTGGGCACTGCTGAGGAATGATCCTAGTGGTAGGTCAGAAGAAGATGCTGTGAACACCAGGACTTTAATCTTATGCTTAAAATGCCAGATGTTGTTCGGGGGACAACTTGTATCTTTCTAGCAGCAGATCTGTAGTTTGTATAGCCTCAACAACAATTTTAAATAAGATGGAGAATAAATTATTGAGGGGACTAGGCTATATGCATTTGCCTTCATCCACCCATGTTTATTAAGAATCATTGTGCTTAATAATACCAAGACTAAGCACCATAACCAAGAAATACTAATGTAAAGATTGTTTCTTGTTTCAGGAATGGTTAATTCTTCAACGTTGGTATGATAATGATAACTTGTTTTGACTTGAATAAAGTACTACATCAGTGTGGAAAAAAATTCTGATACATTAGCAGCTATGTAAATGACCTAATTGATAGCAGGTGTAATAAGACTATCGTCTTCCTACACATAGGAGGCTCATTCTCTGGACACACTATCACCTATTACATTTTACTGATTAACAAATAAATTGGAATTTAAAAATATCGATATCACCATGATTTAATCCAGATCTGGGATTATGTAGCTAAACATTGTGATGATTATTATTTAAAACCATTATTTAATAAGAGTAAAAATATGTGAATCTGGATATATTTAAAAAAAGAAATTTGATGCCCAGATAATATATTAGGCACTACTGATTTTTTAGTTAAATTGATGCACTACACTTTTGATGTTTGAAGTTACAAACCTGTAATTTTTTTGTAAAGGAAATAATTGCCAAATACCTAGGCCCATTGCTGACGATTAGTTCTAAAATCTTATTCCTCCTCTTCTCCCCTCACTTTTCCCTACTTCCTCTGCAAAAAGATTTAACAAATACATTCATAAGGAAATGTGTGTTGTAACAAATATATTGCAAAAACATAGTTTGTAAAGGCATTCTATAAGCTATTTATGTAAAATCAATAAAAGTTGATCATAATTAAACTGTATCAGTTGAGTATTATAGCAGCACAAAGTATTCTTTGTACAGATTTTGTGCCAATTTGAAGCCACAGAAATGATGTGGATTGTTAATTGTGTTTTAGAACATCCCCGGACACTCAGTGTCACAGGGGGAAAGAAGTGGGTACCACATTCTGTTTATATTTCACATTTTAACTAGATTTGAGTGTTTTTAGCAAGAAATCAGTCTTAAAATCTAATGTCTGGGATCCAGAAGAAAATGTCTTTAATCTGTGAGTTATTGTCACAATGTCATCTTATTTAAATGTACCAATTAGCATTTTGTAATAGGCAAATGTCATTTAGTGCTTTTCACCAATCCCACTCACCCCCGGTGCTCCGCCTTGCCTAAGAAAAAGAAATTAAGGAGAAGTAAACTTTATTTCCTAATATAATGTCAGCTGATATTTATTGAGCTTTTCCTCTTTGCCCAGAGACTAGGACCCAAAGAAGTTAAGTAACTATTCCCAGGTTTATTTCTCTCTCATATGATGTCCCATGTGGATGTTTGTGGTCAGTGGACAGCTTTCCACCTAGTCTTTCTGCGACCCAGGCTCCTTCCTCTTGGGGCTCTGCCTTTCTCTCAGTCCATAGAGCCCTCTTTGTTGAAAGAGCACATAGGAAAAGAAGGAAAAGTCTGTGTGGAAAATGTTTCTGGGTCAGGCCTGGAAGTGGTGCATATCTCTTCCGCCCATGTTCCTTTGGACAGAACTCCGTCACATGGCCCACCTAGAGAGATTTTGGGAAATGTGTCCAGCTGTGTGCCTGGGAGGAAGGGGGCACCATTTTCTTGAGCAGCTAGACAGTTTGCCGTATTTGTGGTGTTCTCCTCTTGTTGATGTTGAAATGGTGAATGAGCCATAAAGTATTTCAGGTTATCCACACACTAATCATCTCAGTGTCTTTAATTCTTAACTCCAATATGAATGTTTAAAGCTTCCTCTAGATTCTTATTCCTATATAACTAATAGAGAAGAAAGGACAGCTTCCTATGGGGAAGACAGAGGCTTCCTCATAGATGTTAGGAATAATCAAACTTGCCCCTGCCCTTTCACCCGTCTCAAATTCTGGTCTTTTAAAGCAGCGTTATGTTAAGTAGTCCTAACATTGTAATATACAGTACTGCCACATTCTCCTACTTTCTATTAGAGGAAGTCAGAGAATATTTATGGAAGTGAGGACCCAAATTACCTTCTACAGATGACTTTTATAGTTACAGGACAGAAAGTGAAAATCAAGGTTACGTTTTCTACTTTTGTGGTAGAAATTGAGAAGTGGGTGGATATGGTTCGAGAAGACCTTTCAGAAACACAGAGACTGAGTCTTTGTCTTCCATGCTGTCTCTGCAGTACTGAGTGAATTTCCTTATACCCTTGTATCATGTTTTCCTCCCATCTTCTAGAAGCTGGGGACAGATTTGGAAGAGAATTACACAAGTTCAGTTTTTTGATACATGGATTTTACAGTGCATGCAGGTTATTTATGTAGAGAGGAGGTCTGGGAGAAAGATGGAAACTAGGGAGATGACTGAGAACAAAGATATTTGGGATTAACACAGATAGAAGAAAAGTTTGAAACCATGAGATTGTCACAGCATGAAAAAAGATATTCAAAGACACTAACCAACTTGAGGGGTGCAGTGGTCTGAATGTGTCCTCCAAAATTCAAATGTGGAAATGTATTTGCCAGTGAGATAGTATGTAGAGGTGGGGCCTTGAGGAAGTGATTAAGTCATGAGGGCTCTGGGATTAATGACTTAAAAAGAGGTGTGAGGCAGCTGTTCAGCCCTTCTGTCTCCTGTCCCTTTTTTTTTTTTTTTTTTTGAGATGGAGTCTTGCTCTGTTGCCCCAGGCTGGAGTGCAGTGGCGTGATCTTGGTTCACTGCAAGCTCCACCTCCCGGGTTCACGCCATTCTCCTGCCTCAGCCTCCCGAGTAGCTGGGACTACAGGTGCCCGCCACCACCACGCCCGGCTAATTTTTTATATTTTTAGTAGAGATGGGGTTTCACCGTGTTAGCCAGGATGGTCTTGATCTCCTGACCTCATGATCTGCCTGCCTCGGCCTCCCAAAGTGCTGGGATTATAGGTGTGAGCCACCATGCCCAGCCCCTTCTGTCCCTTCTAACGTGAGGACCCAGCAACAAGGTACCATCTTGAAAGCAGCAACTGGGGACTCAGCAGACACCAAACCAACTGGTGCTTAACCGTGACTTCCCAGCCTCCAGAGCTGTAAGAAAATAAATTTCTATTATTTATAGATTACCCAGTTGAAGATACTTTGTTAAGGCAGTACAAATGGACTAAGACAAGGGGGAAGAAATTTGCATTCCTGATCTTCCCAACTTCTTCAAATTCACAACACTTGAATGACAGTCTTATTTCAGCACTTACTGCTATCACCTATTACTTTTATGTGTGTCTTACCTATTTGAGATGCCAGATTCCTTGGAAGTAGAGACCGTGTCTGAATCATCATTGTATTAAACCACTCATCCTTAACAAATGCCCAAGCCATGGTTAAAGTTCAATAAATACTTTGTTGAATTTATTAATAAAATGGCAGAAATGTCATTCTCTTCCATATATGTTTAATAAATCCCTGATAGGTGCTAAGCACTGCACTAGGTAAAAATTCTCTTCTGATGCTGTCTTTTTGGCCAACCATTTTTTTATCATTTATTCATTAGCTGACATTTGCTAAGTGCTTTGGAGGGGTCAAAAGGGGAAGTAATGAGAAATCAAAGATGGTCCCTACATCAAGGATAAACTATCTTTTTTTAGTCACTCAAAGTCATAACCCTTTGGAAACAAAACCCACCAGTACCCCAGATTTTGACCACAGATGAATCAGTACTACAAGGACTGGTTAGAGGGTTGAATGAATCTGTATACTCAGCACTTAACACAGCACTCTGGGTAAAAGAAAAAAGATCCTCAAAGATATTAGTTGGTTACATCAAGAAAGGACAAACTTAGGTTAATCTATAACTTCATCTCAGAGGAACAGGAACTTTGGAGATAAACAGGGCTCTGCCACTTGCAAGTTGCACCATCCCTGGTTTCTCCATCTGTAAATTGATTAAAACACTGCCTATCTAATAAGATTAAATAAGTTAGAAGCATTCAGTTAAATGTCAACTGAAACTATTGTTCATGTAAATTGTGCTTGATGCTTTTTCTTTCTAGATTCAATGATTATTGTCATTTTACCTCCATAGGCCCTCAATAGAAATCAGTTGCAGAGGGCAGAAGCCTAGATATTTTCACCTTAAAATTGGAGGGTGAAAGACATTGAGGTGAAGTAGAGATAGAGGGTACACAGAAAAATCGTATAAGTAAAACTAACATCGTTAACATTATTTACTGTAAGTTATCTTTGTAAGAGTGGTAAAATACATTGTGTTGTTAAATAATTTCATTTAAAAAATGCATCACTTTGTGTGTTTTTATATTGCTAAAACCATAAGGCCAGTCTACAAGGTTTGTAGATAAAATAGAAACATACCTTCCTTGAAAAGCAGAATAAATTTTTTAAAGGCAGGAAGGAAGTGTTTGAACCATGTGTCAACAAGCTTTACTGTCAAAGCAGGCTTTTGGTATGGGAAGAAAAATACTTATAAATACTTGTTTTAATATTTGCTTTATTAAAATACATTTAAAATACAGCATTTTTAAATCTCTAAGCTCAACTTGAAGATATAAGAACAGTAAATTTGATAAAAATGAGAAATTACATTCCCATTTCTTTAACAATTTGTAAATTCCAATTATCCTGAACATTTAATACCATTTACATATTTTATTAATCACATTTTCTTAAACATTTGATAAGAGATTTAATATTTTGATCCAACTACCAAAAAAGCAGACTTGTGTACTTGACAGATTTTTCTAAACACTTCACAACTCACGATTCAAACAAAGACAAAATAGCATATCAAAAGTTAATCACTCAGTTGGAAAGCACTCATACCATAGGCTTTTATTCATTTCTTGAATAATTTTGTTATATCTTCCTCTTTTAGGCTGCAATGAGCTATAATTGCACTACTGCACTCCACGCTGGGTGACAGAGCAAGACCCTATCTCTAAAAATAAAAAAGTATATATATATAAAAATATCTTCCTCTATTATAATTTAACTCATTAAGCCATTTATTTAGATGTAAACTTGCCCCCCTGACATGTGGTATGAAACAAATAGAAACCTAGAAATTTAGTGCATATTCAAATATTAAGACAGACACTGGTGTGGTGACTTTTGTCTGTCGCTTCATTGGGACGTTTTTTCTTTCTGATCAACTTAATGAAATTATAATTTACTATAATTAAGTGTAGCCATTTTTACTGTAGAGTTCAATGATCTTTGATGAACGTGTACACCCATGTAACCACCACCCCCAATCAAAGTAAAGAACATTTTCTTACCAGAATAAATTTCCTCTCCGTTTGCAGTCATTCTCCCCAGCCCTAGGTCACCACTGATCCACCTTCTGTTACTGGAAGGTTAGTTTTCTTCCCTGATTTAGAATTTCATATAAATTAAATCAGATAGTATATACTCTTGTGTTTAGTTTCTTTAGCTTAACATGTTTAGAGATATTTGCTGTTGCCTGTGTCTGTAGCTTTTTGTTTTCATTGCTGAATAGTATTTCATTGTAATATACCACAGTTGGTTTATGTATTTGCTGATGAATATTTGTGTTATTTCCAGCGTGGGATTATTATGAATAAAGTTGCTACAAACATTTGTATACAAGTCTTTGTGTGGCTATATGTTGTTATTTCTCGTTGGTAAATATCTATTAGATTTGCTGGGTCATAGGGAAGAGATATATATGTATACGTTTAATTTTATAAAACACTGTGAAACTATTTTCCAAAGGGTTGTACCATTTTACCCTCCTGCTCCCAATGATGAGAATTCCATTTTTCCCGCATGTTCACTAACACTTAGTATCGTCAGTCCTTATTTGTAACCATTCTAGTGGGTGTGAGGTAGTGTCCCACTGTGGCTTAATTTGCATTTTCCTGTGACTAATGATGTTAAGCACCTTTTCTCCTGCTTTTTTTTTTTTTCTTTTTCAAACTTTTTATATCTTTTGTAAAGTATCTGTTTAAATCTTTGGCCATTTTAAAAATTAGGTTGTTTTGGTGTTATTGACTTATAAGATTTTGTATATATTGACAAAAATTCTTTGTTAGATGTATGTATTACCAATATTTACTCCAATTTAGCTTGTCTTTTCATTTCCTTACTATCTTTTGATAAGGAAAAAATGTTTAATTTTTATTCAGACCACTTTATCAATTTTTATCTTTCATAACTATTGCATTTTCTGTCCAACCTAAGAAATCTTTGCCAATCCCAAAGCAAGCCTGGAATTTCCTTTGTGACAAGGTTTTTGATAATGAGTTCATTTCTTAGAAGATAAAGACTTCATGTTTTCCTCTCTTCCTTTCTCAATTCTGATACATTATTTTTCAAGAAATTGTTTACTACATTTAAGTAATAAAATTTTTTTGCCATAAAGTTGTAACATTCCCTATTTCCCTTTTAATGCCTATAGGATCAGTAGTTATATTTCCTATCTAATTCCTGATATTGATGATTTGTGTTTGCTCTTTTTCTTGATTAGTCTGAGATGAAATTAATTTTATTGATTTTTTTTTTTTTTTTTTTTTTTTTTTTTTTTTTTGAGACAGGGTCTCACTCTGTCATCCAGGCTGGAGTACAGTGGTTTGACCACAGCTCATTACAGCCTCAACCTCCCGGGCTCAAACAATCCTCCCTCCTCAGCCTCCCAAATAGCTGGGACTACAGGCACGTGCCAGCACACCCAGCTATTTTTGTTTGTTTGTTTGTTTTGTAGAGATGAGTTCTCACTATGTTGCCAGGGTTGGTCTTGAACTCCAGGACTCAAGCAATTCTCCCACCTCAGCCTCCCAAAGTGCTGGGATTACAGGCGTGAGCCACTGCGCCCAGCCCAATATTAATCTTTTAAAGAACCAATTGCTATGGGCTGAATGTGTCCCACAAAATTAGTATGTTAAAACTTAATTGCCAATGTGATAGTATTAAGAGATGTGACATTTAGGAAGTGATTAGATCATGAGAGCTCCGCCCTTGTAAATGAGATTAATGTCCTTATAAAAGAAGCTATAGAGAGCTGACACTCCAGTTTTCCTGTTCCTTCTGCCACATGAAGGCACAGTGTTCATCCCTCAACCCCATCCCCAGGGGATACAGCATTCAAGGTGCCATCTTGGAAGTAGGTACTGGGCCCTTGCTAGACACCCAACCAGCTGGTGCCTTGATCTTGGACTACCCAGCCTTCAGAACTGTGAGGAATAAATTTCTGTTGTTTATAAATAACCCAGTCTCAGCTGTTTTGTTTTAGCAGTACAAGCAGACTAAGACACCAACTTGTGGCTCTGTTGATTTTTCTCTATTGCTTGTCTTCAATTTCATATTTTCTTCATTTTTTTTTTTTTGAGATGGAGTCTCACTCTGTCGCCCAGGCTGGAGTGCAGGGGCGCTATCTTGGCTCACTGAAACCTCCGCCTCCCAGGTTCAAGTGATTTCTCCCACTTCAGCTTCCTGAATAGCTGGGATTACAGGCACGCACCACCATGCCCACCTAATTTTTGTATTTTTAGTAGAGACGGGGTTTCACCATATTTATTGGCCAGGTGGGTCTCGAACTCCTGACTTCAGGCGATCTGTTTGCCTCGGCCTTGAAAGTGCTGGGATTACAGGCGTGAGCCACTGCGCCCAGCCTCAATTTCACTAATTTCTGCTCCTGTATCTTTCTTTCTACTTATTGTGTATTTAAGTTGCCCTTTTTTCCCCTAGCTTCTTAAGATGGAAGCTCAGATCATTTATTTTTTTCTTTATAAATGTAAACATTTAAAGCCACAGCATTTCCTATAAGGACTGCTGCAGCTGTATCCCACAAATTTTGTTATGTTTTCATTATTAGTTCAAAGCATTTTTTATTTCTGATGGGATTTCTTCTTTGACTAGTGGTATGGTGGGCTTGTATTGTGTTACCTTACCTGAGCCAGAGCTCTGTTTCCCAGAATTACTTTTATGCATAGTTACAGGTTAGCATGGCTACAATGGGATGGGGGTATACAGGCTACACGAGACTAAGATTTAGAAGGTGGAAGTGGAGCAGTAGCCATCTTTCTATGCTTGGGAAGACGGAGCGGTCCACAAAAACACTTGCAATCCACCCAAGTGTTGTCACTTCATTGGCCTGAGGCAGCAGCTGCAGCTCCTTTCTGATCCTCCTTCAGCTTCTCCAAATTCCAGGCCTGATATGTGTTTAACTTCATGATGAAGGGCTGCAACCTCTGATGCAGGACAACGCCACCTCAAAGTTGAGGCTTGGAGATGGTGAAAGAATGACCAGCGGGCCAGTCTACCATCCTGAGTTGTCCTGCTCAACCTTCCAAGTTCTGGTTTGTTCTTGCCTCCCCCACCTCACAATCATTATCTTTCCTTCCTGACATCCTGCTCTTCAGACTCCTGATTCCAACACCAGACAGAGGAAAAGTCATCTCACGTAGACCATGTAAGTAGCCTCCACAGTTGCCTGTGGTCAGATCTCTTTCACTGATGGAACACCGATAAAGAATTTGGCACTGAAAGTGGTTCCAGCGATTAGAAACTTACAAATGTGTTCTCTGTTGGTCCTGTGTTATCTGCAATTGGTTTTCTTATATGATTACATTTTAAGTCAATGATCTTGTTTGCAATGGTAAAGGGGGTATTGGAAGTCCACCATGTGCACAAAAACAGCAAAACAGTTACTTAAACTATCACCTATAGATACTTGTAATCATGTGCCAATAGAAGGCAAGGCTTGAGAAGAACAGGTGTTTGCTGCATAGACTGTTTTAGTGGAAATAAGGTGTATGGTAAGTTTCGTTGATTGCTTCTAAGTGTCCTGAGGAACTTGGACAAAGAAAATGATGAGCTTATGACTAAATTCTCAGATTAGGGTCCCATTAAGGAACTCCAAAGCTTCTATTACTGCCCTATAATAAACCCTGAACTCCTATAGTTGTAATGCCGAGATTTCTGAAAGCCACCTCAAAGTTTAATTCTGCCGGCAGAAAATTGAGCCTCCCAAATTTACTGAGTTTTGCATGTTAAAGTTATGTCAATGATTGGGAAGGAGTGAGACTCTGAAAATGAGCTAGGGATATGAAGGTAAATTTCTATGAAACTGGGGAGCTTGAACCTATAAATTCTGTTGAGCCTTCCTTGTCAAGAGAAAATTACGTAGTAGGCAAGGTGTATTGGGGGAGCACTGTTTAGCAGAAAGAAATATGGCATAAAATTAACATGGGTTCAGATACTTGTTCTTATGTTTAGGGATTAAGCATTTCCAATATTGTAAATAGCTGCCATTATTGAATACCTGTTTCATGTAATGTATTTTGCAGAGACGTTTACATGCATTGTTTCATTTAATCTTCCCCCAAAAAACATGGGCAAATTCTTTACATTACAGATGAATACACCTGAGACTGGAAAGGTTAAGGTAATTTGCCCCAAATTACAGAGCAAATTAGAATTTGGCAAAATCAGAATTTGAACTCGGGTCTCAAACTCAGGTCTGTTTCATTTCACAGCCTGTGATTATGCACTGGGGTACACTCCTATAATGTAAAGATGAACTGAAATAATATTTGCAAAGCTGTGGTTGCCACTGTTTTTATTCATTCTAACCCTGGTAACTAAAGCCCTATTTCATATTTTACTTCCCTCAGGTGATGAGGATCTTCAAAATCTGTTCAACTCTCAGTACTCTAAACCTCTTTCCCTAGGTTGAAGCCTGTATAATTCATTTATAGGTAGGGGTGAAGAACTAACATATTAACTCTTCAAGAACATTTTATGGAATCACAAAAGGTTAGACCTATCTAGGATATCAAGGATCATGAGTTTGACCTTTTACTTGCAGAGGAAGAAACAAGTTCAAAGAGAGAAGTTGAATTACTCCTATGAATAGGCTGGAATAATAACTCTGTTGAGAAGGTTAAGAGAAGGACAAAACACTAAAGCAGGTGTTCCCATTCCCCCTAAAGGAACTGTGCTAATGATATCATCCAGGGCAACTTCAATTGTAAACTCTGTTGCAGTGCTGGAGTTGTAAAAAGTAACCCCTTGATGAGTGTGAAATCATCAAGGATTTCACTGGATAGTTATGGATAATCCTTACAAAATTCCATTGTTCTAAGTCCCATCCTACAGGAAATTAAGGAATCTGTTTATCAGACTTCTGAGTGAGGAGCTAGCATGGGAAGTTCCCATTCCCTTAGGGGTGCCAGGCTTCCAGCTACTTGAGTAGCAATTAGAAATTGGGGCCAGACGCAGTGGCTCATGCCTATAATCCCAGCACTTTGGGAGGCCGAGGCGAGTGGATAACCTGAGGTCAGGAGTTCAAGACTAGCCTGACCAACATGGAGAAACCCATCTCTACTAAAAATACAAAATTAGCTGGGCTTGATGGCACATGCCTGTAATCCCAGCTACTCGGGAGGCTGAGGCAGAAGAATCGCTTGAACCCGGGAGGCAGAGGTTGCAGTGAGCTGAGATCACATCATTGCACTCCAGCCTTGGCAACAAGAGCAAAACTCCGTCTCAAAACAAAACAAAAAAGAAAGAAAAAAGAAATTGGGTGTTTTTAGATACGGAAAGGCCTCTGTAAGGGCCCAGCCTTAGAACTTAGGACTAAGAATGGGGACTTAAAGCAGCATGGAAGTGTTTTCTCTCTTCATCTTCCTGTTTTCCTTTCTCAGTCATTCAGTCCTAAAGCCATCAGGTTGGGTCAGGCAAGTAAGACGTCCACATTGTTGATGGCCAAGTGGAGGAGACCCAGCAGGTTGAGGAGGACTTTTGTGCTTTGCACACTGTTTAGTATATACATATTACATTTCAAGATAAGTACAGGTCTAAAATACAGATCTAACTGATCTTTAGAAATAATGAAGGAAGAACTCATGGGGTGCCGTTTCAGATAAGGTGGTCTAGGAAGCCCTCTCAGAAGCTAACATCTGAGCAGAGACTTGAATGAAGAGGAGGAACAGGCCACATGGCATCTGAGAGAAGAGCATTCAGGGCAGATTTTTGGTATGTCTGAGAAGGAACAAAGGGGCTACCTCATAGAAACTTGGAAGGTTATAGAAATGGGAGGAAGATGATAATGAGGACAAAGGTGAGAAATGTCAGGAGGCCAGAAGAGACAAGGTGTGTTCAGGTGTCTTGGGACACAGAAGAGTGAGCAGAGGGGCTGTGAGTGACGGAGAAAGAATGTGAGGTGTAAAAGTTGAAGACAGCACAGCACTGCAAGGTTGGGTAATTCCTGGAAGTAGAGAAATCTTCTGATCTATATCTTATGGTAGTCAGAGCGCCTGATCTTGGTGGTCACTATGTTAACTGCACAGCTAACATCCTCTTCCAGTCTTTGTTCCCCACGTGACAAAGGAAAGGCCAAATTTTCTGTCTCCTCCTTTTCTCATGGAGTGGCATTTCCTATTAGACATTAAATATTTGAATGAATAATTATTGATAACTCTATAAGACACTGTTATTAAAATTATAGTCACTTTGAAAGGCTAGATGAAAAGTAAGTCTAGATTCTTGGGGAATATTCACTGTTATGGACTCTGAAATTGCATCTTTCCGGTGGGCTTTTTCCTCCCCTGTTCTGTTTGTTTTGTTTTGTTGTTTTTCCTGGCTGAGGCTGAGCAGTTTCTAGGATCAGACTGTAGGTGGAGCAGTTATGCTTTTCACCCGTGCTGTAGCAATAAAAGCAGAAGCATCCACATTTCATGTCTAGACAGAGGACGTGCATGGAATCATAAAATCTTCAGACTGGAGGGATCCAGAAAGGTCATCTACTCCCTCCCTTGTCTTTAGAAAATTGTGCTCCTAAACCAGCCTGGTGGTGATGCATCCTCCCTGCCATGTTCCTTTCAACTGCATTTAAAGCTCCACCATCCCATTCCTGGCCATTTATTTTAGGCTCAACACAACAACAAAACACAAAATAACAGACTTCAAATATAATCAAGTATGTGTGTGTACACACATGCCTTCCCCGTGGGACAAAATATCACCCTGGGTACTGCAGGGTCTGGATAGTTCTTTACATTCTGATGCTTTAGTAAATGTTATCTATGGATTCTCGTCAAACATTTTGTTTATCTTAGGTTAAGATTTCCTTGTGTTTTAGGCCCTGATACAGAGGGGGAAAAACACCAGGTAAATATCTTTACAAAAAGGCAGGATTGAAAGTCAGTAGGGCAAGATTTAGATACAACACCTCCATAGGCCCCAGGAAGACCCATGCCCCATGACTTATGTCTCACCCAGAAGGATGTTTATGGAAAGATTTTTCTCAAGTATGTGAAGCTGGTTGCCCTGGAAGTTTTCCTATGAAGGTGTTGTCTGATATCTAATCCTTTTTTTCCCATTCAAAATCACAGTTTGTTTGTTTTCCTTTGGGAAAAACCTAGATATAGGAGCTAATGAGCCCACGTTTAGGGTTTAATAAATATTTTTTAGAGGTTTAAAGGACAATGTTGGCCAGGCATGGTGGCTCACGCCTATAATCCCAGCACTTTGGGAGGCCCAGGTGGGTGGATCACTTGAGGTCAGGAGTTTGAGACCAGCCTGGCCAACATGGTGAAACCCCGTCTCCCTACTAAAAATACAAAAATTAGCTGGGTGTGGTGGCGCATGCCTGTAATCCCAGCTACTTGGGAGGTGGAGGTTGTAGTGAGTCGAGATCATGCCATTGCACTCCAGCCTGGAGGACAGAGTGAAACTCCATCTCAAAAAAAAAAAAAAAAAAAAAGAAAAAGAAAAAAGAAAAAAAAGGACAACGTTTGTGATCATCTATTAATCATAATATTCAAAGCAGGTTTCAGAGTATATGTACAAACTACTCAGCCGGTCTGAAGACAAAACAGCCAGGAGTTGTTTGAATCGGATGTTAGACACCTTTTCAATGAAACTCACACTGCATCCTACACCTGGAGATCAACACAGCTGCCTGGATGTTGCAGCCTTTTCCTCCACAACTTTATGGAAGAACCCAGTTGCTATGAATGAGCAGGCTGGTTTGGAAGCAGCAGTTGATAAGCAAATGGGAGACTACCCAAGGGCGACCCTCCTGAAGGGATGTGAAAATTCTCAAAACATGAATCCTCAGATAATGTTATTATCATTTAGGTACATTCTTTCAACAAATAATTTTGATTACCTGGTGTGTATCAGGTGTTGTGCTAGAAGGTAGGATAAAGCAGTAAATAGTTAAGAAGGAATATCAATAAAGTATAGTGGAAATTTGGATAGGAAATCTATGGACGTGCTACGAGATAGTAAGTTAGCAGGAGGTAACATACCCTAGGGAAAATTCTCCCAAAAGGATGCAACGCTTAACCAGAGGTCTGAAGGTGACAGGCAGGAAGGCCAGTAGAAGAGGGTTCTGGGTAGAAATAATTGGTTGAAGGAAGGTTAAGAGTGGGAAGAGCATGGACCATTCAAGACACTGAAGGAGGTCCAGCATGACTGGAATGTAGAATTCTAGAAGACTGGAAAGAGATAGAGGCTGGACAGCAAGGTGAGCCAGATCCTGGAAGGCTTTGTTGTTCCTGCAAAGAGAGTTGGTTTTATCATAAACGCAATGGGAAGACACTGAAAAGGATATTCTGTGAGGTGATGGAATCAGGTTTGTACATGAGAAGTATCACACTGACTGCCGTGTGAATGGATGGGTGCCAGGGGGATACAGATTTGGGAATTAGCCGGTATAGATGTGAATAAAAGCCAGAAGACATGGCCCAGAGAGTGTGTGCCGAGTGAGAAAAGGGACAAAGATGGAATCCTAAGGAATATGGAAAAGTCAAGGAGAAGAAGAGCAAGTAATAAACTGAGAAGGAGCCAGAGAAATGAGACTAACCAGGAGAAGGTTGCTTTGCAGGAACCAAGGGGGAGACTGTTTCCAGAAGAAGGAAACTGTCAGTGGTGACAAATGTCACCGAGAAGTCAAGGAAACTAAGGACTGAGGAGCATCTCATGCATTTAACACAGGGAGGCGATGGGTAAGCTTGATAAAACCAGCTTCGGTAGAGTGGTGGCAGCAGAGGCCAGACTACAGTGAAGAAATACGATGACTGGTTGGGGAGGGATGGAGATGGCTCTTCTGGAAGTACAGTTCCAAATGTGGGGACAGATAGAGCCAATAGTCGATAAAAGGGGATTGGGTGAAGGTGGGAGGTGTTATATAAATACGAGAAATTTGGGGGATATTTAAGTACTGAGGGAAGTGGCAAGTTGAGTGGGAGAATGGAAGAAGTCTCAGATGAAGGTTATCAAGAAGGCTGGAGAGGCTGTGATTCAGAGCACACAGAGCAGTGGCTTTGGCTGGGAAGAGGGATGGGCTTCTGCATTTCTGTGCATTTCTGGGTTCAGTGGCAATGGTTTGAGAGTGTTCCTGTCTGGCAACTCTCATTCTCTCTGTGAGGATAAAAGGTACTACGGACTACATTTTTCTACATACCCATTGCAAAAGTTTAAAATCCTTCTCAAAGAGGAAGGTTGTTTTTTTTTTGTTTTTGTTTTTTGTTGTTGTTATTGTTGTTTGTGTTTTTTTGAGGTGGAGTTTCGCTCTTGTTGCCCAGGCTGGAGTGCAGTGGCAAGATCTTGGCTCACTGCAACCTTTGCGTCCCAGGTTCAAGTGATTCTCCTGCCTCAGTCTCCCGAGTAGCTGGGATTATAGGTGCCCGCCACCATGCCTGGCTAATATTTTGTATTTTTAGTAGAGATGGGGTTTCGCCATATTGGCCAGACTGGTCTCAAACTTCTGACCTCAGATGATCCACCCACCTCGGCCTCCCAAAGTGCTGGGATTACAGGCATGAGCCACCGCACCCGGCCCAAAGAGAAAGTTTTTAAAAAGTATTCATGAAATTGGGAGAAGGATAGAGAATTCCTGAAGTGTGTTTCAAAAAAACAAATTTAGGCAAAAGTAATTGATGGCCAAGACACTTATGAAAGTAGACACTCACCGTGCAAATTCTGCCTACAGCAATCGATGGTGGGTGCACTAAAGATATGAATTCAAACAAAAACTGTGTATCTTACTCTAATAAACATTTATGATCAAGTCTAATGGTTAGGTGAATGACAACAATTCACCTTCCATATCCAGATTTAATGTTTTTCATCTGAGCAGTTGAATGAATACATAACCACTAATTGCAGTAGAATTATATGAAAATCAGGTAGTTTAATAAACTCTATGGATCTGAACAATAATTAACACAATAACCTGAATTTAATTAGATGCTCATATTAAATGCTGGCAATAAGCAAGTGCTGTCTTTGATGTCCACTTTAAGTGCATACTAAATATCACAGCATGGTCCAGTAAAAATAGACACAAATAGAGTCAATGATGTTTGAAGAAATGAGACAGAATAAATAAATCATACTCATATTCATGCCACCCTGGCGGTGGGGTGGGCACAGGAAAGCTTGTCATTTCCTTGTCTCAAAGTCATTATGCGGAAGCCAATGTTTCGAACTACAAAGAGTTAATCCTCCTCACTGAAGCCATCTTTTTTGTAGTGTTTTTGACAGGAGGGAGCCCTTGTCCTCTAGAAAAGGACCCGTAGAGCATTAGGAAGGCTCCTCAGCAGCAGGAACCAATGTTCTCTTTGTTATAACTCAAGCTGCAATTTTCTCTCTTTCCAGCAGAGAGAGAAAAATGGGAATGTGCTGCCTAGCATTCTACAGAAAAATCCCCCAAGTAATCATTCCAACACTCCTTCCTATATGGGCTCCTTGCGTATCTTCTCTGCAACATTTCCTTCTTATTAATTTTCCTCTATAGCAAAGTTAGGCGTTAACTTGAAACCCACAGGTGTGTAAGGAGCCCACAAGCTCCCCTGCTCCATTGTTTTTTAAAATAGTATTCAAATTCATATATTTGTTTATTTCCATATTTGTTTATTTTAAACTGACCTGTTGAGGTGTAATTGATTTACAAAAAATGGAACATGTACTATTTGATGAGTTCGGACAAATGCATACACCATGAAACCATCACAACCGTCAAGGTAATAGACATATTCATCACCTCCAAAAGTTTCTTTGTGTTTCTGTTTTGTTTTTTCTTTTGGTGCAATTCTAAATGAATTACAGCAACTTCAGATTTGGTGCGGCAGTCTCAGAAGCCATACTCACATGAGTTCTGTTCCAGGACTGTCAGAAACCAACACCAGCCCCATGTCCCTTCATCTTAATGGGGTAAGTTGTTCACAACATCAGGGAGGAAACAAAGATCTACTCTTTTCCTGAAGATCACCACCCTGGTTCCTCAGGAACTGTGGGGACCTTGAATCTCATAGGCCAATATTGGCTATCCTGGGGTCTGAGATATCTTGACCAGTCCCATCATCCTTCCTGACTCTATTTTAGGCCAAGACCCAAAGGCTATACAGCCAATATTGGATATTGGTGGAAGGGCCAGGAGTGACCACCAAGGAAGCCACACTCTTACACTTTCTTCCTCCCTCATTATCTCGTGAAAATCCCACTAACTACATTCTTCTTTCTGAGAGACTTTTTTTTAAATCATCCCTGCCTGCTCCTGTTACTTCATTCTCCTTTTTTTTTTTTTTTTTTTTTTTTTTTTTTTTTTTTTTTTTTTTTTTTTGAGATAGGATCTTGCTCTGTCACCCAGGCTGGAGTGCAGTGGTGCAATCACAGCTCATTGCAGCCTTGACCACCTGGGCTCAAGTGATCCTCCCTCCTCAGCCTCCTGAGTAACTGGGACCACAGGTGCAGGCCATCATGTGTGGCTAGCCTCATTCTTCTTGACCTTCATGTATTTAATTACTCAGAAATGTCAGGCTTGTTCTTGTTGGTGCATGTGAGGGATGTTTTGTATGTGTTTTGATGCTGTATTCCAAGCAAAGATCACTGCCTGTGTGCTCTCTACTTCTTTGCTAGATGCCCATTCCTGTCTCTGTGTAGTGCAACCTCAGACCATGCTGCTCACGATTGGACTGTTTATTGTAATAAGATTTAAGCATGTGAGTTTTGGCATTGGATGGATCTGGCCTTGGATCTTGCCTCTTGCCACTAGCTAAGTCTGAAAACTTGGTCCTCGTTTTCATCATTAGTAAAATGAGAATGTAATGCCAAGTATTAATGTAATGCTCTCAGTCCAGCAGTTAGTGAGAGTCTGAGATTTGATCTTTACCTATAACAGTTTTATAAGGAAGTAGACCATGATGGTTTTTGCCCTGTGCTGTACAAGATATTGCCTTCATGGATACTAAGAGCCCAAGGTGAAAGGCATTTTCATTTCTCTTTTAAATGGCAAAAGGAACCCCATTCCCAACTACCTAAATGGAGATGAGCCTTAAATCAAACTGTATTTACTTGAGTTAGTACATTTTGACAATCTTATTCCTAGTCTTGAATAACCTGAGGTCAGGTGCCACCCATCTTCAGTTAAATCAGTTGCATGAATCTTCGTAGATAGATCTAAACACAGCGAAGAAAGGACTAGTGCTCTAGGCATTTGTATTTTCCATAAGAGTGTCATGAATCAAAAGGAAATAGTGAACTTTCACTCTTCTCATTTAACCAATATTCATTAAGCTTCAACTAGGACTAGGTGACAGCCGCTGCGCTAGGTGCTGGGACTGTTGTGAGAGATGAGACGGACCTGAGATCTGCCCTCGTGGGGCTTAGAGTCAAGCAGGGAGAACCTATTCACAAGAAAATGAACAAATTACATAAACTGATGTGGGCCATGAAACGAACTGCACACTGCAAGCCAGAAGAGTGATGAGGGAACTGGCTGCAGATAGTGTGGTCAGGAAAGGCCTCCCTTAAGGGGGGATTTGAACCCAGAACCTAGAGGATAAGAAGCTGACAAACCAAGGGAAGAAGGAGGGAGACATTGTTTCCTGGAGAGGAAACTATGGCTGAGAGGGTTGGAGGTTGGAAAGGCCTGAGAGCTGAAGGAATACTAGAGGAACAGAGCTACCAGAGCTGGTGGGGAATGGGAGTGGCACTTCCTAAGAAACGAGATCCTGTTTCTCCTATTGCCCCCTCGAGTATTTCAGGAACCCATTCAAAAATGCTCTTAGAAAGCACTTACCTACATGTTTAACAATTTAGAAATTGATAGGTTATTAAAGCAAATTGGGAGTTTCAACAGAGCATAGCAGTTTAGGAGGGACATTTCAGATTTGGTAGCCTAAACTGGTAACTGGAACTGCACTAATTCTTTTTAAAATGCCCATCACCACCCTTCAGTATAGAAGACTGCTACACCTCAGATCCCTCTGTGTTAGGAATCATCTGGACACTCAGCAGCTAGGGGCACCTTTAACATAGAACAGGTTTTCTCTTTCATGATGAATTGTTATACAGCCGTAGTCTCTGACATTTTCCCTTGCTTCATTTTCTTTAGTGGTTTTGAAAACAATAATCGTAAGTTCCTGACAATTTAAAAAATTGTTTGCAGGCTAAATGAAGATGTTTTTGGAGCACTGACAACACTGTCAACTTCATTGTTTGGCTCAAATCAAGCTTGTTATTTAGCTAGGTCAGTTTGACCTGCAATGGCTTTTTTTTGCAGATTACAATCGCACACCCTCTCTCCCTCCCACCTCTACCTCTGAAGAAGGGTACACTCGCAAACCACAGAAACTGAACAACACTGCCCGAAAGTTCTATGCCCTTTCCCTGTCACCCCTACCCTGTCCCAGGCAACGTTCCTGCCATGGTGATGAGCAGCCTGCTCTGTTTCTGCCCTCAAAAAAGAACTGTGGTGTCCAGCATTTATACAGTAAGGAATACTCAGGGCTGGTGGGTGGGCTTCTCTTACAGATAGCCCCTTCCATCCATTCCTCTCTGAGACCCTCTTCACCTCCTCTGTTTAATGCAGTTAACAGCAACCACTCACACTGACTCAGATTCATCTCATTGACTTTAACAACAAAATAATAGACCCTTTGAGAAGAAAGAACTCCTTGCCACCATCCTTCATGGGACTTTAAAACATGATATTAGTAATGATAATGAAAGCAGTAACCTCCTCCATCACTGACTGTAAGGTACTTCTTAATGCCTGACACATACTAAATGGGCAATACGTATTAAATATTAGCTAGCATTATCATCATCATTATCAGATATTAAGCACACACTAAGTCCCAGGCCACTATGCCAAATCCTCTCCATACATAATCTCACCGAATCATTGCAAGAACCCCACAGATAAGCAGATATCTTACAACCATTTTACAGATGAGGAAATGAAGATTTCATGAGCACAAGTGCCCACATTCACACAACTGATACATTTTGAAGCTGGGATTCAAATCCAACCTTCATAGCCTGTGGATCTAACCTCTAAGTTGACTGTATTTTTCTTCAAGTAGGAATGATTTAGAAATAGTCCTCGTAAAAGTCTGGGATATCATCAAGCTGAATGAATCTTTTAGACTTGAAAATTCTATAATAGACTTAGATAGCTTATTAAATATGAAATGCATGTCAGTGGGGTAGGGGGAGGAATAGAAGAAAGGAAGAAGAGAAGAGACATTTGTCGAGTATATATTTGTACGTCTGTATTTATTGAGTATATATTTATCATTTACATATATTATATATGTGTATATATGTGCATATAACATCTTCAGGACTGTCTTTTTTATTATTTCATTTTTTTAAGAGGTTAACTTGCACAAGGTCACCCAGTTAGTTGGTGTTCAATTCAGAATTCAAACCCAGGTTGTTCTGGTCTCAGAGTCCAGCCTCCTAACTCCATTTGTGCTCCAATTTCGTAACCCTACTGCACTGCAGGTGCTTTAGTAACAATTTCATGCTTTCTACTAAGATACTAAAATGGCTTATCAAAGAAGGTCAGGAAGGTAGCTTCCTTAGAGAATAGTGAGGGAAACCACTAGACAGCTGCATTTAGGGGATGGATTTTCAGTGCAGAGCTGCCCAGAGATGTGAAGATGGATGAGCTGACCTCTTAGGTCCTTCCCAGTACTCAGAGCTCCAGGATTTATTTGCCAATGAAAGTGTCAGGCTTTTTCTTCCATAAAATGATGTATGATGGTCTGAATACATTCTCCACTTCTACCACCACCTCCTTATATCTGATTAAAAAGCAAAGATTAAATCAGCAGAATAATTTCCACAGGAGTGATGGGGTTTCCCTGAGACGAGGTAACAGGGGGAGTTGAGGGCGTGAAAAGGGATACATGGTAGTCGGAACAGGATGAGGTGATCAGGTATAAAGTGGTGGATGGGACAAAGGACAGATGCAATTGAGTGATGAGGGCCATTATATTGTATTAATCAACAGGCATGACACGTAAACCAGGTCTCTACTTTTAAAAGCAATCTGCTCTAATTAAACAAAACTAATGCCTATGAAACAATTTGAGAACCATGCATTTTTAGCCAGGGTATAGGAGGTCAGCCTTGAATCAGAACTCGTCCAAGCAATATTCATTGAGCTCTTACTCAGTACCAGACACTGCTGTGGTACGGGGGATACAGAAATGAGCAGAACAGATTTAAATCGCTACTCTACTGGGGCAGGCGGAAAATATACAAGGTAAGTAAAACATGCAGTATTCAAGTCAGTATCAAGTGCTGGGTAGAAAACAAGGCAGAGAAATGCAGAGGAAATGTCAGGGGAGCGAGCAGGAAGTGGTAAGATTTGATAGGCGGTCAGGGATGCCTCATGGGGACGGAGACACCTGCGCAAAAGAGCTAAGGGTGGAAGAGAGTGAGGGATCTTGTCATCTGGTGGAGAAGAATTCCAGGCAAGGGAACACAGTGCAAGCTCCTGAGGTGGGCGTGAGCGCAGTACCCTAAGAAAGGGTGAGGACGCTGATATAGTTGAGTAGAGGATGGAGTCAGAGTTCACAGAGGCCAGATCACACAGAGAACTGACAGGATTTGAAAGGATTTTGGCTTTCACGTGGAATGAGATAGGAGCAGGCTACTGAGCAGAGGAGGGACGTGATGGACTTACACTGCAACAGCATTGCTCTGGTGCAGGCTCAGGGGATGCGGCATGGGAAAGAGGCTGGATACTGGGAAAGTGAAGGCAGGCAGACCATTGCCACTGTTAGGATTAGACAGAATACCAAGTTCCCTGCTCCCTCCATTTTCACCCAGCCTGCAGGATCCTCCCGTCTTTCCTCTCCCCTCTAACCAGGCCAACTCTAGAGTAGATCACCGTTTCCTTGGCTGGCGTCTCCTCTCCCATTCTGCCTGGTGCTCACACCAAGCCTTCACTCTTCTTCTTAAGTCACTCTGTCAGCACATGGCCTAGCCTATTTCATCATGAAAACCGAGGCCACCAGCATGAACTTCTTCTGCTTCCTCCCTCACCTCCTGCCTCCATAAGAAAAACAGCATCAACAACCAAGCAACCTCTATCACACCTGTAACCACCCTTCCCTCTTCTTCAGTCTCAGGGAAGAAGATACCACCTCCCACCAGCCCATTCTCTGTCACACACACACACACACCACACACACCACACACACACACACACACACACACACTCTTCTCCCCACCCTCATATCAGCTTTCATTCATTATCTCCCTTCCCCTTTGGGACCTTGCTCCATGCACAGTTTCCTTTCTTCTATAAATTAACTCTCTTGCCTTTCAGTAGCTCACTGCCCTCAGCCTATAAATACATCAAAACTCACCTATCGAGGAGCAAGGCTCTCTTGACCTCTCCTTTACTTCTCAGCCAAGCGTCTTGAAAATAACACCTATTTTGTAATGATAAATACTTGGAGTCTTTACTTCCTCACTTCTAAACTCACTGCTGCCTGGCTTCTGACCTTACCACTCAACTCAAACTGCTTTCAAAAGCATCACCTCCAAATTGTCAAAGACACTGGACACTCCCAGTGTTATTCTAACTGGGCTTTTCATTTGAGACTGTTTCTTATCCAGACCTTTCCAAATTCTCTGCTTCTTTGACATCTCTTATGATTCTCCTCCTATTTCTCTGATCATTGCTTTTTGTTCTGTTTTACAGGGACTTTCTCCTCTGCCAACTTTTAAATGTTTGCATTCCCCTAAGGGTTTTCTTCTGGTCTATTGATTTATTTTTTTGTTATCTCACACAGTCATTATTTTAATGCTCACCTCCCTATGCTGATGGCTCCCAAATGTAAATCTCCAAGACTGACATTGCTGCTGGACTTTAGACTCTTACCCAACTGTAGTCTGCTAGACATCTCCCTGGAGATCCACACATGGAAATCAACATGGCAAAACTAGATGGGTCATTGCCTCACATCTCCCTATTTGGATCCTTTTTGTTTGTTTGTTTTCTGTCTATGAAACTGGCATTTTAATCCACTTAATTACCAAAGTCAGAAAACCGAGGCTTATCCCAGATTAGTCTTCCTTATTCGCAACAGCACAACTGGTGGCTCGTTCATCTTCTCTATGTAGGATCCTAACCATATGCTTGATCAGCCCTCTTCTCTGTGTTTGTTCCCTGCCATGGCTCAGGCCTCAACCTCCCTGGTGCACATGATGCAGTCACTTCTAGATTGGTCTCCTTGCCTTTGGTCTTATTGCTACCCCACAGCCTACCCTCATGTCCAGTGTTGCCAAGGAAAGTAACCTAGAACACAATTCTGAGTGGGTTACCTGCCAGCTTAAAACCCAGTTCAGGGCTGGGTGCGGCGGCTCACGCCTGTAATCCCAGCATTTTGGGAGGCCGAGGCGGGCAGATCACGAGGTCAGGAAATCGAGAGCATCCTGGCTAACACTGTGAAACCCCGTCTCTACTAAAAATACAAAAAATTATCCAGGCGTGGTGGTGGGTGCCTCTAGTCCCAGCTACTTGGGAGGCTGAGGCAGGAGATTCGCTTGAACCCAGGAGGCAGAGGTTGCAGTGAGTCGAGATCGTGCCACTGCACTCCAGCCTGGGTGACAGAGCGACACTCCGTCTCAAAAAAAATAAAAATAAATAAAACCCAGTTCAGAGCGATCCCATACATGGCCTTCAAGATAAAGGCCTCCTTTGAGCAGCCTCTTCCAGACCTGGCAAGCCACATCGCTTGCCCTCCCCACTCCACACCTTCTGTTGTCATTGTGTTGGGGTTCTAGGAGGTTCATGACATCGCACTTCTCTTCCCTGCTGGAGATCTGAATCAATTAAGTAACATGACAAGGCGACCTCACATGAAAGATCAACATACCCACTTTATTACTGATGAAGTCAATACTGCAGAAAACATCTTTCTGCACACAAGGGCACTTCCTCACTGTGAACTCCAGAACAAGATAAGCACATGTTCCCTGTCAGCAGCCCATTCCCATCAACAAGAGGAGAGCGGAATCAGGCACACTTAGGTTATTCTTGGATTTACTAATCAGAATTCACTCTCCTCTCGCCACTGTGAGCAGAAGTAAAGAGAGAGAGGGAAGGAGTTGAAAGGGGAGCTCCCTCCGTGTGAAAATGCGCCACGACAGTGGGGAAGGAGTGTCCGGGGAACACCCTTCACGCTGCCTCACATCTGTGAGACTTTCTCATGTTGTTTTCACGCCCTGGAGTAGCCTTCCTCCATTTCTTCACCTGCCTAACTCATCTTCCGTGCCTCAGTCTGATTTGACCTCCTTCAGAAACTCTCCTTAACTTCCCAGGATGGGACCCTTCTCTGTGCTCACAAGTCCGTATCAGAGCATTTACCTTAGTGTAGCTAACATCTACTAATTTCTGTATTTTCCTTAAGGGGAAGCATCATGTCATTCACTCTTGTATTCCCAGTACCCAACATAATGACTGGCATAGACCAGGTTCTTAAAAAATTCTCAATGGGCCGGGAGCTGGGAGCATTACAGCTCACCCCTGTAATCTCAGCATGTTGGGAGGCCAAGGTGGGAGGATTGCTTGAGCCCAGAACTTTTTAAGGTAACAAAGCCTGGGAAACAAAGTGAGACCCTGTCTCTACCAAAAAAAAAAAAAAATTAGCTAGGGATGGTGGTGCATGCCTGTTGTCATAGCTACTCAGAAGGCTGAGGCAGGAGGATCATTTGAGCCCAGGAGGTGGAGGCTGCAGCGAGCTATGATTGTGCCACAGCACTGCAGCTTGGATGACAAAATAAGGCCTTGTCTTTCAAAGAATGGAGCAGAGGTCTTCCAGGCTTATCTCTCCATTTGACAGATGCTCTTTAAAGGCTGCCTTTAATTGGAGTCAAGCAGATTTGGTTTTTAATTCTAGATCTACTACTTATGAACTGTGGGACCTTGCTTAAGTTACTTTGTGCTTTCTGAATCCCAGTTTTGTAATCTATAAAATGAGGATAATACAGCCTTCCTTAGGTGATTGTTATGATAATGAAATGAGATATAGTAAATGAATTACCTGGCTCACTTGTGATTTATTTATACACTGAATAAATCATAGCGATTATGATTTTATTGCTGTTCTTATTAGTAAATTATATTTCATTTGAGAAAAAAGTTAGGTGAAAGAATACAGCAATAAATAATGATACAATTCCTATCCTCAAGGAACTTAGAGTCAAGAGAAAGAACGTGCAAAATAATTTATGCTTACGTATAAGTGAAATGAATGACAACAATCATACAAGAGATGGGAAGGAGGAATTAGAAATTTTTTTATCATAAGATACTTGCACTACCCATGAAGTAGTATAATGTTATTTTCAAGTGGACCTAGGTATGGCAATGACTTTTTGGATATAGCACCAAAGGCATGATCCATGAAATAAACAGTTGATAATCTGACTCCATTAAAATGTAAAAACTTCTGCTCTGTGAAAGACAATATCAAGAGAATGAGAAGGCAAGCCACAGACTGGGAGAAAAATGTTTGCAAACGACACATTTGATAAAGGACTCATCCAAATATACAAAGAACTCTTAAAATTCAACAACTAGAAGATGATCAATTCAATTAAAAAATAAGCAAAAGACCTGAACGGACACATCACTAAAGGACATATAGAGATGACAAGTAAGCATATGAAAAGATGTTCAATATCAGCTGGGCTCAGTGGCTTATGCCTGTAATCTCAGCGCTTTGGGATTCTGAGGTGGGAGGATAGCTTGAGGCCAGGGGTTTGAGACCTGCCTAGGCAACAGAGCGAGACTTCATCTCTACAAAAAAAAAAAAAAAAAAAAAAAAAAAAAAAAAATCTGGATGTGTTGGCACATGCCTGTAGTCCTAGCTACTTGAGAGGCTAAGTTGAGTGGATTGCTTGAGCCCAGGAGGTCGAGGCTGAGCCCTGTCTTAAAAAAAAAAAAAAAAAGAAAGAAAAAGAAAAGATGTTGAACATCATATATTATTAGAGAATTGCAAATTAAAACAATGAGTTACCACTACACGCCTATCAGAACGGTCAAAATCCAAAACAGTGATAATATCTGATGCTAATGAGGTTGTGGAGCACCTGGAACTCTCATTCATTGGTGGTGGGAATGCAAAATGGTACAGCTGCTTTACAAGACAGTTTGGCAGTTTCTTACAAAACTGAACATAGTCTTACCATGTAATCCAGCAAACACATTCCTTGGTTATTTGCCTAAATGAATTGAAAACTTAATGTCCACATGAAAACCTGCACACAGATGTTTATAGCAGCTTTATTCAGAATTGCCAAAACTTAGAAGCAACCAAAATGTCCTTTGGTTGGTGAGTGGATAAATACACTGTGCTACATCTAGACAATAGGCTGTTGTTTTTCCGTGCTAAAAAGAAATGAGCCATGAAAAGACATGGAGGAAACATAAACACATATTACTAAGTGAAAGAAGCCAGCCTGAAAAGTTACATACTGTATAATTCCAACTAGATGGCATTCTGGAAAAAACAAAACTATGGCGACAGTGAATTATCAGGGGTTGGGGCAGGGAAAGGTGAATAGGCACAGCACAGAGGATTTTGAGGCTGGTGAAACTATTCTGTACCATACTATAATGGTGGCTACATGTCATTATACATTTGTCAAAACCCATGGAATATACAATACCAAGAGTGAGCCGTAATATAAGCCATGAACTCTGGGTGATAATGATGTGGCAATGTAGGTTCAGTGATTGTAACAAATGCACCACTGTGGAATGGGATGTGGATAGTGGGGGAGGTTGAACATATGTGGGGGCAGCAGACACATGGATACTCTCTGTACTTTCTGCTCAGTTTCGCTGTGAACCTAAAGCAGCTCCAAAAAATAAGGTTTATTAATTTTTTGTTTTTAAAAAAAGATAAGCAGCCTGCCTTGGATTTCCTCTCTTTCACCTTCCCACAAGCTGAAACAGACATGCTCTCAGGTCACATTGGACCATGCTCAGCCGCCAGCCTGGACAATTCACGTTGGGAGTGTGTGTAAGAAAGACAGGGGCTACGCTTTTTGTTATAGCAGCTTAGCCTTTACCTTAAGCTAGAATAAATGAGTGAATGGATGCATTTGTACTACACTCTAGCTCAAAAGGGCATTTAAGGTAGATTACAATCGTTTGTGAGGCAGATCACAATATAAAACTGCATTAAGAAGAAACAAGTGAATAAAACATTATATACCAGGAACCGGGTAGTATGCAAAAGCATCTGAGACTAGATAGTTACCGAATTTAAACAATGAGTTTAATTCTGAAATGCCTGGAAATTAAGGCGAAAAGAGAACAACCACTGCCCCCACTCCCGCCGCCCACCCTCCCTTACTTCCCCTTGGTACCTAGTGTCTCAGGTACATTGCAACTCTGCCAGCCCCTCTGAAATTCCAATTTCTGACTGCTGCTTCCTGGAGAGGAGAGGAGGCAATGAGGTCAGCACTTCAGAGAATAAGAGTTGAAGCCTATAAAGCTGTGAGGAAATTCTGTTAATTATCGAATTGTAACTTTTCAGTAGAGGAAGTCACTTGATCTTTTCAGCCGACTCTGGGAAAAGCAACACATCTATTTAATGCTGACCTTAGATCACCTCTTCATTCAGTACAATCGTTCCTCACCTCCCCAAAGAGACTTGCTTGCTTGGGAAAAATCAGCCTCTAGATTGCTGGGAGCTTTGTGAGTTTTTCTTCCCTCTCTGCAACCTGGTTCTTCAAGTTAAAATAAAAATCACAGCCCTGGGAGGAAAGGAGGGCACATAAATAAGGTGGCTGAAGCTGATGAAAGGGACTCTGTAAATAAGGGGACATTTTATTTGCCAAGTTGCCATAATAAAACACAGGTTTCCGAGTGTTTATCTGTTAACAATTTTAATAAAAAATGTTTCTAATACATGCACATATATAACATTTTTAGAAAATACATAGAAAAACAAGAAAGATAAACTGATTACCATCCCATGAAAACCACTATTCATATTTCAGGGTTCAGCCTTTCTCTGGGTCTCCCCACCTCTGACAGTCTCTCCATCCCTCACTATCTCTCCCTACCTCTTTCTCTGTCTTGCTCCCTCTCTCGTGCAGAACTGGAATCACAAAGTACATAATGTTCTGAACTTGATTTTTTTTCTTCGTTATTTGGAAGAAATATTTTTTCATTTTTAAACACACACAGCCATGAGAGGATGATGCGGCTCAAAGCTCTTAATTCAGGAGTGTGTTTATGTGTAGCCCAAATACTTATTGAGTGCCTACTGGGTACTAAGCTCTATGCTGGGCCTTCATGTGGTGAGAAAGACCTGGTCTGACGGAGCTTACAGTCCAAGGGGAGGATGGCTGCTAAATGATACCCAGCAGAGAAACTGCTTCTGCAAAGTGCCTGCCTGGATACTTTGCTGGATGGTGTTGGCCCAGAGCCAGCAGCTTTAGGGCTGCCTGCGGAAGGTCCCCACAACTGAGGTTTATTATTATTATTTAGTTTGCTGGTGAGACACACACAGAGTCTGCACAGCATCTGGCTGCGGGGTGGATTATGGTTAGCCAAGGGTTCCTTTTTATGGATGACTGCGGTAGTGAAGTTGCAGACTTACCTCCAGCCTCCTCAATTTCTGATGGGAGGCCTGAGTCTGACAAATAGTCCCGTGTCCTCAGTCCCCATCACTCTAGCCCCGTTGGAAGCTGGCCATTGCTTCTAGGCACCAGCCCGAAAGAGAGGAAGACTAATACTTTTCAGGCTGCCCAGCCATAGCCTGTAGAACAGGGGCCAGGGGAGGGCACAAGAGAGAATTCTAACCACCAGCCCACTGATGTCCACCTCTGATGGCCAGTGGAGATGAGTGAGCATCCAGGGCTGCAGGACCTTCTTGTGTGTGTGCTTGGCCCCACTACCCCTTTCTTCTTTGTAAGGGGCTCAACACAGCACCATACACAACTTCAAAACTTGATAGGGTAATTTTTATCTTAAAAGAAATCCTGAGAAGTAAAGGTTCTGAGCTTTGTAGAGAAAGTAAATAAAGTGTAACATTCTGACCCTCAGAGCTAAAGGGGTTGTTATAGAGCTATACCAGGAGCTAGCCTTTAATAAAACCTCCCTTGAAATTGTGTTAGATGTACTAAGTCCCGCTTTCATCTAATGCTTCCTCTTTGGGGTATTAGCCAGGTTGAGGATAAGCAACAGATGCCCACAGGCTTCCCATAAAGAATGTCAGTCATTGGACCTGAGTTGCACTGCTGACTATTCTCAGGCTTGTGGTCCACCACAGCACCTGATTCTTTTCACCTAAGTATGCAGCCAGCTCTTTTCCTGCATTTGTGCAATTGAGTTACTCTACTTGCATCTGTCCCAACTGAACAGCATATGATGGTTTCTGACTTACCACTTCTCCAATATAATGGACCAATTGAACCACAAAGAATGCCCAAATGGCAGCTGCCCTAGATTAATGGGTGTGTGTGGGTATTCTCCCTAAAAATAATGAGAGCTCATGTCTGTGGGGGCTCTGCAGTGAGAGCAATAATTTCAAAGCTGGATATCAGCAGAAAAACTAATGAGACCATTTAAAGTGTGTGTTAATGTGGTATGTGTGTAAAATTAACAACCCTTTGATAGCTAAGCCACAAACACCCTCCTGAGGTCAATCTGGAAGTCACGGCGAAGACTGGCTCTGTGGGGCAGTGTGCCAGATGTGAGTAGGAAGGCCCTGGAGCCCGGAGATGACCCAGCTGCATCTTAAAAATTAATATTGTGTTAAATTAGCTCCCATGTAAATGCCATTTTGTAACAGCTGCCTGGCCTATTCGTGGGAGCAACAGCAGTCGGGAGCACACGGGGTCCCACTTCGAGACCATCTTCCTCCTTTTGATTAATCAGTACCAAACACTAATAGCAAAACTACCACCTAAATAACACCTGTAGCTACCACTTATTGAGTGCTTAGTGTGTGTCACACTCTGCACTAAACGCTTTGCACACGTGGCTTGTCTAATTCTTCCAACATCACTGTTGAGTACTGCTGGCGTCCTATTGAACAGATGTAGAAACTGAGGCTCTGAATATGACATGCCCAGGCTCACAGGCAAGTGGGTGAGCTGGGATTTATTACCTGGGTCTGACTGACTCAAACAGGTCCCATAAAGCATGTCAGTCATTGGAACTGGGTTGCACTGCTGAGTATTCTCAGGCTTGTGGTCCACCACAGCACCTGATTCTCTCTTAACTTGAAGAGTGTTCATCCTTTTTACAAATAAGTGGTGAGCTTCCTTCACAGAGATGTGTGTATTGTGGAGGTAGTGGATGGAGGGGTGTTTCTCTTGCAACCAGAGCCCAGAAATGTTGTTTCCAATCAAAGGATTGATATCTGTTCTGCTGGAAGGCTGGGTTGGAGGCATCTGCATTTTGGTTTAGAAGATCTACTCCTAACCCTGCTGCCAGCAACAGAACATAAGGAGAAGAAGGAAGCTCTTGTTGAAAGGCAGTTGAGGAGTAGGAAAAAAGTCTTACAGAAATGAATCATCTCCACAGGACATCTGAGCATCTGTTCATTGCCCAGCACTTTCTGAACTAGTCTGGACCAGAGAAGAGGCATCTGTGACTTTATCCAAATGGCCTGGTGTCCTGGGGAATGGGAAGCCACCTATACTGGCCACGCCTCCCACATGTATTATAACTCCACCACCTGCCCTCCCCTCTTCCCCATTCCAGGGACCCCTGAGGGGTCAGCAGGGATGCCCTGCTGGAGTGTGTTCCCCAGGGCACCTTGGGGTGAAGTCCTGATACATACTGTCTCATGTTGCACAAGTCACACTGAAGCCAGCCTCTGCCAGCAGAGAAGTGAAGGCCTTTCAGAAACTATCAGAAATCCAGCCAAGAAATCCATCGCGTCCCTTTGAGAGGGGAAGAAAGAGAGGCAGTCAGTTGACAAGGAAGGAAAGCTCCTGGCAAGAAGCATAACCCAACTCCCAGTCCCAGGGTAGAAGGGAAAGAGAAAGAATTAAGAAAGAAATAGTCAGCAACTTATGTTCCTTTCTATTTTCACAAACAAGATCTGCTGACTGACCTTTCAGATCAGCTGGGAAATGATACCGCACACGGAGCATGCAAATAGGACCCACTGTATTTCCCTGACACTCTGCGCCCTGCCTGCTCCAAGACCCCAGAGAGACCCTGGGGACGCCTCAGTTACAGTAGAAAATCCCAAATGAGCACAGCCTGGCTGGGGAGCCAAGATGGGGCCAAGAATCAAGATTCAGTATCAGGACGGCTCTGGGGCCGTGGCTAAAATGTGTTCTGGGGCATGAATCCTGGTTGCTAAGGTGACAGGCCCAACACCTCATGCTAAGGACAGGACGATGCCCGCTGTGCCTCAGTTGGAAAAGGGGCTTGCCAGTGCCAGATCCCAGGAATGCAGGCCACTCAGCTCCTCCCTCTCTTGAAAGCATATAAAGGGCAAATGGCCCTCCCAGCCACCAGATAAATGTCTGTTTGTCCTTGGGGTGTATTTCTTTTTTAGCAACCTGAACCATCTTCGTCATCTTCAAACTCCAATGCTATTCAACACCCTCCACAATCTAGCCGAAAATTAGTCTTACAGTCCGCCCTGTGAAATAGCCGATCTGAACTGTTCACCGCTCTCAGACCTCCCACCAAACTTGCCATGTCTTTGTTCGAACCATTCTCCGTGCCACGCTTGCCCACCTCCTCACCTCCTTTTAGCTAATACAACCCTACCAGTCCTCCAAAGACCCGCTCGAATGCCACCTCTCTGACGATGCTGTCCCTCATTGTTCCAGCCACAGGTTGTCTATGAAATTTGGGCAGCACCCCTCCTGTGGCTCCTCCCACATACTAGTATACACAGTGGATATTTGTGCGGTTCTCTCCCTTTACCATATTAAAAGCTCCATGTGTTTAGGAAACTGTCTCTTATACTGTCTGTCTCCTGTTCCCTTCATCAGCTAATCCAATACAATGTCGCTATTCCCTTTTCATTGTTCTATCTCATTCCAGCTCCCACCCTTTAAATATGGTGTTTCTCGATCCTGCTCTGAACAATGATCTGACTTTTTTCTGGCCTGGTAGCCTCTGCAGATTCTGGTATGTTTAGAACTACACTTTGGAAGCTTAGTCTGAGGGCATCGCCTGGGAAGGAACGGTGTTGGGGAGAAAATTGGTCCACAGTGTTGCACTGTGCATTCAGAGAGATGTTCATATAAATGGTGCCCCATGAATCATGCAACACGGCTGTGCAAAACAGAGAAGAAGCTGAAAGATGAGTGAAGGGGCTTTTTCAACAACCGAGGCAAAAATCAAATGTAACCCCGGGAAATGGGAAGAAGAGAACAAGTACAAGTGACACCGTAAAGGAAGAAGCAATAAGACATGAGACTCTAAGGGTCCTTTGCTATTTCCTACTTACCTATTATCCATCCCCCCACACCTCTTCTCATACAGAATTCTGATTGCTCTTCCTTTGAGGGACCACCTTTACCATTCACAGGCCATGTGGCTTGAGTGGTGAATGTGATCACCACTGGCCAATGAGATCACCATATCCCCATGAGGACAGGTTTGGAGTAGGCATGTAACCTAAGTCTGGGCAAATAAAAGTTTTATCTGGGACTTTTTTTGTTTTTTTTGTTTGTTTGTTTTTTCCTTTTTAGGCTAGTGTAGCCAAGCTAGAGAACCTTTCAAGAATGAAAAAAAAAAGAAAAAAAAAAGACAAAGACAGCCTTTCCAATCATGTGAGCCAGCCTATTTTCTTTTGGCTCAAATCAGTTGGACTGGATTTCTGTAACACGCAATTGAGAGTCATGGCTAACCTAAGAACTGCCAGATTTTGGACATATGGGAACTGAAGAGTCAAAAACGCCCTGATATTGGGGGATCTGGGAGGAAGGTGATTACCACCATCAATTGTCCAAAGTACAAAAGACAAAGGGATAGTATAAATACCAATATTTAGAAAGCAATATACTACATGAGCTGAAACTCATATAAAAATTTCAACCAAGATTGGTATGTTCAGAGCAAAAAAGAGAAGGGAGGGAAAATGATATATTTTTAACAACCAGTGGAAAGTGAAATTAATTCAGATGCTATTGTACTTCTGCTTTCTTTAGGAAGTGATATCTTCAAACTGAAAAGAATAGTACAAATGCCATAAAAAGAGAAATGAAGGTGAAGATATGTGACAATCTAGTAAAAGAGAATTTACTCACTGAAAATGTGTTCACGTTCCCAGGCCCGTTTGGACAACGTCCTTGAGCACTGGAGGAACTTGAAGGTGTGAACTCAGCATCACTCCAGTTTTCTGTCATTGAAAATGACAGAAAAGAGGAGAGAGAGAGATGCCAAAAGACAATGCCCCAACTTTGAACAAGGGAAAGGGAGGTAGCTTCTGAAAACCTCACACTGAAAATCTAGACATCAATCTGCAGCAAAATTCCAGAGTTGATTATTAAACAAGCGGATGTGAATACTTTAAAAATGAATGCAGTGGTCACCAGAAACTAGTGTGATTATATGTATAAACCAACATCATTGCCCTAGTCTTTTTTTTTTTTTTTTTGAGACGGAACCTCACACTCTCACCCAGGCTGGAGTGCAATGGCGCAATCTTGGTTCACTGCAACCTCCGCTTCCCACGTTCAAGCAATTCTCCTGCCTCAGCCACCCAAGTAGCTGGGATTACAGGTGCCTGTCACCATGCCCGGCTAATTTTTTTTTGTATTTTTAATAGAGACAGGGTTTCACTATATTGGCCAGGCTGGTCTCCAACTCCTGACCTCAAGATCCATCCGCCTCGGCCTCCCAAAGTGCTGGGATTACAGGCGTGAGCCACGGGGCCCAGCCGACCCTAGTCTTTACAATGCCCGAAAAACCCTTCATAATTTGGTGCCTGTTTACTTCTCCTTCTTGGTCCCCTATCACTCTACCCACCTAGTCCACCCCTCACCCCTATCCCCACCCACTGCACACACATACAAGCTCTCCCTCTGCTAAAGCCACCTTCATTCCATTTCTATAATGCACCAAATTCATTCTTTCCAAGGGACTTTGCTATGATGATTCCTGAGGCCTGGAGCCCTCATTACATCCCATTTCAGCATAGCAAGCTACTTCTCACCTATTAGATCATCTCAATACTACCTTCTCAAAAAAAGACCATTACTATTCAGCCATTAAAAAGAAGGAAATTTAGGCCACTGGGGTGGCCCACGCCTGCAGTCCCAGCACTTTGGGAGGCCGAGGTGGGCAGATCACTTGAGGTCAGGAGTTCAAGACCAGCCTGGCCAACATGGTGAAACCTGGTCTGGTCTCTACCGAAAATACAAAAATAAGCCAGGCATGTGACACGTGCCTGTAATCCCATCTACTCAGGAGGCCGAGGCAGGAGAATCACTTGAGCCTGGGAGGTGGAGGTTGCAGTGAGCTGAGACCACGCCACTGCACTCCAGCCTGGGTGACAGAGCAAGACTCTGTCTCAAAAAAAAAAAAAAAAAAAAGAAGAAGAAGGAATTTCTGCAATATGTGACAATATGGATGAACTTTGAGGACATTATGCTAAGTGAAATAAGCCAACCACAAAAGGACAAATACTGCATAATTCCACTTATACAAGGTATCCGAAATAGTCAAATTCTCTAGAATCAAAGAATGGAACGGCGGTTGCCAGGGGCTGGGAGGAGGAGGAAATGAAGGGTTACTCATCGACAGGTGCAAAGTTTCAATTATGTCAGATGAATAAGTTCCAGGAACCTGCAGCAGAACATTGTACCTATGATCAACAAGAATGTATTATATGCTTAAAAATTTGTTGAGGGTAAATCTTGTGTTACAATAAAATAAAAGGCTTTATTAAAATAACTCCCATTCACTCTTGATTCCACAATATTATTTTATTTTCTTCATAGATCATATTCCTATACAAAATAATCTTATTTGCTTGTTTAGCACTTCCTAGAACTGTCCTGTCCAATTTGGCAGCCACTAGCTACATGTGGCTATTGAACACTTAAACTGTGGCTAGTCCTAATTGAGATGTGCTGCAGATGAAATACGCACTGGTTTTCGAATAACAGGTTAAATGCAAAATGCCTCATTAATAAATATTTTGCATATATTCAGTTAAATGTAATCTATTATTAAAATTAATTTTATTTGTTTCCTCACTTTTTGTAATGTGACCATTCAAAAAATAAAATTACATGTGTGGCTTCCAGTATATTTCTTTGTTCTTTTTCTTTTTTCTTTCTATTTTTTTGTGAGACGGAGTCTTGCTCTGTCACCAGGCTGGAGTGCAGTGGCGTGATCTTGGCTCACTGCAAGCTCCGCCTCCTGGGTTCAAGCGATTCCCCTGCCTCAGGCTCCCTGGTAGCTGGGACTACAGGCGTGCGCCTCCACACCCGGCTAATTTTTTGTATTTTTGGTAGAGGCGGGGTTTCACCATGTTGGCCAGGATGGTCTCCATCTCCTGACCTCATGATCCGCCCACCTCGGCCTCCCAAAGTGCTGGGATTACAGGCATGAGCCACTGTGCCCGGCTGGCTTCCAGTATATTTCTATTGGACAGCAATGTCCTAGAAAACAAAAGGCTTTTTCTTCTTCTTCTTTTTTTTTTTTTTTTTTTTGAGACACGGTCTTGCTCTGTCACCCAAGTGGGAGTGCAGTGGCATGATCTGATCTCAGTTTTCTGCAACCTCTGTCTCCCAGGCTCAAGTGATCCTCCCACCTCAGCCTCCCAAGTACCTGGGACCACAGGGCTTGCCACCACACCCAGCTAATTTTTATATTTTAGTAGAGCCAGGGTTTTGCCATTTGCTCAGGCTGGTCTTGAACTCCTAGGTTGAAGCAATCCACCTGCTTTGGCCTCCCAAAGTGCTGGGAGTATAGGCATGAGCCACTGCACCTGGCAAAAAGCTTCTTAAGAACAATGACGTTACCTGTGTTGTTCAACACAGATATAGATATAGATATACATTCACATTTAGCACTATAGTTGGCACATAGCAGGTATTCAATAAAAAATTTGCTGATTGAGTTAATCAGTCCTTTTTTTTGTTTTGTTTTGAGACGGAGTCTCGCTCTGTCACCCAGGCTAGAGTGCAGTGGCACGATGTCTGCTCGCTGCAAGCTCCGCCTCCCGGGTTCACGCCATTCTCCTGCCTCAGCCTCAGCTGGGACTGCAGGCACCCGCCATCACACCCGGCTAATTTTTTTTTTCAATTGTATTTTTAGTAGAGGAGGGGTTTCACTGTGTTAGCCAGCATGGTCGCGATCTCCTGATCTCGTGATCCACCCACCTCAGCCTCCCAAAGTGCTGGGATTACAGGCGTGAGCCATCACACCCAGCCAATTGCCTTTTTTTTTTTTTAAAGGAAAAAAAAAGAGTCACTAGATTGGTAAATCTTAGAAATGCTCTATCTTTTATTCATCAAGGCATTTGACAAAAGCTGTCATTTGTTCATAGCAAATCCAAAGTCATCAGAAGGGTTATTCCCCAAGAATGTTGACTCCAGGTCACTGGGATAAGCTACTTTCAGAAAGAGGAAAAGCAAGTTCAAAGTATTGACTTTCATTGAATCTAAGTCACCATCCACTGTAAATGCACTACTATTTTATCTACAACTGAGAAACAAAAACTGCCAAATAAACTAAGATACTCTATTGATTGTAAGCTGTCACCCAATTTCAGAGATGCTAAAATGTGAGGAAAAATGTGTGTCTTAGAATGTATTCATCCCTTCTGATTGTTCACCCAGACCCTATCTGGACCATCTATGTGGAGGCTGAGATTTCTGTTTCTCTCATCCTCTTCATTCCTTCCTTCACTTCACCCTGGTGGGAAGAGTATATTTTGTAAGACATAGTAAAAAAGCCAATATTTTTACCATAGCAACTCTTCAACAATATTCTATGGGAGATGGTGCAAAGGTAGATTTGGGACTGTTCCATCCTAATGAATTTGGAACATTTAAACATACTCCTATGACAGAAAGTAAGGAATTTCATCCATCCTTTCAGGGAGGATCCAGGAAATTTGGGGCACAGAGTAAAGAGGTCAGGACACCAAAGGGAGAAGTGGCTCCATGAGGCCTTCAGGGAATGAAACAAATGAAAACATCTTCAGAAGAAAGCTATGCTTTGGGACATCTTTTGGTCTCTGTGTGGTTGTGGTGAAATGATAATGCATTGGTTTCCTTCTTATAATAAATTATGCCTGCACCTTTCCATAGATTGCTGAGCATATGAACCATTTTGACTGCTACAGATTAAGGGAGATGTTGACAAAAGGAAAATATCTAGATGAATACTTCTCAAGCAATGGTTTGCAAATCATGAACACCAGGGAGTTCTTTGCCCCTGTGGGCACATTGTGGGGTGAGGGGCAGGCGGAAGAGACCTGAGCAGGAAGGCCTTAGAAATCCATTCCAGCTCCTCTTTTATGGGTTTTGTGTGTTTGCCTACTATACGGGTGTTCTGAGAGCAAAGTGGTGCCTGGACCATTTTTAGATTTGTCGATGCCCTACTCATAGGTCTATTTTCCCATCTTTAGAGTTAGCTATTACAAGCTGACAGGCTATGGTTAGGACAAACATTTATAATCAGACCTTACCGTCATCACCAGACACTCACCTATATTTGAAAATTCCTTGAATTCAGAGCTCCAGCCTAATGACCCCCCTACTCTCTGCCCTTCCTTGAAGGTCCTGCTTCTGGGTAAAATATGATTTTCTATCTAAATAGGCTACCTTGCTAAAATAATTTTGAAAATTGCTAATTTAAAACAGTGGTTCTAAAACATGGTCAAACATTGTTATAAGTTGATAACACAATATCATTGATATTACAATACAGATTATTGGGTCCCATCCCAGACCTACTGAGTCAGATTCTCTGGCTGCTGTCCAAGAATAAAGTTGATTGCCTGGAAAACAGGTGAGCTGTCTATCACTGGAAGTGTTCTCATTATGGTAGATGATCAGGTTTCAGCCAAGTTCATGGAAGTTCCTTTATTGGGAGTTCCTTTAAATTAGAAAAGCTCTCTAATATGACCTCCAATGCTATAAGTCTTTGATTTTATCACTAGACTGGAAACCAGGATTTCTCCCCTAAATTCTCTGCGTTTAACACTAGTGAACTGTAACAACAGGGGTATGCAATGGAGTGTTAAGTATCCCAGGAATATTTCTAGTACTTTAACAGGAATAAGACTTCATGATAATTATGCTTTGGTTCTGATATATTTCCCAGACAGAAGAAATCAATATAACTAATTAAAGAATGGAGAGAAACAATGCAAGAATAATTTGAATTCATCTTTCGGTTGCAGAGATAATAAATTCTTACATGTTAATATGGAGTAGCTATTGATATATTACAAAACTAATAATACAACTTCAACTCAGCAGGCGTTACAATGCTTCCCAGCATCCTCTCTGTTCTCTGCCTCATGTTTTTGTCCTCTTCACTCTATGCCAGGGATAGGTAGCATAAGCTCTGTTTCTCTCAACTATGAGATCTAATTTCTTGGGTTCATCCTGCCCTATGTGTGAGCCATTCCTGACCAAGTTGTGTGTGCATGTGTTCCTTCATTCAACAAATATCCATTGGGCCCTTGATTTGAAAAATGCCTTAAGTTTTGTGATGGGACTAGAAATGTGAAGGACAGAATCCTATTCCTTCAGGTGGAGAGGCAAATAAGGGATTCCAGCAATCAAGCTTCCATAAACCCAGAATCTAATTATGAGTCCTCCTTTCCTTAATCCCAACCACAAATGCCCAACCCATTCCCTGGGACTTCTGCCTGCATTTCTCAATCATACTCCAATTTCTATGCTGGGATAGCAGCCCTGCCGTGAGACCCATCTCCCTTGGTTGAAACTCTACTAAGAGATCCCACTTCATTCTCCTGGGTCAAACCTTAAACCAGGATCAAACTGAGATGCCTCTTGCAATCTCCTCCTCCCTAGCCCCATGCTGCTACCTGTCTGATTTTGATGTAAGTAGAGTATAAAACTGCCTTTGTAAAATTATAACTGAGGAAATCATGACAGTGAAAAATATCAGATCTAACTGACTCCATCTTGCTTCTAACCTTTAAGCTGTCCTTGTTCATTCCTGGGAATAGGCCAAACTAACTTTGAGAAGGAATTCAGTTTATGGTTTGACTCTGAAACAAAATTGCCAATAGCCCTTTCCCAAAAAGACCCCCTTCTTGCCTGGGGACCAGTCTGCCTTTGCAGGACTAACAAATTAGCTGCAAGATTAGAAATTATAGATTAGGGGTCATGCAGCCTCTGGCTCCAAGAGACTGAACCTCCCCAAATTGCTCCTGGGGATAGCATCACTATTGTAAAACCTAAGATCAGTGCTTGAGATATTTTGCAGACTCTGTACTCCATGGATCAGCTGACACCACCCAGACCAGTAATCTGGCTCAAGCGGTTCTGCTATGGCCACCCAGGAACAGAAAACAGCAAGAAAACCTCATTTCAACCCCCTATGACTCCATCTCCAACCTGATCAATCAGCACTCCCCACTTGTCAAGCCCCTACCTGCCAAATTATCTTTAAAAACTCTGATCCCTTAATGTTCAGGGAGACTGATTTGAATAATAACAAAACTCCGGTCTCTTGTTTCTGCGTGACTTACTCTTTCTCCGTTGCAATTCCCTTGTCTTGATAAATTGGCTCTGTCTATGCAGCAGGCAAGGTGAATCCATTGGGCAGCTACAAGTAGATCTCACCATTCTGAGGGTGTAGATAGAATCTTGGTAACCACAGTAACTCATTTTGGGTATCATATCAATCCATAGGTATGGATTCCAATCTATGTTATGGAATTTTCCACATTTTCCATTTTGGACGCTTGTATTCCTATATGCTAATAATTGCCAGACCTGAAGGCAATCTAAGAAACTGACCAGACACTGTCCTCAAAATTGCCCTTCTTTTTGAGCAAGATTTTTTCCCAGGGTCACATGCCTGGTCATTTCCTCCTTTAGGATAAATTCGCAATCTTGTCTCTTGATGAAAATTGTCTTCTGACTAGTGGTCACTTTTCTTAAGCCAGCTTGAGATAGTTTCTAAACTTGCAACAGACAATGCTAACTTTTCTCAGCTGTGTGAGTTAGCACCTGATATAATCTGTTCATTGGAACCAGGTGTTAGGTTCATTTGAGTTACTATGGTTACTATGGTCAATTGACCGACCACTAGTCTCATCAGCTCCCTGAATATACCCACTGCATCAGGCTCCTTGGGATATTTACATTGCTTCAAGTCAAGCTCAAATTTGCCAGACTCCTGTGGAGGCTGTTATGGTTTGAATGATGCCCCCTACCTCAAGAAGATATGTTCAAGTCCTAACTCTCAGAATCTCAGGAATGTGACCTTATTTGAAAATAGGGTCATTACAGATTCTAATTAGTTAAGATGAAGTCATATTGTAGTAGGGTGGGCCCCTAATCCAATAAAAGTGGTGTTCTGATAAGAGGAGGGAAATTTGGACACAAACTTGTACAGATGGAAGACCACGTGAAGACACGGAGAATGTTACCTGATGACACAGCAGAGATTGGTGTTACGCAGCTGCAGGCTATGGAGGCTACTAAAGGCTGGAAGAGACAAGGAAGGATCCTCCCACAGGTTTCAGAGGGAGCACGGTTCTGCCAACCCCTCGACTTTGAACTTCCCGCTTCCAGAAAGGTACGACAATACATTTCTGCTGTTTTAAGCCACTCAGTTTGTGGTCCTTCAGTTACAGCGGCCCTAGGGAATGAATACAGGCACCTTATCCCTGCCCGGCTATCCCTCCAGGGGATGTGAAGGAAGGAGGGTGGAGACTGCAGCCCTGCTCTGTCATGAAACTTTGCAGCTTACTTTAGTCCTTTTGACCCTGCAGCTGGCTTATTTATCCCCAGAGCTGCCTGGCTCTCACTTCTGCTCGTCCCCTTTCCCAAGGCCAGCTGCTAAGATCCTTGCAGCCTTCCCAGTTTATCTATTTGATTTGTGACAACAGCAAAGACTTTCAGTCTTGCCGGCTTACATCTTCCTAGGGAAGTAAAGAAAAGTAACTGCTTTTGTCTACAAGATTTGTTCACCTAGCATCCTCAGGGTGGTAGGCTGCACGAAGAGGGGGAAAAAACGGTTAGATAATGTGCCGTCAATCATATTCCAAGATAATAGATGCTCACTATCAAAAGTACATTTGCTTTTAGGCTGTTTATCTACCAGTGGTGCTGATCCATACCCTCTTCTCCACCTTGTGAAAACAGATAAGAAGATAAACTCTTGCTTCGGGACTGAGCAAAATTAATTTATCTAGAGGGGAAATGAACCTAACACCTGGTTCCAATGAACAGATTATATCGGGTACTAACTCATACAACTGAGAAAGGTTAGCATTCTCTGTGGCAAGTTTAGAAACTATCTCAAGCTGGCTTAAGAAAAAAAGGAATTATTAAAAAAAAATAGATTGTGTCCACAGCCAAAGGCCAGAAGAAGGGGACTGGAAACAGAAGCTGGAAAGCCGGTGTGTTTGTTCTCCACCTTTGGCTCTGCTCCTCTCTCTGTAAATGATTTATTTTTTTCTATCTGAAGACCAGCTTTCTTGGTGCATCAATTACTTGGTGGAAATGGTTTCCATGTTAACATGTTAAGGTCCAGCCATTAACCTTGTCTCAGTGCCAATTCCTAATTCCTAGGAAGGGACTGTGGTCCAGCTTCAGCCGAGAGCTCAGCTCTGCACCAGTAGGTGTAGTGAGGTGGGGTGAGGAAGGAGTGGGCACAGCACAAGGCTGGCACATAGCTGCCAAGAGTCGCCTCCATAATTGTAAATGGCAGTGTCAAGGAAAATGGGCTAGCTGGACAAATAAACCTAAAGGTATCTTTGACCATGATGCTCTAATAAGTTTCTCTATTAGAAATGAGCCACGCATGTGCAATAGTAATGTCAAGAGAAGAATGAAAATAGACCTATTAAATAATTGATCTTTTCTGGTTCTCTATAGGATTCATAGACGGACTTAGGGACAAATCCTAATGACTGGCCCCACCCTGGACTTGGGATTGCTCCTCTCCCGCTGCTCTCTCCCTCAGGATAAGTTCTCCGGCAGGACACCCCTCAGTCCTTTAAGCAAATAGGCTGCTATTAACACCAATAAGCCATAGTGCAAAGGGAGTGAAGATCGTGTAGACCAGGGGTCCCAACCCCCAGGCCATAGACAAATACGCATCTGTGGCCTGTTAGGAACGGGGCTGCACAGCAGGAAGTGAGCGGTGCATGAACGAGCATTTCCACCTGAGCCCCGCCTCTTGTCAGATCAGCAGCAGCATTAGATTCTCATAGGAGCGTGAACCCTATGGTGAACTGCACATGCGAGGAATCTAGGTTGCACGCTCCTTATGAGAATCTAACTATTGCCTGATGATCTGAGGTGGAGCAGTTTCATCCTGAAACCATCCCCCGTCGCATCCGTGGAAAAACTGTCTTCCATGAAACTGGCCTCTAGTGCTAAAAAGGTTGGGGACTACTGATGTAGACCACTGAGTGGGGCCCTATAATTGGAGTTGAAGAAGGAGGAGTTGGGTTAAAGGTAGGAAATGGATCTTGGAACTCAGAGGATAATTTCTAAAGAGGATGGGTTAATTGCCAGATGCATCCTCCCCACTTCATTCTAGAGAATACAGTGTTGGGTGTAAGAAACACAAGTTATTGTATAGAATGATGTGGGGTCAAATCCTGACCCCACATTAACATTAAGGCTTGGGCAAGTTACTTAACCTTTCTAAAGCACAGTTTACCCATCTGAGATGTGGTCACACTAGTTAGTACCTTCCTCATGGAGCTGTCAAGAATTGAATGAGATCATCCATGACAAGTGCCCAGCACAGTGTCTGGCTCAATATTCATCAGCAGCTGTGGGCGTTACAGCCAGGTTTGACATATCACCTCTTACTGGCTTCTCTGGAGCCCTACCACTATTTTTTTCTATGACTTTATTTTCTGTAGCACAGAAGATATTATTCCATAAAAGAAATCCTCAGATCTCAGGTACAGTTCTGTTTTAATAGAAGGTGCTCCCCCTGGCCCCTAACATTAGGGTTAGGAGGAAAACCACCAGCCCATAAGTTAGCTTTCCCATAAAGCTGTAAATACCATGGAGTCTTACAGTCTGTGACTTTGGCTTCTCTACAGCTGAGCTGGGTATACAGGATTAGGGAAGAAGTTTAGGATGCTTTGGAGAGAAAACAGAGGAAAGCAAAATATTATTAGCACTCTAGTAAATCAATCACAGATGGCCTTCAGAAATTAACCCAAAAGCAGAATGCTCATTTTCAGAGAGTGCCTGCCTTCTTGAAATAATCTGGAAAAGTCCCAAGAACATCTCTCATGTAAAAGTGATTCAATATTCACTGCTTCAGCTGGAAATGTACAAAACAAAAACAAAAAAAGTCTTTGTTCTTTCCATCTTTGCTGCTCCCATTTTCTCTGACAATTGTAGATAGGGAAATAGCACATAATGACTCCATTGGATGTGGACGAGGGGATCCATTTCCCATCCTGGGAAAGGGGCTGGTCCCCTAGGAGCTGAGCTTCTGTGCAGGAAGCTGCAGCAGGTAGGATTTGTCTCCCTGGGTCCAGGATGTGACTGTCACCCAGAGGGCACCTGAACTGCCCCAACTCTGCTTCCTCCTGTAGCCAGTGGTCTTTTTCCACTGAAGAGTTGTTTATTGCGTAATTAATGAAAGGTAATGGCCCTTGCAGATACTTTACCAGGGAGTTCAAAATTTAAACTCATGCTGCTGATTAAGATGGACTCTCCTCCTCCACTCTTAATTACCCAGCTCTGTAAAACACTTTTAACACTCACGGGGCCTCCAAGAGTATCCTGGGTTGTTAATCTTGGCATCAGCAGACTCTACTCTCAACCAACATCCCTACAAAAATGCCACAAAAGGGCCTACCCAGGGGGAAGGGAAGCAGGCATTAATTTTTCCCTTTCTCCCTGTTACCTACTTTCTCCTAGGAGGAGAAGCTCAGGCAACAATTCCTGGTTGGCTGGCCAGAGCCCCAAGCTTTGCTTCTGCTCTGAACTTCCAGCACATGGTTAAAAATCATAGCTAATGCTTCACGGAAATAAATATTTCAAAACCACGTGCTTTCTGGCCTGCCAGATGGCTGCCTTTCACACTTCCAACTGTGTCAGACTCCAAGAAACTCAGTGACTCAAATTTTGTGGTGGGTTTTATGATCCTAGAATAGGGGTTGGCGTGGTGGATAGGTAATAGAAGGAGGGTTTTTCTAAATTAAAAGAAAAATTAATGGAGTGAGTCCTACCTGCTTTGCTCGAGTAGCATAGCCTAGTCATATGAATACTGTTCACAGGTAATTTGGCAGCAAAAATCCCAGTTAGTCAACATAGTCAGCAAAGTTCTGCTCATCTTTTATTTACCTCGCCCCCACTGCCTCCGCCCCCACCTCCAATCCAGCTTAGTCACCCCGTCTTCTCTTGCTCCCTGCATGGACAGACTCGGACAACACATCCTCTGGATGGGTCAACACACTTAGAGAAGTGCGTGCATGTTAGATACAGACGCACAAAAACCCCAAGTAGGACTGAGAGGCAGAGTCCTCTGAATCCTTTTACATTTTCTGTCTTGATTTCTCACAGGTCCATCCCGACTGTTTTTCAGGTGTTGCAGACGCATCAGGATAGTAGGTCACTTAAGTCTCTTGTTGCCTGATGTGTATTATTATTATCATTAGTAGTAGTATTCTTATTATATAAGTTCTCTCTCTATATATATACTCATTAAAGAAAAATTAGAAGGTAACAATAAAGAAGCCAAAATTCAAAACATACATATTCACACAAACCACCCTGAATCATATAGCACAGAGAAAACCACTACTAACATTTTAGCATCATTCTCTCATGCTTGCTTTGTATATAACTACATAGACACATATATGTATTCATAATATATTTCATGACACCAGGTTCATGCTCTATGTACTGTTTTCAAACTTGCTTTTTTCATTTAACAATGTATTGTGGGCCTCTTTCCAAGAATGTACAAGCCCTTCTGCACTCGTGTGTGTGCACACACACAGCATCAGGATCACTTGCAAACAGAAGGAGTTTCTTCCCCCAAAGATGCCCGCATATGTCAAAAAGCTTGGTGTCATGGGTGAGCATAACTAACGAATAAGAGCACAAGGATGTCAGTGTGCCCTGACGCTGGCAGATGCTCCCAGTCTCAGCTCGGATCTGCTCTGGTTATAAGGGTGGGTTAGGAGGGGGAGGCTGGTGACCCCAGTACAGGCGGCATGAAAAGAGGCTGAGCTCAGGCACTCTGTGTGTGTATGAGGACAGGGGAGATTGACACAAAAGCTCTGGGAGTGATTCCAAAGCAGAGGTCCTCGTTCTCACCTATACTTAGACAAGGCCTAATGTCCAACATCAAAACATAAATCAACACAGCTGTGGATGCTGCCTCCCTTCCTAATTAGCATGAGAAATGTCATGTCCTTGGCAGCTCCCACTGCCTCTCTCTCAGTCCATAAAGCCAGTTGAGAGAGTTTTAGCAGCTGGGAGCCTCTTGTAGCCCTGCCAACCAGCCTTTCCCCAAACCCGAGGGAGCTGCCACCATCACTGCATTCTCTGCCAATAAGCCTGGCAAGAAAGCTGCTCTTCAGAAATTACTGCTTCTTAACAACCTTCTCCAGGACAACTCCTCACCTGACAGGCAACCCGAACCACAAAGGCCCTCTTGGTCTTCAGTACACCAAGTCCTCTAAAGCTCTAGCAACCAGCAGTAGCCTTTGCACAGAAACTGTAACATAAATGAGCTACACAAGTATCCTACACACAGAATATGAATTGCTCCACACAGAACATATGATACAAACATGAAGAAAGCGAATATCCTTCAATCTTGCATGTACTCATCAAGCATATTTATCAGTACCCTGGCACTGACAGCGAATGGGGCTCACTGCAATTAACTCGACCCTGGATTGGTGATTGAGACAGCTGTCAGTCCTGAGGAAGGGGCTGCTAGTTTCCCTCCACGTCTCATTCTCATTTAACCACCATCTCCCTCCTTCCATTCCTTTCACCCAACCCGTGACCAATCTCAGTGCAAATTATGCACCCTTACCGAACACTACATTGCAGGCCATTTGAGCACTCACAGCTGGACTCACCATCTGCATCTACCCACTCCAGTGGCTCAAACCTACTTACCTTCTAGGCTTTTTTTTTTTTTTTTTTTTTTTTTGAGACAGTGTCTCACTCTATCACCCAGGCTGGAGGGCACTGGTACAATCTTGGATCACTGTAACCTCTGCCTCCTGGGTTCAAGCAGTTCTCCTGCCTCAGCCTCCAGGGTAGCTGGAATTACAGGCACATGCCACCATGCCAGGCTAATTTTTGTATTTTTAGTAGAGGCAGGGTTTTGCCATGTTGGCCAGGCTGGTCTCGAACTCTTGACCTCAGGTGATCCACCCACCTCAGCCTCCCAAAGTGCTGGGAGTACAGGCATGAGCCACGGTGCTGGGCCAGTTTTTTAAATTTCAATTAAATACACTGCCCCAAACGTATTCATCCAAGTAAGAGCCCTAAGATTTTGCAAAAGGCCCTCTGCTCCTATCTTTCCTATTTCGATTCTATTGCAAACTCTGATTCATTCTAACTCTTTAAAATTTGTTTTTAAAAAAGTCAATGGATCTATGTTGTCCTTCTCAAGCCCAATTCTTCATTAGTTTCTACCCAAGTGAAGTTAACTTTGGCAGATCTAGTTGTATCTGTCCTACACACTTGCTATTCCTTCTTTTGGTAACTGCACCAGTTTATCTTTTAGGGAAGTGCCCTTCCTCCATTTCCTGAGGAAACTGATGGTCAAGATACACCTGCTGCCCCAGTCCACAGGAGTGGCCACATAACCATGGCCTGGACAATCATAGTGCCCAAAACTCTTGTCCATTGGGAGACATGTTCTACACAGAGCCCATCAGAGTGCTCCCATGAAATTTGATATAAGGATTCTGGGAAAAAGAGGGTCTCTTTTACTTCCGAACCAAAAGTTATATAGCTCTTGTTATTAAAAATATAGACTTGAGGTTTCCAGCAACCATCCTTCCTGCCATTGGACATAATCTGTCTGTGGTATTAGAGAACATAACACATAAAGAAAAGAGAAAACTAGCAGAGTCAAGAAATGGAGAGACACTTGATGTCCTTGTTTGAGCTCCTGGATCCAGCTGTGCCTGAAGCCTTTGCACTCTATTATGTGACTGTGTCTCTCTCCCCAGAAATTTAGCTTAGCTAGTTTAAGTTGGTTTTTGTGTGTGTGTGAATTGTAACTGGAATATTGACAAATACCCCTCTAGATGGTTTTCTTGCTTCTAGTCTCACCCTGCTTTCTTCAGTCTGTCTCCCTGACAGAGTAAACTTCATAAAATACATCATGATTTATAAAATATATATATAGATAACATGCAAACAAGAGTGTTATTTCCTTGTTTAAGAAGCATCAGTGACTCCACATGACCTACAGGATTAAGTCCAAACTCCTTATCATGACATGTTAGGCTCCTGTGCTCTAGTGGCTATTTCTCCATTCTCACTTTTAATCATTACCTCTCTTGTCCTCTTCATGCTCCTAAACACTGTCACCATCTCATCCTCTAGCTTCGCAAACATTCTTGTCATTTCTTTAGCTTGACTTGCTGTTTCCATATTGTTTTTCCCTCATCATTGTTTTTTGTCTGCCAGGTGAACTCATAACCATCCTTTGGACCCCAGCTCAAGAGATGCTGACTTCTTCAGGTAGAGTTGGTGAATCTCTCCTTTGTGCCCCACTATATCCTATACAGACCTTTATTGTAGTATATGTGATGGCTTATTTACATGACAATCTCAACCACTGGACAAAAGCTTATTTGGGGTCAAAGCTCACATCTTGACTTTGAGCTCCCAGCACTTAGCACAGTGCCTAATATAGTAGGCACACAGTAAATATTTGATAAATGAGTGATTGAGCAAATGAGTTAATAAAAGCCCTAAAGAGTATACCCTGAGGATAGCATGGCTCAGAGAGGTTATGCCAACAATCACATTTAAACACATCTAGGACAAGCAGGCTTGACTAGTTACCTGTTTATCTCTCTCCATCCTCATTTCTATCTCCATCTTATCACTGTGCTGTTCCAAACTGGAAGACATGGATAACTGATGAAGTAAAATTCAAGTTTTTCTCCCTGTGATATTGTGAAATATATATTTGGTCTTCATCCCCATTTCCTGGCATACAACTCCTAAATACTCCTAATCTCTAAGGTGATTTTTTTGTATGCTAATAAGTTGACTGACGGCTGTCAGCCCCTATGTGTCTTCAGGATGGGATTGGTCACAGGAAAGACCAAGACATGATTAGAGGGTTGGGACTTCGAGCTCCATCCCCGAACCTCGGGGGAGGGGAGAGGGGCTGAAAGTTAAGTTGATAACCAATGGCCAATGATTTACTCAATCATAATGATGTCTCCATAAAAACACAAAGAATGGGGTTCAGAGGGCTTCCAGATCGCTAAACACTTGGAGGTTCCTGAAGGGTTGCGCCCCCAGGGAGGGCATGGAAGCTCCAGGCCCCTTCCCACATGCCTTCTCCTGTGCTTTTCTTCCATCTCTTCATCTGTTTCCTTTGTAATATCCTTTATAATAAGCCAATTTATTATAAGTGTAAGTAAAGTGTTTCCCTGAGTTCTGTGAGCTGCTCTAGCAAATTAGTCAAACCTGAGAAGGGGATAGTAGAAACCCCAATTTATAGCCTGTGAGGTTGGAAATATAGGTGACAATCTATTACTTGTAATTATAAGTGGAGACAGGCTTGTGGGACTGAGCCCTCAGCCTGTGGGACCTGATGCTATCTCCAGCTAGGTAGTATAAGAGTTGAATTGAATTAGAGGATATCCAGCTGGCATTGGTTGCAGAATCGATTGCTTGCTTGGTGTGTGGGGAAAACCCCCACACATTTGGTGTCAGAAGTGTGTTGTGAGAGTGTAGTGGAAGAAACTGTTTGCTTTTGCTGTATCCTCAGACTCCCAGATACTCCAAACATTTTAGAAAAAGTTACTTATTTGGCCTTTCCTCATTCAACATCATTCTCAGTAGGGAAGAATGGCACAGAGACATTCGGGGTTCACTAACTCTTGGCTCCATGAAGACCAAGACCCTGCATGTCTTCTTCATGATGATGTTCCCAGGTACTTAGAGGACATCTACTAAATATTTACTACATGACTGACTGGTCACATGTCCAAGTCAGAGCAGCAACAAAGGACGTCAGCTCTTTGGCTGTTTCAATGTGTCATCTTCCCCTGCCCAGACACATTATTCTATTTTTTGAAACCTGTTGACATCTATTGACTCCTCTTGGCATAAGACTTCCATTTCTCAAGCACAGTTAGAAATGTGAGGCTGAGTTCTCAGCCTCTGACTTCAGCCTGCCTTATCAGCCCTATCAGAATCTTGTGGGTCAGGCTACACGCCATGCCATGCGTGAGATCTGACATTCTTTACCCTCCTCAACCCTTCAACCCCCCCTTTTTTTTTTTTTTTTTAAGAGAAGATCTTGCTCTGTCACCCAGGCTGGAGTGCAGTGGCTGTGATCTCGGCTCACTGCAGCCTTGACCTCCCAGGCTCAAGTGAGCCTCCACCTCAGCCTCCCAAGTAGCTGAGACCACAGGGGCACAACATCATGCCTGGCCAATATTTTTATTTTTTGTAGAGATGGGGTCTCACTACGTCTCCCAGGCTGGTCCCAGACTCCTGGGCTCAAGCGATCCTCCTGCCATGGCCTCCCAGTGTTGGAATTACAGGTATGAGCCACTGCACCCGGCCCTCTTTACCTTTCTGGGTGACAACAGCTAAAGATGGATCTAATAAAGAGGCAGCTGGCATTCTGGTCAGTCTGACACTCTCTCAAAGAAGGTAAATGGGACAGAGTCTGTGCTCAAGGAAACCAAAAGAGATTCACCCTGCTGTGTGAGCATCAGCATGCACCAGCTCAGTCAGAAGCTCTAACCGGGTGCCGTGGAGAGGATCAATTTTGAGATGAACAATATATTTATATTATCCACTGGCCCTGAAGATCCTGAAGGAACTTGTGTCAAGTTGGGGGAGGCAGGGAAGGAAAAAGAATGTTTTCTATTATAGTAAATGCAAGTAAATGAAATAGTTGGGACAGGAAGGCATTAACCAGAATCTAACTTCACAAGGTCACTAAATTGAGGACTATTTAAAAAGTTAAATTGAATGAGAAGATGGGCCTTTTCTTTTCCCTGTCACTCACTGGTGGTGCCTGTGGCATAGGAGAAAACCAAAGCCTGCAGGGGTGTGGGAGAAGAATGAAGCAGTGAGGTGGATCACCACCAAGCTCACTCAGCCAACACCTCCTCAAGACCACCAGGCAGGGAGAAGGCAGGGGCACCAGGGAACCTGAGAAGGAAGGAGATGAACCAGGTGGTCGGGAGGGCAGGTGGATGAGGGTGCAGGGCTGAGAGTCGGTGGCATTATGCTGGGGAGGACACCAAGCCAGACCTATGACGACTGTGAAAGGGCCTGGGAAAGGAGGGCTCCCAATAGGCAGGCCTGGAGAAATCCACAGTGAGTGAGGTTATCCAGATTAGAGCAGCCTCCTACAAGGAGAGAAGCTTTTCCTTTGCAGCTTGCTGATCTGGATGACTGAGTATGGGCTCCTCCACTTTGTAGCTTTCACGCTAAGTAAACCATCACCACTCTAAACTTGGGCTTCCCCAACCATAAAATGACAGTAATAGTCCCTTCCTCACAGAGTCATTGGGAGGATTAAGTGAGATGATTCATGAAAAGCACGGAGCTGTGTGCCTGGCAAATAGGACATTTTTAGTAATACTATTTTCTTTATTTGCAATACCAGGTTGGTATTGGCATGAAGCAGGTTCAATACATCATCAGAGACCATAGCCCAAAACAAAGAACAACTATTATTTATTCAATGATCCTTTTTGAGCACTTTCCAAGAACTGTTGCCAGGAACTTGGACAAACAGGGTTGCAAAACAGTTAGTCATAGCCGTGTGCGGTGGCTCACACCTGTAATCCCAACACTTTGGCAGGCCGAGGCAGGTGGATCACAAGGTCAGGAGATCGAGGCCACGGTGAAACCCCGTCTCTACTAAAAATACAAAAAAATTAGCTAGGCGTGGTGGCAGGCGACTGTAGTCCCAGCTACTCGGGAGGCTGAGGCAGGAGAATGGCGTGAACCTGGGAGGTGGAGCTTGCAGTGAGCCGAGATTGCGCCACTGCACTCCAGCCTGGGTGACAGAGTGAGACTCCATCTCAAAACAAAAACAAAACAAAACAAAACAAAACAAAACAAAAACAGTTAGTCATAAACTCCATCACACCTTCCCATGGAAATCACCTTCAGGGGTCACGGTTAGGCATCAGATCCCAAGAACAGCTCTGCAGAACTAGCAGGGACCCATTAGCTCTCAGGGAGCTGAGCTCAGTTTTGCCATGCACATATCACATAGAGGTATACCATGGGAGGGCATGTTGGAGGGAGAGCTGATTGTGCATGTTAAATAGGCATTTTTTGTGTCAGATTCTACTGAGTATTAATATCTATTTTGGTTTTACACTCTACTAGCCTAATGGCCAAGATGGAGCTCATCTACTAAGGGAAGCTAATAAGCTTTCAGAACACCCAGGTTTTTAGTAAAATTCCTCTGACAACATGCAAGAAACACATCTAGACTACTTCCCTTTGAGGATGCCAAGTTCTGTACAAAGAGAACCATTCAACTCTGTAACCATGTGTTGAGAAATACTGCATAAAAACACATCTGAATTGGGAAAGTTGTACAGCTGGAGGTAGGGTAGGTGGCTGCTGAGACGTAGGGCAGTTCCCAGGTAGGGAACAAAACATGGTTGGGGATCCATATGCCACTGGTAAATCCCTCTTATCTGCACAGTCTTCCTTTACAGAAGTTTCTGTGAACCTCATCATGGTTTCCACACCCGACTGACCATGAGAATCATCTACGAGCTTGTTGGAGATGCGGATTTCTGCGTCCCATCCCTGGAGATCCAATTAAATAGACCTGTAGATGTGCATTATTAAAAAGCTCCTTGGATAATTCTGTTGCACAGCTCAGTTGGGTAACACTGGTGGACAATGATGCAGAAAGTATGTCATCAGGCAACTGCCGACCCCTCAGAAGAGGAAGAAAACAGCAGCCTGCAGGCAAGATTGGAATGAAGGCCACTTGTCCAGGACACTGATAACCCCATCTCTTCATCCCCAGCCAGAGTGAAACTAACTGACTCTTGGTCTGCCATGGACTCCCCTTCACAGAGGTATTGCAGAGGAAATTAAAATTATAACTCTGAGATCCTAGAATTCTGAGATATGAATATGGAGTGTTATAATGTGAAAGATGGAATTGCTCAAAGATAAAGCCAAATCATCCACAATGTTTTGCTTTAAAGAAGCTTCCTAGCTGGAAGAAAAGTACTGGAATAAGGAGATATATCTTTTCTCTGTCACCTCTCACTTAGATATAGGAGGGACACTGAGCATAACTGACCAGAGCCCCAGCTGCTGTGTTCTGAAATCTGGCAATGCAAAGAGGACATGCCTCCCACAAGCTGCTCCCTGCTGATGACTGAGGGGTGGGGCTGGTAAGACAGATCCTGAAAGGCACAATAGTCCTCTAGAAATGTTGGTTCAAGGGACCCCCTGACAGTCTTTCCAAATCTTCCTTTGACTGCATGGATGTCTAGGGTGCCTCCCTCAACCTTCCAATTTCTGGTCAGACTCACACTGGGATCTGCCAGCTCCAAAGCTAGTGCTTCCTAGCTTTCTCTCCATTTTCTCCCCTACAGGCACTTCTCCCCTCCCTAGGTTTTTTTTTTAGACAGAACCTCCGCCATCACCCAGACTGCAGTGCAGTGGTGTGGTCATGGCTCACTGCAGCTGGGGCCTCTCAGGTTCAAGCAATCCTCTCACTTCAGCCTCCCAAATAGCTGGGACCACAGGCATGCACCATCATGTCCGCCTAATTTTTGTATTTTTTGTAGAGACAGGGTTTCACCATGTTGCCTAGGCTGGTCTCAAAATCCTGGGCTCAAGCAATCTGCCCGCCTCGGCCTCCCAAAGTGCTGGGATTACAGGCATGAGCCACTATGCCCAGCCACTTCTCTCTCTTTTTTTTTTTTTTTTTAAATATGAACCATTTTATTGAAGAACAGTTATACAGTGTAGCTACAGATACTGACTAGATACTAAATATTTCTGCCTGATTTTTCATTGTCTTCACAAGTTAGGGAATAGAAATCAAAAAACCAAAAATCTCAAATGATTTAGCTGTCCAAAACATATTTGACAGTTGATAAATTTAGAACAGCTCTGACATATAAATTTCTAATTAGAGAATCCTTTCATTTGAAAAAATTGAGATGATATTACCCTAATGAAGTTTTTGCCTGAAGTTAACAAAGTCCTGGATTTGATATATTACTTTGAATGCATTAATTCTGAAAATTTATATTTAGTTCTACTTTATAACATTTCTTCCCTTAAGGATGGGATATGAGGTACACATGAGCTGGTTTCTACAGTATGAATGTATGTACATATATAAAGTATGGTTGTAAAGGAGTGGGTGATTTGCAAATAAAGCACATTATACACAAAATATAAATAACTTCCCTTTTAAAAGTTACTGAGAATAAAGAATACAGAACATGGTTATAGGCACTTACATTGCTATCAAATGCAGGAATTCATTTCAATAAGAAGTGCTTTCTTTGTAAGCATGGTTCATGGCAATAGAAGCTCCAACTTTGGAGAGGATGTTTTCCGTGACAAAAATAATAACCACAAAAAAAAATGGTGGTTGAAGGAAAACAGTCCAAATTTACAGATGCTTTAAACTTCTTTTGGCCTTGGCATCAGCTTTCATGTTAAAAAATAAAGCTGGTGGGGAAGCTATCTCACTTGCAAAGTAAATGGCTTGTATGAGATTGGCGAATCTTGGTCAGATATTGCATTTTTAAAGCACAAAACCACCAGCCACCAATATCTTCCTGTGCATGCATATAAATTATTTTCTTCTAATTCAAATGGCAGCAGAGGAATCCTGGCGTGCATGTGCATGGAGACACACACACATCACTAAGGAGACAGGACAAACTATCATAAACTAGGCAGTATCCCAAACACATCATCATCTATAGGCTGTTTTACAAAGGTAGAATACAAAGGAACTGAATGTCTCAGGTAAAAGGCAAAGTCTATTTCTCCATCTCTGCTGCACTCATTTATCTTCTTAAGGCTTTCACAGAAAGCACCGTTTTATGAACAGGCAATTCAGTACCCAGAGCTTGACTGGAGACACTAATCAGGATTGAAGTCTTGATGCAGTTCATAAAAACCCATTTAAAAAAAGGCATCAAAAACCACATTTAAAATAAAGCTGTCCATATATAAAGAATGAAGTGTTTAGAAGTTCCCAGCTTGTATCCTAATAAGAGTACTGAAAGGTTTAATATTAGCAGCCTGTGAACACGTAGTGAAGAGAGAGTCTGAGAACCAAGTTAACATCCTTATTCCACTCTAATTCCACCCATGCCATGGGTAAAAACAGTTCTTGCAGTCTAGAGTTTCTCCTCCGATGGTTTAACCATCAGATTTTTACATCTTGGGATTCAACCATCTTGGCAAGCATCTTCTTAATTCTCAACGCTGTGAGTCTGGAGGCTGGATTGTGGGCCCAGCATTCTGACATTAGCTTCAAAACTGCTCGTAGACATTCATCACTGTTCCACCGATTAGACACAATTGGCCGCAAACGTTTGACACACACAACCTCACGCATATCTTCGTATGACGGATCACTCGGTACCATGTTGTAATATGGCAATTGGTACTCTTCCACAATCCCTCCTGTGATACAACGACGAGCCATCTCCCAAATGATTAGGCCGAAGCTGTAGATGTCAGCCATGATGTAGGGCTGGAAGTGGTTTTTGTTCAGGCTTTCGTCCAGCACTTCTGGAGCCATATAGCGTTTGGTGCCCACCCTGGTATTCAAGGGCACATCAACTTCATTTGTGTCACTGTTGAATTTAACAGCAAGGCCCAGGTCAGCAATGCAGCAACTCCCATTTTTCTTGATGAGGATGTTTTTGCTCTTTAGGTCTCGATGAGCAATTGCGGGCTTTCCTTGGGTGCCATAAATTTCTGTGTGCAGGTGGCACAGACCACAGGCAGCTGAATAAGCCGATTTAAGCAGGGCTCTGGTGTCCAGTGTAGCACATTTCAGGAAGTCATAGAGAGATCCATTTTCATGGTAATCAGTAATCAAATAGAGCTGAGTCCAGGAACCTGTACCTTTAATGTCTGCTGCTATGAAACCAAGTATGTTTTCATGGCGCATTAGCACAGTTTGGTAGATTTCTGTTTCTCGAAACCAGCTGGCTTCTTCAGTGGTAAAGAATACTTTCACCGCCACTTTTTCGCCACGCCATTTGCCCATCCATACTTCTCCATATCGGCCTTTACCAACTTGCCGGACCATCTGAATCTGTTTGGCAATAGTTCGCTGAACCAATAAAGGTAGTCCAGACCCACTACCAGAACTTTGTGACTGGTCAATAAGGTCTTTTAGTGATTCTCCAACTGGAATAAATGCTTCATCCGTTCCAAATCACGATTGTAACGACGTCTGCTTGAGATGCTCTTGCAATAATGTCTCCAAGATGTGGCTAGATAAAACTGTACTTCCGATTTTCTCCAAACAGCTTTGATCTATGCTTCCATCTCGTGAATTCCAAGACAGTATTAAACTGATGCATATTTTCATAAGTCCGGACCCCAGGGAACGCATCCTCCAGCCCTCGGCGCGGAGCGGGTGGGCGCGGCGAGCCGCCGGGGCGAAGCGGGGCCCGGATCGGCCTTCGCCCTTGGCGTGCAGCGGCCCCGACCCGGTCGCGCCTCGATCGGGCCGTGCGATCTTCGCCGCGCGCGGACGGACGCGCCGAGCCTAAGCCTTCCTGCCCGCCCTTGGCCCTCCTCCCTCCTCGCTCCTGCCTCCTCCCTTCTTCGCCAAGCCCGGAAGGCGGATTCCAATCTCTGCCCACTTCTCTTAATTAATAAATTCCTTGCATGTTTAATTCCATCTTGGCCTCTGCTTCTTGGAGGACTCAGAAGAGTGCAGGAGCTTTGGAATAGCATCAGTTCTGAGACCTCACTGGTCCTCCAGAAACTTTCAAGAGCTTTCAGACCTGTGGCCTTTGAGGGTCCTGGCCTAGGTTTCCAGGGGCCTTCAGGCTGATAGAGCCTGGGTAAGGCCAGAAGAAATAAGCAGAAACACATATTTAGGGACAAATTTTCATGGTCTACGAAAAAGTCAGAGGTATGAAAGCGTCTGCTTTTCCTTATTTACTCATTACAGTGTGTTAGGAATTATACCTCTTTTACAGGTAAGGAAACCAAGGCTCAGAGAAGTTGAGTAACCTGCTCAAGACCACTCAATTAATAAGTGTCAAGGCCAGGATATTTCCGTTTCAAGACTACTTTCTTTCCATTCTGCTACAATAATCCTTGTTCACTAGGAAGGCAGCATAACATGGTGGGTAAGAGCATGAAGTTTGGAACCTGACTGCCTCAGCCTTGTCATCTTTAAAGTAAGAATAATGGACGAGGCACCAGACAAGGCCAAGGTGGGGGCTACTGGTTCCACATAGTTCAGTGCAGCAAGCATTTATTGAACATTTGCTGTGTGTCTGCTCCTGGGCTGGCCTCTGAGAATATAAAGATAAAAAGACAGACGTAGCCTTTACAGGGCTCATAGGCTAGTGAGGAAAGAGAGACAGCTAGATATACCAACATGATGCAAGCATCAAGAAAAGTAACATACCATGCATGCTCAATACCCTAGCCCTATTAAACCTCTCCTAATTCCCAGTAGGTCACCCCTCATGTTGAGGTCAGTCATCACATGTACTTCTCTTTATGCCCTGAATCTTCTTTCTCTCCATCTTTGTCTGGCTAAACTTTTCGTTAAGTCTCAGCTTAAATGCACTTCCTCTGAGAACGTCCATGATCCTTGAAATTAGGTACCTCTGCTGTCTGCTCTAGGCATTTATACTCAAAGTTCCATGGATGTGGGATTGTTTTATTCAGCATATATTCCCAGACTCTAGCTGACTGCATGTTGAGTGCCATAGGCATAAGAAAGGCTCAGTCAATATGAGTGAATAAATGAAGGAGGAACTAAAAAGAATTAAGGTTCTCTAGAGGGACAGAACTAATAGGAAATATATATATACAGATATATATGAAGGGGAGTTTATTAAGGAGTATTAACTCACATGATCAGAAGGTCCCATAATAGGCTGAGCTAAAGAGCAAGCTGAAAAGCAAGGAAGCCAGTTCGAGTCCCAAAGCTGAAGAACTTGGAGTCTGATGTTCAAGGGCAGGAAGCATCCAGCATAGGAGAAAGATGTAGGCTGGGAGGCTAAGCTAGTCAGTCTTTTCACGTTCTTCTACCTGCTTTTATTCTGGCTGTGCTGGCAGCTGATTAGATTGTGCCCACCCAGATTAAAGGTGGGTCTGCCTTTCCCAGCCCACTGACTCAAATGTTAATCTCCTTTGGCACCACCCTCACAGACACACCCCAAATCAATACTTTGCACCCTTCAATCAAGTTGACATTCAGTGTTAACCATCACACCTGGGGTTGACTCGGGCCACACTGGTATCCCAAGAGATTAAATCTAGTAGGTAGGGGACTGAAGAAAGAAGTTCCAGGAAACACTAAATTTAAGCTGAAAGAGCAATGATATTTAAGTCTATAAGTGATGAGTCCATTGGAACAGCAGCAGTATAGAGGATACAGACCAACTTCGGCGGCAGGGCTCAGCTAAAGGGAACAAGATGTGGCATCAGGAGCCCAGCCATGTCTGTGGAGGTTCAAGACAAGACATCGGTATCAGGGGCAACTAGTCCAAGGATGTAGACTAGGTAGGAACAGTTCACAGGTCTCAACTTAGGTGCCAACCACACCTGGTTGTTAGGAATTGATATACTGAGATAGATAGCGTCTGAGGCAGACATGCCTGCACAGGAAAGGGTCCTGAGATTTAATAGCGATGCTTAGCAGTGAGAACCAGAAGCCAAATAAAGGGAATCTCCAAAGATGTTTGCTATTTCTGCTGGTTGGGAGTTGAGAAGACAAGATCTAGCTCACTCCCTGCCCTGACAATCTCTGAACACAGGGCTGAGCAGATGGTAGCTCAGTTGGGGTTAGTTCTCACCCTCCATCCTTAGGAACAGGATGGGCTGAACATGCTTGCAGTGGGACGGGTCTGGGAAAACAAAGGACTGAAGATGACAGGAGGCCTGGTCGCCAGCCAGAGCTTTTCTCCAAAGATGCTGGCTCTTGCCCCTCACACCCAATCTCACCTCCACTCCGTAAGACACAGGGATGTAATGTCACCTGTCTGCTCCATTGGATGAGGTAGCTGAACTTCAGCTTCCTCATTAGTAAGGTAGAAATAGCAATAACTTGGCCGCTGAACAGTTGTGAAGATCAAATTGGCGTTAAAAATGCTTGGCCCAATGCCTGCCATCCAGTAGGAGCTCTGTAAACGGCAGTTGAAAGGCAGTATCTAGCTGGTTTTAAAAACACCTTCCTTGTCTTTGGAATTGTCAATCCTTTCATTCTGGGTCCCTCTTCCACTTCTTGGTGTACTTCCTCTGCTTATCTGCCATAAGGCCTCTTCTTTCATGTTGCCAAAAGCTCCCTCTTCTCAGTCCCTGACCAGGTCTGCTGTACCCACATCACCCCCTGTCCCCAAATCACCTCCTGCCCTTCTCTCTCTTCAGAATTCTGAACACTTGCTGAATTTGATCTTAAGTGCTAGAACTGTAGGGTTTCACATCAAGTGCATTTTAAAGAGACCACTTGTTAATTGAAACAAATGCCCGTTTAGTGGAATTGCAGGGCTGATGATCTCTGGCAGTAAAATAATATACAGTGCGCCAACAAGGTCGGGCAGAGGAGTGTTCATGACCCTTTTAATTGCACTGAGCAGACTGCACCATGCTTCTCAACCCTGCCCATGCTGCTAAATCATCCTGAGAACTCTTAAGAAAATACAGATTCCTTGGGTCCACCCCAGACTTTCTTACTCAGAATCTCTAGGGATGATGAGGAGGACAAAGACCCAGGTGACAACTTCACTTGCTTTAAAGGTTAAGCGGACGCAGGCTGCACAGCCTGGGATGAGAGCTGCTCTCCTTCCCTACCAAGTGCTGGGGTTGTACCCAGCAACTGGGTACCTCAACTTTGAGAGAATCCTGTCAGTACAAGCCTGGCGTCGTGGAGAACACCTTTCCCTCCTAGCTCGTCCTAGATCTCCAATGCCGCTGCCCTGGTGACGAGGAAACACCTTCTCCACTCCTACCCTCATCAGCACAGACTCCATTGCAGCTTCTGCCCCAACAAAACACATACAGGCAAGTCTTACTGAATGCATTATATATTTAAATAAGTGTTAGCGTCCATTATTTTACTGAATCATCGCAATTAAATGAGGTAATTACTATTATTATCCTCATTTTACAGATAAGAGAGTGAAGCCCAAATTAATTAATATACCTAAAGGCACATAGCTAGTAAGTGGTAGGATGTGAACCTAGGGTGGTTCAAATCCAGATTCCTAATTCTTAACCCCAGTGCTTGGTTGCCTTTACATTCTTAGCCACGCGGCCTCCACAAATTACTGCGTCTTCTTTGTACCAGAGGCAACTGTTATGTTGTGTTTTGGAATTCTCCACATTCTGCCCTCTGAGGGCTGGAGACGGATCAGCAGCTTGTAATCCATCAACAGCTTGGAGACTCTTTCTCTAGCAATAAAATCATAGCTCCCACTCCCTGCAGGAAGCCTTCAAGACACAGCTCTCGGGTTCTGTCTTCCCTGGCTCTTGAAACAAAGCCGTTGAAGTGGCTTCCTCCAGGCTCACAGCCAGGCAGTGGTCCACTTGCTTTCTTAATAGGATGGCTGGGGCCCTAATCCTCCAACACATCAATCAAATGGCAGTCAACTGGAACAGTTCATATAAGTAGACACTTTGTACTGTCCTTCCCTTGGTCTAGCCAAATTTGAACTCCTAAAAAGCTCTGAAAGAGGATGGTGCATATCAACTGTACTCAGAATGGTGCTTCTCAACCCTGGAAGCATTTTCAAGTTAACTGAGAAGCTTTTTCGAAAATATCAATGCCTGGGTCCTACTACCCAAGCCTTGAGACTTAATTAGACTGGAATGGAGCCAAGTACCCAGTGATTCTGAAAGCCCAGCTTTAGGACATTGCTGCGGGTCAGCTGCTACGAATATCTTCTAAACTTTGCAAGATGGTTTTCTGTCCCCCTTGGGAAATTTAAGTGGCCTTTTGCCAATGAGAAGGAGGTAACTGTTCATTTTAAAAGAAGCTACTTTCACTTTCCCTTCCACATGTGAGACAGAGAACCCCTGTGGACTGGTGTCTCATGAGAACAGAAACACTCCAGCTGAAACCAGAATGGTCTGCCTTGGTCGTCATGGCTGAAAGACCTGTACTGAGGGCGTGAAGCAGAACCCCCTTTATTAGCCAGAAGAATGAGTATAGAAATGGTAGGCTCTGGGGGCTGGATTCTGGTAATTGGTCCTATTGGATGGACTATCTTCGGACATTCCAGAAACAGAGCTGTCCCCAAAATCTTTAGAAAAAAAAAATGTTGTCACTCTCCCCTGTAATTCATTCCTTGGTCTCACAATACTTGGAATCCAACAATTTTTTTTTTCCCACACTTAATCCAAATGCATCCTGTTGCAATTAAACTTCAGTTGTCTTGCTTGTCCTTGTTTAAAACAAAGGACAGCTGTTCTCACTTGCACAAAGCTCTTGAGGACTGAGCAGAGGATGGTGATAGAGGTAAATACAGCATTGTCTGACCTTGGTTTTGAGTAAACGCTCAGGTAAAATTTTTCTCTCCCTCCAGTATCCTGAGGAGCTAAACAAAAGGGCATCTGAGTTGAAGGTCCTAGATTTAATTCCTGGAATGAATAATGGAGACTTGGGGTTATTTGTTACTGTTGTTCATCTCCAGTTTCTTCATTTATAAAGTTGAATAAAATTGTATTAAGGAAAAGCCACATCTAATGAAAAAATCATCCTCATTTGCATTCATTTTCACTGCTCCTCCATCCACCTCCCACCACCAATAGCTGCACCTGAATTTCCTGAACCAAAAGGAAGGAAAGATGAAGCCAGTGTGTGAGCTGACTGTTTTCTGTAACCTACAGAAACTAGAACAATGTGAGCAGCACAAGGCTGTTGCATTGAAGGTCTGGGAATTTTTTCCAAGAGACAAGTTTGGATTGTTTGTGGGTTGATGAACTGAACAGAGGTAGTTATCTGAGAATCTTAGGGGACTTACCTCAAGTGTCATGTTTCTGTTGGTTTGTGACTGTGCAGTCTGTGTTAACTGCTTTGCCGTCGTTCCCAGGACTTGGAAGGAAAAAAAAAATCCAACCTGCTTGGTGGCTAATCATTTGAAGAGAAGTCTGCAGTCTGTTAGGCAGAATGTCTCACTTCTTTCCCCCTCTGCCCTATTGCCATGCTATTGAGCTGTGTGTCTCTTTCCAGTTTTCCCCGTTGGGCTAGCTCTGTTTTCAATGTTGTCTTCGGCAAATTACCAAAATAGAATTTATGATTCATTGACCCAAATTATGTTCCCACTGACAATATCTGCAGAAATTCTGTTCAACAATAGCTTGCTGACTTTACAGAAAACACACATCACTCCCTGGAGTTCACCCGCCCCAAGAAGACCAACAAAAAAGCAAATTAAATCTTATCTCCTCGGAAGTCCTTGATGAAGAACATCCTGGTCTTGGCAATTCACTGCATATTTTCAAAAAGCGTTCAGAAAGCAAGATTGTTAGGGTTTTCTGTGAATTGCAGTTTAATCCCGAGGCATATATGAGAGACCACTCTGTATGAACAGCAACCTTTTATTTTCCCCTAAACCACAATGCTGACATTAAGATCCTAGACTTACTCTGTGTTCTGAGCACCTTAAGGCATCACAGGCATTTATCTCAGTGGGTAATTATCAATCGAGGCAAATGACGAGACAAGCGTCAATCATTTTGGGAAGTTTATTTGCCAAAGTTAAGGACTCACACTCTGGAGACAGGTCTATGCCTTTTCTCTGAAGATAATTCTGAGGGCTTCAAATTTAAAGGAGAAAGGGCAGGATATTGAGAAATACACAATTTTCATGTAGGAGGGGGGTGGGGGAAAATAGTCATTCATGCCTTTGTCTTGCTCAGTGAATCTGCATTTTTACATAAAATAACATAGATAATAAGGCAGAGGAAACGATCAGATCTGCCTTTGTGTCAGGTGGGCAGAAAGGATGACTTTGAGTTCCGTCCTATGTGGCCCTGCACCTGTGAAGATAAGCCATCGATTTGCATTGTCCTGGTGAATTTTAACAGAAATGCTTTGGGGTGAAGATCTTGGAGGCCACAAGGAATTTCCCTGTGGGCAAAGTATGAAGGAGGTGTGTAGCTTTTCATCTTGTAGTCATCTTATTTGGGAACCAAAATGGGAGGCAGGTTTTCATGGCCCAGTTCTCAGCTTGATTTTTCCCTTTGGCTTAGTGAGTTTGAGGTCACAAGATTTCTTTTCCTTTCACATCCTCCACCCCCAGCTTTTCTTTAAAATCTTTTGGAGAAAGCATTTTTAGAAGGAAAATGTGTCTCTGATCTCAGGTTGCTTTTCCCTTTTTCTTTATTTTTTGAGCTGGTTCCTCATCACTAGGATGGTTTACTCCTACAAATTCAGGTCCTATGTTGCTAGGAAGGCTCCTTCCTAGGAAGTCATGTCCCGCATTGCTAGGAAGACTCATTCCTGGGAAGTCGTGTCCCATGAGGATAAAAATAGGGGGAGGAAAGATGGAAATGGAAAGAAAAATATAGGGACCTAGGCCAGATATATAGCAACGAAGGGGTAGCAAACCTGGAAGCTGGTTCAGGCTATACTACTGCCTCCTTAATTAGAGCAATTCTTTGAGCAATCATTACTCTAGCTCTTTTGGTTGCATGTTGACTTATTTGCACGCACATACCATAACACCATTGTAAGCAAAAACAGGACAAAACCCAAATTATTCTCATTACAGGCAATAGCTTCTGTCACCAAGTTCCCCAGGACCCAAACCAGCCAACCTATCAATCAATAAGTGAGGGTTTTGGATCTGACAGGTTAGTTATCTGGGTTTTTATATCGGTCATAAGTCGGGTTATGTTATTTGATTTGTCTGGAATATAAACACAACATTCGGTTTTTATAATGGTGCAGGTCCCACCTTGGGCTGCAGTGAGTATGTCTAAGGCCATACAATTTGGCCGCACAGCTTTCCTCATAAGGAACTCATAAGGAACTTTCGTCATAAGACCTCATTTTTTTTTTAGCAAAGAGATACTCATGCAGCTGTCATTTAGGGCCTTTTGGGTGTAACTTGTTAGGGCCTTGTATTAGTCCATTCTCAAACTCCTATAAAGAACTACCTGAGACTGGGTCATTTATGAAGAAAAGAGGTTTAATTGACTCACAGTTCTGCAGGCTGTACAGGAAGCATGGCTGGGGAAGCCTTAGGAAACTTACAATCATGGCAGAAGTGCGAAGGGGAAGCAAGCACCTTCTTCACATGGTATCAGGAGAGAGACAACAAAGAAGAGTAGGGCACTATCCATTTTCGAAACAACCAGATCTCATGAGAGCTCATTCACTATCACGAGAATAGCAAAGGGGAAAACCTCCCCCATGATTCATTCACCTCCCACGTGGCCCCTCCTCCAACACGTGGAGATTACAATTCAACATGAGATTTGGGTTGGGACACACAGTCAAACCGTATTAGGCCTCTATATACCATATAACATCTTCAATACCTATTTGTGGTACAAAGATTGAAGCTAAGTGATCATACCATTGGAATACCGAATGTGTCCAGCAGGATTGTAAATGAAAAAGATTTGCTGGTTTTGGTAGGGTCTGAATTATTCATCCTTGTGTGCAAGTATAACCACCTAGTGAACTTCATCATAACATCCTGGAGGTAACCACAGCCATGTTAGTGCCACATAACCCTTATGTCCCATTTGGAGGTAGCCAATAAATACCTGGTTGCCGTACCCAATTGGTGGCATGCCAGTCTGTGTCTTGTCATATAATAATGTGGTCACAATGTTCTCCAGGTATCCACCCCATATCTCTTCTACTGTTTGGCCATTGGTCGTTGGTGTGTTTTCCTTGTTCCCAACATAAAGGAGCATTTCGGCTAAGCTGACCTAATGAAGGGGTGAGCCACAGAGTCCCATCCCAAATTTTCATTATCCCATTTTGAAAATGAGCCATTGTTTGGGGCATAGTTGTCACCTTCTCTTTTAGCTGGGGAGATGCTAAAGTGAGAGTTAGTGAGCTGATCCTTTCCATTAAAAAACATTTCCCCTGTCTCTTGCTCTTAATAGTGTTTTTAATGGGTCAGTTACTTATATTGTCTTTTGTTATGCCAGCACTAAGGATACCAGACTGTTTCTGTGATGTAATACATTTTTGATATTTTATCCAGTTCTGCCATTGGAAGACAGATATCCGCCATGGCAGGCTGGAGCCCCTGGAAAGAGGCATGAGTCCGCATATCCAGCAGGCCTCCTTTTGTAATCTGTATGCATAATCCTGAGCCCATTGCAGAAACAGGTTTGTTTCATGGGTGACAGTGGGTGGCAGTGGCAAGAAGGCGTAGTGACATAGGAGAAATAAAAGCAAGGTTGTGAAATTGATTTTAGCTACTAAAAGGACATTAAGTCAGACAAGGCAAGTGCCTTGTTCTGTGTAAGACAGCAGTTGCCAGTATCTCTAGGACAATAGTCATAATAGCTATTATAAAATAAGCACAGGTGTTCTTTTGTATACAGGCCTGGCCCTGTGTCTTGGGTTTAAGCAGTCCACAACAGCTGTCATCTGCTTCTAGTCCTGAGTCAAAGTTCAATGTTTAGTGAGTCGAAGGCAAAGATCCTTGGCGGGAGTCACTGTCCACTCAGGAGGTTGTGCCTTTTTTAAGATGAGAGATGTGAATCCATGAGTCTATACCCTCTAATTTTGTGCTACATGGATTGGCCAATAGTACCTGGTATGGCCATTCCACTGGGGTTGAAGGGAGTCCTTCATTAAATGTCTTTTCCAGTAGACAAAGTCTCCAGGCTGCAGCATATACCTGGAACCCTATCTTCAGGCTGTGTGCTGTGAAAGGAATTCTTTACTGAATCTTGTTTTTTTTTTTTTTTTCTTAAAAAAAAGATGATAAATGAAGCACAAAAACTGCAGGAACCCTACAGTGTCCTCCTTCTCCACATCTTCCAGATGAGAGGCTGCCACCAGGGTTACTAGGGAACCCATAGTAAGTAGGGTCTTGGGAGTTAGACCCCCTACTACCTTCTGTTGAGTGAGTGGCAGACAAGGAAGTGGGGGGATGGTGGACTGGAACATGCAGGAGAAGGAGGGAACAGATCTGGTTCAGGAAGTTCAGAGAGGTCAGGGTAGAGGGGGAGGTGGGGGATCTCCAAGAGGAAAGGAAGGGATTTAGAGGATTCCTTTAAAAGAGATAAAACATTAGAGAGTCTTTGGTTAGCACTTCTGAGTTGTTTGTTGGCCTCCTGTGAGGAGGTGAGGTGATCTTCCCCGCCTTTGCTACTCTCCAGGTACCACTGAAAGTAGCTCTCCCATCCTGGTTGTTTTTGTGCCTGTGTTTTCCATCCTAGTTCACAGGTATGCTAATTTGTGCATCTCAAAAGATCCCCATCTAGGCCATGGTAACTTGGAGTCTGCTTTGGTTATAAGGGTCCACTTGGTTAAACATTTGCATGACAACTCGCCATAAGTATTTTGCAGGTACCCGGCTGGAGTTTCTAAAGGTGGAGCTTTATGTTGCACAGCTGCTGGGTTTTAGCCAACCTAGAGGTCTTGTTCCCCATAATTTACTTTCTTTTTCAGATTTACCAAGTCAGGAAGTGTCAGACCCAGGGTGTTCTGCTTGCAGACCTAGCTTTTCAGGGCTGTTACTCCCTGAACCAATTCGATCCACCTGTGTCATGGCTGTGTGGCACAGTGTGTCGGGGCTCAAGGTGCGGGAGGGGTCAGCTCCGTATATGCACCTGCCAGCTGAGATTAGGCTCGAAGTGTGTTCTTCTGAGGGGGTAACCTACTCAGAGCCGCTGCACGTCTTAGGGAGCGTTCCCCCGAGACCCTCTCATATGATTCTCAGTTGCCTGAAAATGCCCTGAAAGGCTGAGGGGAGCATGGTGCTCTTATTTCTTTGGAGTGGAAAATTCCACACTCATAAGCGAGAGGGGCTTCGAGTTGGTCAAATCTAATAAGAGAAGGATGAAAACATACAGAAAAACCCCCGAATAAGACAGAAAACAAACAAACAAAACAGCTAAGCAAAACAACGATCACACAAATTATACATTTCTGAGTGCTCTAAATGTAAGGAGAAATTAAGACCAGCTGGTTGTTAACACTAACTTTAGTCATTAAAGAGAATTTGCAAAACAGAATCCCAACTCAGCTCCTTACCTACTGATGGGGCCCAAGCTGAAGACCGCTCTCTGCCAATGCAGAAGCAGACAAGCCCACCTTCCGTGAGAGAAGCAAGTGGAAACTCCCAGCAAAAAGGAGTTTTCCCTAACAGCAAATTAACCTCAGACACCCAACTAAAAATGTTGGGAGGTCAGGGATCCCTGCAGGAAAGAGGCCCTAGACCTTGGCAAATTGTCCTATCGGTGTGAGCTATAAAGAGCCCAAGCCAGTACCAAGTACTGACAGGAGGGCAGCCGCAGGCCTGGGCCACCTTTACTCAGGATCCCTCCGTTGTTACCAGATGTCAATCGAGAAACACGACAAGACAGGTCTCACTCATTTTAGGAGGTTTATTTGCCAAAGGTAAGGACTCACACTCTGGAGACAGGCCTATGTCTTTCTCTGAAGATAATTCTGAGGGCTTCAAATTTAAAAGGGAAAGGACGGGATATTGAGAAATACACAATTTTCATGTAAGAGGGGGGTAGGGGGAAAATAGTCATTCATGCCTTTGTCTGGCTCAGTGAATCTGCATTTTTACATAAGATGATATAGACAATAGGGCAGAGGAAATAATCAGATCTGCCTTTGTGTCAGGTAGGCAGAGGGATGACTTGAGTTCTGTCCTATGTGGCCCTGCACCTGTGAAGATAAGCCATCAATTTGCATTGCACTGGTGAATTTTAACAGAAATGCTTTGGGGTAAAGAGCTTGGGGCCCACAAGGAATTTCCTTGTGGGCAAAATATGAGGGAGGGGTGTAGCTTTTCATTTTGTAGCCATTGTATTTGGGAACCAAAATGGGAGGCAGGTTTGCATGACCCAGTTCCCAGCTTGACTTTTCCCTTTGGCTTAGTGAGTTTGAGGTCACAAGATTTATTTTCCTTTCACAATATGTATGGTGTACAATAACCAGGCTCTGTCTTGGATTTCTCTTGCCCATGATCTTAAAGAGGAAGCAAAGTAATCTGAAAAGCCAAGAAACTAAACATATTTTACTTCCCTTGAGAGGTCAACTTTTTTCTTAGTGATTTTTGCTTTTGTAAAGTTATCTTAGAATAAAAAAAGTGAAATTTAAAAGCCTAGTTCGTCAGTGTTGGAGCTCAGAAAGCAATACACCAAAGACTGGCACTTTTACATGCTGAGAGGCCTTTGAAGCTGCCTCAGAATCAAGGTTCCTCTAACCTTGTCTTATTGTCCACTGTTTCCCAAATCCTTCACTGGGTACAGGGAGAGACTCTCTCTCTCTCTCTTTGGACTTTCCTTATCTGAATAAGAAAGCAAGCTTCTTTCCAGAAGAAATGCAATTTTAAGACCCTCTCCCTAGGAATCTCATCAAATGACCAGCAAAGATCAACCACCTAAGAAGAGAAGAGACTGGAGTCATCACTACACCCAGACAGACTTTTCATAGAATTTTCAGAGAGCACCTCAGAGAGATTACCTGGGGGACTTTATCTGCATGATAAGACAACCTTTCTTTCTGTGTGGTTCTGCCCCTCACCTTCCCAAAAAGAATCATTTACTAATAATTGTCCTCATTGGGCCTATTCATTCCCCCATTATCTTCTCCCCTATGAAGGGGGCATTTATGTCTCAACCATCTGGCCTCTCTTTGAGTTCAGATTTTGTATGACTCTCATGCATACATGTGCATGTAATAAATTTGTTATGCTTTTCTCTTGTTGACCTGTTTTTTATTATAGGGATGTAGGCCATAACACTTTATGATGGGGAGGAAAGGGATCACCCCCTTTCTGCCCTACATCAGTTTACAATCTGTTTGGCAGAGATAGAATCCTCAGAAAGCAAGATAGAAGCATAGAAGATGAAGTAACCAGACGCCACCCTGCCTCCTCCAGTGAATGCAGCTACAAAAACTGAAAAGGGCTGGGCTTAATGGCTCCTGCCTGTAATCCCATCACTTTGGGAGGCTGAGGCACAAGGATTGCTTGAGGCCAGGAGTTTGACACTAGCCTGGGCAACATAGGGAGACCCCACAACTACAAAACAAAAAAAAATAGCCAGATGTGGTGGTGCACGCTTTTGGTCCCAGCTACTAGGGAGGATTGCTCGAGCCTGGGTGTTTGAGGCTGCAGTGAGCCGCGGTCACACCACTGCACTCCAGCCTGGGTGACAGAGTAAGACCTGTCTCATAAAAATAAAAAATAAAAATAAAAAAACAGAAAAGAATGCATGGAAGTTATTTGAGGATGCTGAAAAGTAAATGATAGCAGGTGGATTGGGAAATAAGACCAAAATGTGAAATATCACAGAACCAGCAGTAAGTTGTTGTCCCCCACCCTTTTTCTCCTTGGTATCCTCTGGCCTGGATTGAAGGTTGCCTGAAAACTGTGAGAACCAGAAAGAGACAGAGACTGTTCCAGGAGAGGTCTGCTACTTCTGGCTAGAGGAAACAGAAAATGGGACTCCTACCACTTAGGGGAAGTGGCGGCAGCAGTCGACTTTTCTTCTGCTTTTTCCTCCATTTTGTTGTGCTCCAGTCCCCATACAATCCTGAGGTGGTTGTGGCAATGGCAGCAGTAGGGCCCACGTGGACCTAAAACTCTGATGAAGAGGAACCTCCCTCTCTGATTGGGAGAAGCTCTGGTCCCAATTTCATGGATGCACCCCTGTTAGTTTTCTCTATCTCTGTCCTTCTGCCACCTGGCCCCAGATGCAGGCACACTCATAGAAGTATGCAGCAGAGTGGGGCAACTAAGCCCCAGCTTTCTGACTGGAGGAGCAAAGAGTGGAACCACAGGGATCTAAAAAGTACTGGGGAGATCACAGAGAGGGAAGAACTTGAGAAAGTTGTTTCTGAATTTCTGAGCTCACCCACAAGGTGCACATGGATGGATCTGGCCCTAAACAGAACACCCTAGACCTTGAAAACTGAACTGTGGTCTCAATTCACTGCTCCATCCAGATTGGTCTCTGGGTGGTATACATGTGGAGACAGCATTTAAAGGCTTTCAAAACTGTACTGACATTGGAAGCACACATAGAGAAGTGTGGTTGGAACATATGGCTTGAACCCCACCAGGCTGACTGCCTATTAAACAAAAATATAAACCCTTTCCATAAGGTTTAAATAAGACTCAGGCCCATAATATAATATCGAAAATGTCTAGAATGTAATCTAAAATTATGTGGAATATAACAAACAAATCTTGCACAGGAAAAGATAATCAGCAAATGTCAACCATAAGATGACACCAATGTTGAAATAATCAAACACATTGAAGAAGCTATTATAAAAATCCTCCAAGATGTAAGGTTGAACAATTTTGAACCAAATAGGAAAATATTAAGCCTTAGCAAAGAAATAGGATATATTTTAAAAAATAACCAGATGCAAATTTTACAACTAAATAATATAATAGTTTAAAACTTTGTAAAAACATTTTAGTTGGGCTTAATAACAGAATGGAGATGACAAAGGAAAGAATTAATAAACTTGAAAATAGATCAATAGAGGCCAGGCGTGGTGGCTCACGCCTGTAATCCTAGCACTTTGGGAGGCTGAGGCAGGTGGATTGCCTGAGCTCAGGATTTCAAGGCCAGCCTGGGCAACATGGTGAAATCCCATCTCTACTAAAATGCAAAAAATTTGCCAGGCGTGGCAGCGTGTGCCTGTAGTCCCAGTTACTCAGGAGGCTGAGGCAGGAGAATCGCTTGAGCCCAGGAGGCAGAGGTTGCAGTGAGCCAAGGTTGCACCACTGCACTCTAGCCTGGGCAACAGAGCAAGACTCTGTCTTAAAAAAAAAAAAAAAAGAAAGAAAATAGATAAATAGAAATTATTCAATTATTCAATCTGAAGAACAAAGAGGGGAAAGATGAGGAAAAAAATTAACAGAGCCGCAGGAACATATGAGGCAATACCAAAAGTCTAAAATTTATGTCATTGGAATCCTGGAAAAGAGTAGAAAGAATGATGTATAGGAAAAAAAGTTTGAAAAAATAATAGCAGAAATGTCCCAAATTTGGTAAAAGACATGAATGTGTAGATTCAAGAAGTTCAGCAAATCCCAGAGAGCATAAATTCAAAGAAATCCGTACCAAGACATATTAAAATCAAATTGCTGAAAACTAAAAAATAAAAACATCTTGGAAGGAGAGAGAGAGAGACAGAGAGAGAGCATCAGGAAATCAGGAAATAACACAGCTAAGACAAAAAACCAACAAAATTGAAAACAGGAAATAGAGAAAATAAAAGCTATTTATTTTAAAAGAGCAATAACATTGATAAACATCTAACAAGACTGATAAAGAAAAAACAAGGAAGTCTGAGGTTATTCATATCAGGGATTGAAGAGGAGATATCAGTACAGACCCAAACAGACATTAAACAGACAATCAGTAAGGGAAGACTATAAACAACACTATGCACATACATCTAACAAACTGCCAAAGCTTACCCAAAATACAAAGACCAATCCAGGACAGCTGGTATAGTTTAGTTTCTTTAACACAGCAAGGTCATGACAAAAAGGCAGGGAGAAGAGACCATTCTATATTTGAAGATACTTAAAAAGAATAATTGCCAATACAATGATTGAAACTTGATTGGATGCTGATTTAGGGGAAGAAAATCTGTCGTAAAATATTTTGAGGAAAATTTGGGGAGAAACTTTGATCATGGACTAGATAGTATATGATATTAAAGAATTATTGGTGCTGGGTATGGTGGCTCACACATGTAATCCCAACACTTTAGGAGGCCAAGGTGGGAGGATTGTTTGAGGCCATGAATTTGAGGCCAGCCTGAGCAACATCTCTACAAAAAATTTAAAAATTAGCCAGGCATGGATTAAGACGGAGGACAGGAGGCAGGACTAGCTTGCAGCTCCTACTCAGACAGACAGAGCAGTGTGTGGAGACTCACATCGTGAACTTCTGCTCCAAGAACTACCACAAAAACATACCAGGAAAGCCAAGAGAATCCACAGACCCTTTAAAGAAACCGGATCACCCCTGCAGGCTCCCTAAAACACTGAAAAACTGTGAGTCTGCTTGCTTTCTCAATGGGGAGGCTCGTGGTCTGGGGCAAGTTCTCAGCCCTGGCTGAGAAATAGACACTGGCTGCCTGGAAATAGACTCGGTGCTGTTGGAGGAGCATGGTGGAAGTCAGACTGGCTTTTAGGACTGTGGACTGCATGGGAGTGGGGTGAGGCCTGTGACTGCCAGCTTTCCCCTACTTCCTTGGTGACCTGTATGATTCAGCAGAGGCAGCCATAATCCCCCTGAGAATATAACCCCACTAAACTGGGAATCACATGCCCATCCCCCACAGCAGCCACAGCAAGCCCTGCCCAAGGAGAGGCTGAGCTCATATAGGCCTATTCCTGCCCCCACCTGGTGGTCTTTTTCTATCCACCCTGGTAGCCAAAGACAAAGGTGATAACCCCTTGGGAGCTCTATGACCCTGCCCACTGCCTGAGAGACCTGAATGCTTAACCAGGTGTACCTAGGGCAAGTCTGCATTCTCCCTATAGGACTGCAGCTGATGCACTCTTGAAAGCGCCACCTCCTGGTTGGAGGCCCACCAACACAAAACCAGCGCACTAAACAAAAACACAACCAAGGACCCTCACAGAGTCCACTTCACTCCCTTGCTACCTCTACCAGAGCAGGTGCTGGTATCCATGGCTGCAAGACCTGAAGACAGATCACATCACAGGACTCTTTGCAGACACTCCCCAGTACCAGCCCAGAGCCCAGTAGCTAGCTCTGCTGGGTGGCTAGACCCAGAACAACAAAAACAATCACTACAGTTCAGCTCTCAGGAAGCCTTGTTCATAGGGGAAGGGAGAGAACACCACATCAAGGGAGCACCCTGTGAGACACAAAAATCTGAACAGCAGCCTTTGAATCCCAGATTTTCCCCCTGACACAGTCTACCCAAATGAGAAGGAACCAGAGAAACAATTCTGGTAATATGACAAAACAAGGTTCTTTAACACCCCCAGAAGATCACACCAACTCACCAGCAATGGATCTAAGACAAAATCTCTGAATTGCCGGAAAAAGAATTCAGAAGGTCAATTATGAAGCTAATCAAGGAGGCACCAGAGAAAGGTGAAGTCCAACTTAAATAAATCGAAAACATGATACAGGCTATGAAAGGAAAAGTCTTCAGTGAAATAGACAGCATAAATAAAAAATAATCCCAACTTCCGGAAATCCAGGACACACTTAGAGAAATGCAAAATGCACTGCAAAGTCTCAGCAATAGAATCAAACAAGCAGAAGAAAGAACTTCAGAGTTCAAAGACAAAGCTTTCAAGTTAACCCAATCCATCAAAGACAAAGAAGAAAATTTTTAAAAAATGAACAAAGCCTCCAAGAAGTTTGGGACTATGTTAAATGTACAAACCTAAGAATGATTGGTGTTACAGAGGAAGAACAGAAATCTAAAAGTTTGGAAAACATATTTGAGGGAATAATTTAGGAAAACTTCTCTGCCCTTGCTAAAGATCTAGACATCCAAATAAAAGAAGCTCAAAGAGCACCTGGGAAACTCGTTGCAAAAAGATTATTGTCTAGGCACATAGTCAGCAGGTTATCTAAAGTCAAGACAAAGAAAAGAATCTTAAGAGCTGTGAGGCAAAGGCATCAGGTAACCTATAAAGGAAAACCCATCAGATTAACAGCAGATTTCTTAGCAGAAATCCTACAAGCTAGAAGGGATTTGGGTCCTATTTTTAGCCTCCTTAAACAGAACAATTATCAGCCAAGAATTTTGTATCCAGTGAAACTAAGCTTCATAAATGAAGGAAAGATAAAGTATTTTCCAGATAAACAAATGCTGAGAGAATTTGCCACTACCAAGCCAGCATTACAAGAACTGCTAAACGGAGCACTTAATCTGGAAACAAATCCTTGGAACATACCAAAATAGAACCTAATTAATGCATAAATCTCACAGGACCTATATAACAATAACATAATTTTTAAAAATCCAAGGTATTCAGGCAACAAATAGCACAATGAATAGTATTACATCTCAATACTAACATTGAATGTAAACGGCCTAAATGCTCCCTTAAAAGATACAAAATGACAGAATGGATAAGAATTCACCAACCAAGTTTCTGCTGTCTTCAGGAGACTGACCTAACATGTAAGGACTCACATAAATTTAGGGTAAAGAGGTGGAAAAAGATATTCCATGCAAATGGACACCAAAAGTGAGCAGGAGTAGCCATTCTTATATCAGACAAAACAAACTTGAAAGCAATAGCAGTTAAAAAAGACAAAGAGGGACATTATATAATGATAAAAGGACTAGTCCAACAGGAAAATATCACAATTCTAAATATATGTGCATCTAACACTGGAACTCCCAAATGTATAAGATAATTATTGCTAGACCTAAGAAATGAGACAGACGGCAACACAATAATAGTGCAGGACTTTAATATTCCACTGACAGCACTAGACAGGTCATCAAGACAGAAAGTCAACAAAGAAACAGTGGACTAAATTATACCCTACAACAAATGGGTAGGTATTTACAGAACATTCTACCCAAAAAACTGCAGAATACACATTCTTTTTTTTTTTTTTTTTTTTTTTTTTGAGATGGAGTCTCACTCCGTCACCCAGGCTGGAGTGCAGTGGTTCAATCTTGTCTCACTGCAACCTCTGCCTCCTGGGTTCAAGAAATTCTCCTGTCTCAGCCTCCCGAGTAGCTGGGACTACAGGTGCCTGCCACCACGCCAAGCTAATGTCTATATTTTTAGTAGAGATGGGGTTTCACCTTGTTGGTCAGGCTGGTCTCGAACTCCTGACTTCAGGTGATCCAACTGCCTCAGACTCCAAAGTGCTGGGATTACAGGTGTGAGCCACCACGCCTGGCCCAGAATATACATTCTATTCATCAGCACATGGAACATTCTCCATGATAGACCATATAATAGACCACAAAACAAGTCTCAGTAAATTTAAGAAAATTGCAATTATATCAAGTACTCTCTCAGACCATAGTAGAATAAAATTGGAAATCAACTCCAACAGGAATCCTCAAAACCATGCAAATACATGGAAATTAAATAACTTGCTCCTGAATGATAGTTGGGTCAACAATGAAATCAAGATGGCTGAGTAGTATTCCATACACACACATACACATCATATATATGATATATGGTTAAACCCCATGCAACAGGAAGCCACTGTTTCCCACAGTCCCTGTAGTCTGGGGCCAAGTGAACCAAGGTTCCCAAGCAGAGGCCTGAGCAGACTCACAAGCTCTTGTCTTATTGAGTTGGGAACGAATGGGAACAGGATTTTAGGAGATGTGGAAGAGCCGGAGAAATGAGAAAAGACAAAGGTAGCCTGGAGGGAAGAGAGATCCCTCACATAGGGAGAGAGAAGGATGTAGTACCTGCTCTAGGGAAGGGAGCTTTGAAGGGCTGGGGAGGGAGTAAGAGGTGGAGGAGGGGACAGAGAGAGATTTTGCTCTGTGCCCAGGCTGGAGTGCAGTGGCATGACCATGGCTCGCTGCAGCCTTGACCTCTTGGGCTCAGGCAATATATTGTAGAGATGAGATCTCACTGTGTTGCTGGTCTTAAACTCCTGGCCTCAAGCAATTGTCCCGCCTTGGCCTCCCAACGTGCTGGGATTACAGGCATGAGCCACTGCACCTGTTTATTTTTTAAATTTTTTATTTCAATAGGTTTTTGGGGAACAGGTGGTGTTTGGTTACATGAATAAATTCTTTCTGAGATTTTGGCGCACCTTCACCCAAGCAGTGTACACTGTACACCACGTGTAGTCTTTTATCCCTCATCACCCCCCGACCCTTTCCCCTGAGCCCTCAAAGTCCAATGTATCATTCTTATGCCTTTGTGTCCTCATAGGTTAGCTCCCATATATGAGTGAGAACATACGATGTTTGGTTTTCCATTCCTGAGTTACTTCACTTTGAATAAGTCCCCAATTCCTCCACAGAAGTGGCATGCTTTCAAAGCACAAAGAATTACTGCAAGTCGTTGTGGGCAGATAGTTTAGTGTTGATTCAGGACACTAGAAAATACTTGACATTAGCATGCCCCGCATCATAGGAGAGGCTATATTTTTATATCTAGATATCACTTACTTTCAGGGTGAGAATTGACCTATTGTCATTAATTTGCCATACATTTATTGACAACCAACTATATGCAGAGCACTATTAGGACTTTGAGAAACTGCTTTTAACTTTTAAAAGGAGATTTATTTGCACAGCTACATCCCAAAATAGCAAAGTGTTATCACCTGCTTCTCTAGAATCCCAGTTGGAGCTTGGAAATTAAACCTTCAGTGCATTTACATAGAAGTAGGAAAATTTCTCTTCCCTCTATGAAGGGGCAGGTTAGGTCTAGGAGAAGGTGGCTACCCCTGATGATCCACCTCCAGGGCCAACATCTCCATTTACAGTCTGGACGCAGGCCTACCTGAGCCTCAGCTCACTTTGATCAAGTGAGGAGAACTAGTTTCTCCCAGAGAAAGCAGAGATCCTAAAATTGATTCTGAGCTTTAAGACCAGGCAATTCCCCCTGAATCTGCATACCTCCTTTCTCCCACTACTACCCAATGGCCTAAGTCTGCACAAATTCCTTGAGAAAGCAGCTGCTCTTCCTTGGGCAGGGCCACCCCATAGGAGCACCATGGCCCAGCCTTAGACCTAGTACCCATCTTCACACCAGTTTTCTAGCCAGTTGAACCAATCCCAGTGTCTAATTTAACCTCCTCCCTACCATTCATTGCTCCCCAAAAGGGCTTGCGTCTGTTATTATAAGGCCAGAGAAGGAGATTTAGGCTGGTCCTTCAGTCAGCACTGTCCTACCACATCCTTCACACATCACTGTTTCAGAGTCTCATCCAGGGCTCCAGTCAGAAACCTGACTAACAAGAAGCTGGGAGGAGACACAGCCTCACATTTGAACCTTTTGAAGCCAGAGAGAATGCTAAGTCCTTTCCATGCTTGAGCATCAGGCTGGTAGAGCTCAGAACATTTGGTGTCTTCCATATATAGAGCCTGTAAGGTCTGAGCTTCCTGGTTTCTAAATGCAGTCATGTTTATCTGCACTGTTGCCTTGGTAGAGTTCCCAGTCCTGACGATGCTTCCGAGTCACCTAGCGAGCTTATTTTAGATTCCAGAGAGGCTGATTCCATGAGTCTGATAAGTTGGGGCTCTACAAAAGATCTGGGGTGATTTTGAGGCAGCAGGTACACGAGCTAGCATTTGGAAACAATTGGTGTACACTGTGGTGCTGGATAAATGAAGATACCAGTGGCCTCCTAGCATCTTAGGTGGTGACTGTGTCATTTAGGCCAGCGTTCACCATTTTATTTTGGTACCAGGGACCCGGTTTTGCGGAAGACAATTTTTCCACGGATATGGGGTGGGGGAGGCGGGAGGGGATGATTTTGAGATTAAACCGTTCCGTCTTAGATCAGCAGGCATTAGAATCTCATAAGGAGTGCACAAGATCCCGCATGCTCAGTTCACAATAGGGTTTGCACTCCTATGAGAATCTGACAGGAGGCGGAGCTCGGGCTGTAATGCTTGCTGGCCCACAGCGCAACTCCTGCTGTGTGGCCCGGTTCCCAACAGGCCACGGATGGGTACTGGTCAGTGGCCGGGGGTTGAGGACCCCTGATTTAGGCTATTCTGAGTTTTTCTAGGATCCCTAAGAATCCAGTTATCATGGCCGCATCACAGTTTTTTCAGGATGCCCGTTCTGCACAGCTCCATTTCACTCCCTGGAACAGAAAGCACCACAGCAGCAACGCACAGCTGGCTGACATGGCAGAGCCCTAAGTGTGAAGAGACACCTGACAAACTGCATTTCCCCTGAACAGTTCTCAACAGCCCTTTGAAAATGCAACATAGCTTATTTTATATAATATAAAATCAGCCTCTAAATCATGGGCTCAAGCGATCCTTCAGCTTCAGCCTCCTGAATAGCTAGGACTACAGGTGCACACCACCATGCCCAGCTAACTCAAAAAAAAGTTGTGGAGATGAGATCTCGCTGTGTTGCTGGTTTTGAACTCCTGGCCTCAAGCAATCCTCCCGCCTTGGCCTCCCAATGTACTGGGATTACAGGCATGAGCCACTGCACCTGGCCAGCTGATTATATTTTTAATCATATCATTCTGCTTCCTTCCCATCTCTCCACTATCCCATATGGCTTCCTCTAGAAGTCTTTTAGAACATAAAGTTCCAAAAATGCAGGGCACATGCCAAAACCAAGGTCTTCATGGAATTTTCTGTTTGTTTTTCATATCACAAGATGACAAACTAAGACAAAGACTCCAATCAGGAGACAATAGAGCAGTCATTGTCATCAATCCACTTATAAGGCCAAATTTTGGAATTCATCACTGTGTTACAAGCCCTCTCCTCTCTAGATTTAATTATACTATAGCAAAAGAATGGAAACAAATTAAATAGCTATCAATAGGGTACTGATGAAATGAGTTATGATACATCTATACAATGGAAAAGTATGCAGACCTACAAAAGAATGAGAAAGTATTTATGCCTTGATTTGGAAAGATCTTTATGGATAAGATGTTAATTGAAAAAATAAAAGCAAAACAGAATCAAAGAGAGAACATATGTATGTATTTGTTTATATCTAATTATATGTGCATTTCTGAAATACCCATAAAAATAACATTATTTGCCTCTGAGGAGAACTAAGTGACTAGGGCAGAGGATATGAAGGAAGATTCACATGCAATCATTTAAACTTTAGTTAATGTATTACGTATTCAAAATATTAAATTAAAAATACACGTACACATGAACAACTCAAGTGTCTACATTGATTTTGGGAACAGAGGTAATATGAATGGAGCTAACTTAAAAGTATTTAAATTTAGTTTTAGTTTGGTTTTACTTTTTTTTCCAACAGATTTGCCTCTCTAATCATGTTTTGCTCACCCTAATTTTAGACCAAGTCTGAATTAAATGAACACACACCAGCTGGACAGTAGGAGGAAGCAGCTAAGAAGACAGTCTAGAAAAGAACATTTGCTTTGGGTGACTGATGTGCAAATAATGAACAGTGGCCCGGGTTTGCAGCCCAGCAGCCTCCTGAAGTTGACAGCATTAAAGTTAAGACCCATTGCAACAGTGCCCTGGCATTTGCACAGAGTCTAAATCAATGTAAAACTATGGCAGTTGATTGCAAAAATGGCCCTGATTATTCCCATCCTTGTAACCTTGTTGTTACAATTCAGCTCGTAGCTCTTCTTATCAGGAGGTAGAGTCTACTTCGCTGCCTCTTGACTTGGGCTGGCCTTTTGGATTGCTGGGCCAATGCAATGAAGCAAAAGTAATGGTGTAAGATGTGCCTGTCCAAGCCTAGGCATTAAAGGGTCATGGAAACTTTACTCCCTTTCTTGAAATCTGCCTTGGCCATGAGTCAAAACCTGGACTAGTCTGTTGGGATGAGAGACTACATGGACCCAGGCTGGGGTCCTGGACATGTGAGAGAGCCCAGCTAAGATTTGCAAAGCTACCCTGAAGCTGACCTGCAAACTGAGCACAAAGACACAAGGGAGTCTATCTGGGATCAGAACTGCCCAGCTGACCTATACATTCATGAGTTAAATAAAAGCTTATTGTTTGAAGCCACTGGATTTCATGACCATTTTTTATGTAGCATTACTGTGGCAGTAGATGACAGGTACGGAACTCTATGGCTGTCTTAGCTTCTTTCCTTCCCACCTCTAGTACTATACTGTTGCCTTCTCACTGTCTGTAATATGTTTCTCTGACATACTGACTATGTTGAATTAAAGGGACATTAAAAACAGCAGGTTCGGCTGGGCGCAGTGGCTCATGCCCGTAATCCCAGCACTTTGGGAGGCCGAGGCGGGTGATCATGAGGTTAAGAGATTGAGACCATCCTGGCCAACATGGTGAGACCCACGTCTCTACTAAAAATACAAAAATTAGGCGGGCATGGTGGCGTGTGCCTGTAGTCCTAGCTACTGGGGAGGCTGAGGCAGGAGAATCACTTCAACCCAGGAGGCGGAGGTTGCAGTGAGCTGAGATCGCGCCACTGCACTCCAGCCTGGCCACAGAGCGAGACTCCATCTTAAAAAACAAAACAAAAACAAAAACCAGCAGGTGCGAGAAGATCACTCTGACTTTGCTTCTGTTTCTTAAAAGAAGGAGAGGAAATTCCCATGTGAAAGATGTCCTCCCGATACCAGAAGGAAAGTATCATTCTCATCATCAAGGACAAAAAGTTGAGGTGGAAGGGAATCTATATAAACAAATCTTGTTAGACTAAACCTAGATGCCTAGCTACTTCTCCACCCAACAACTACTCTAGCCCAATCTCCTCTGCCTTGTCGCATTTTCATAATTTACTACTCTTTGTCCTGGTCAGCATGTAAATGTTCAACTCTGTGTCTTTGGCTCTTTGTTTCCTTATGAAGGCTCCTGTGCCATGGAAAACTTTATTAAATAAATTTGTTTGCTTTTCTCCTGTTGATGTGTCTTATGTCAATTTAATTCTTAGGCCCAGCTGAAAAACCCTAAGAGGGTAGAGGTAAATTGTTGCCTCCCCCATACAACTCCTCAGTCCCTGTTGTAAGCTCAGCTTGTTAAAGAACACCCATCATGTGTCTGATCATTCACCCATGGTCATACATGGCCCCTGACCACAAGGAATGGATAGTCATGTGGAGAGGCAGGTGGACACCTTACTACTGCAAGAATGGCCGTCATCAAAAAATCAAAAAATAATAGATGTTGGCGTGGATGTGGTTAAAAAGCTTACACTTCTACATTGCTGGTGGGAATGTAAACTAGTACAACCACTATGAAAAACAGTGTGGAAATTCCTTAAAGAGCTAAAAGTAGAACAACCATTTGATCCAGCAATCTCACTACTGAGTATCTACCCAGAGGAAAAGAAGTCATTGCGCAAGAGAGATACTTGCACATGCATGTTTATGGCAGCACAATTTGCAATTGCAAAAACGTGGAACCAACCCAAATGCCCATCAATCAACAAGTGGATAAAGAAACTGTGAGATATATATATATATATATATATATATATATATATATATATATATGGCATTCGCAGTGACCTGGATGACATTGGAGACTATTATTCTAAATGAAGTCACTCAGGAATGGAAAACAAAACATTGTATGTTCTCATTCATAAGTGGGAGCTAAGCTATGAGGATGCCAAGGGATAAGAGATGACACAATGGACTTTGAGGACTCAGGGGGAAAGGGTGGGAAGTGGGTGAGGGATAAAAGACTACAAATTGTGTGTACTCAGGTCATGGGTGCACCAAAATCTCAGAAATCACCACTAAAGAACTTAATCACGTAACCAAGCACGACCTGTTCCTCAATAACCTATTACAATAAAAAAATTTTTTTTAAAAAGAAGCAGGTGGACAGAACTGAAGTGTGCCTTGACCGTCATGAACACACAGGAAAGGGGCACTCAACCCTATCTACAGGTTCAGCAAAATTTACTGACAATGACCTCTGAGCTGTCTTAAAAAATGAATGCAAGTTTGTCAGGTGAAAGGATGTGCGAGGGATTTCCAGGTAAAGGGGGCAACATAGGGAAAGGCATGGAGGCCTGTAGGCAAGAGACTAGTAAGAAGTGAAACATTCCAGGTTGTCTCAATGATATAGTTTATAGTACAGTCTCTTATATCCCTGCTACTCAAAGTATGGCCAGCAGACCAGCAGCTGCAACATCACCTGGGAGCTTGTTAGAAATGTCCATACTTGAGTCCCACTCCAGACCTGCATCAGAATGTGCTTTTAAGTAAGATGCTGAGATGGTTCAAGGGCATATTAAAGTTTGAGACATGCTTAATTATAGCACTGGTATTAGTGGTGGGGGCTAACAACTTGTCTTATAACCTCATCAGAGTATATGAACCTTTTAATGGTAACTTTTGTAGAAAGTGAGTTCACCTGCAGAAGGTATATGCTTGTAGCAATTATACTTCTAGACTACCAACTAATATAGCTATTTTTCTTGGCAACATGTCTTATTACCCTAATTAGATTGTAATCAAGGAGTCTGTTTCCTTGATTCATTACTCTTGAACACCTAATGGCAGAAAGAAAATGCCGAGATGACAGAGACAGAATCTTTTCCTTTAGGAGCCTCAATCTGGTAAAAGGAGAGGAGAACTGTAACTCAGAGCTCTCAGCCTTGCTCTACTTCTTGCCAAGGAGTATCTTGGACAAGTTTCTCAATGTCACTGAGCCTCATTTTTCTCATCTATAAAATAGGGATAACACCCCGGTTGCAGGTTCCCTGTGAGGATTAGAGATAACGTGTAAAAAGTACTCGGCATGGCTCCTGGGAGGGCCAGCACTCCACAAGGGGTAGCTGTAATGGTAAATAATCATAAACATACTTTGATAGCGCAGGAGAGAAAGAGGTTACATTTAGTTGAGGGAATCAAAACAGGTCCTGTGAAAGAGCTAGACTAGCAATGGCAGTTTAGCATCAGACAGGCAGAAATTGTAGAGAAAGAGTTTTGTAAGCGAAGGAAATTAAATAAGTAAACACATTCTCAGAGATGAGATCGCATAAGGGCATATTTGGAAACTAAAAACTCATCTGATTTTCTTCCTCTGATTTGTGAATTTATTGATAGGAATGCTCTTTTCCAAGGTAAAACAATTTGATCACTGAAAAAATATTTATGCATTTTATGCATTTAACAAGTCGTCCTTGCTGTAAAGATTAAAATGGCAGGAAATAAGATCTCCCAGCAAATCTGGGCCGTATGTTGCTTCCCATTGTGGTTGTACATGCAGAGTCAGCCATTGTGTTGGCTGCCTGCTGCCCAGACAGCGGGGTGAGCTCAGGACAGAGCCCTGCTTCAGCATGAATGCCTCTGCCTTCTCTTGCGAACACATTCCCTCCGCCACTTAAGAATGCACAGAGCATTTGCCAGGTCGGGAATGCCTGGGTATGACAGCACCATTTGCAAAGTAAAGAGTCTATTTATGAAGATAATGGCAATATCCAGGCCAAGCCCACCGTGGGAGAACCTTGGCTCCTAATTAGCAAGAGCAGTGCATTTTAATGAGGACGCCTCGGCAGGCAGTTGGCTCCTGCCTTGACTGCCAACAAATCTGGGGCAGAGGGAGTATTGGCAGAGAGAACACAGAGCAGGTGAGGAGAACAAAACAAAGAAATATGCTCATCTCTTGGAAACCGTAAGCCTTAGAATTATTCGATTTTCTCATTATCCTGGCTGTCATCCCATAAGCTGTTTCTCTGAGAACAAATACTCTTAGAAGTGGTGGGTCTTGGGTGAGCTAAGGTGAGCCGACGCATCAGTTTTAGCAATCCTGAAACTATTGCTAGTATGGACAGCAGAGGCCTAAAGGGCATGGAGGCTTGGAAACGGAGGCATTTGAACTCTCTAGGAAGGCAATTAGACAATTGCTAAGAGGCCTGTAGAGAAATCAGAATCCCTTGCATTTTTCTGGATGGGGAAGAAAGAACAGCAGTGGCTCCCACTTCCATCAATCCTGTAGAGGTGAGGTGATACCATCAAAGGTAATTTAAGCTAGAACTTCAAAATCTGTTGCTGGATGCTGATGGGTGACATAAAGAAAGCAGAACTCCTCAGCATCTATGTAGTTTCTGAATTCTGTCTCAGAAGATGATCTTTTGACTGAAAATGATGAATAACCATTCACAGGTGGGAATAGATGTTCCAAGATGCATGAGTGAACTGTGAAACACCTTAATCCTTTAATGGCTTCAAGTTTTGAGTCCATGCAAATTACACCTCCAAATACCAAGATAATGTGTAAGTAAGATGGTTGGACTCCAGTTGGTTATCTCTGATGCATCAGGAACATTAAAAGAAGTACTGGAGGCCAGGCGCAGTGGCTCACACTTGTAATCCCAGCACTTTGGGAGGCCAGGGCGGGCGGATCACCTGAGGTCTGGAGTTCGAGACCAGCCTGACCAACATGGAGAAACCCCGTCTCTACTAAAAATACAAAATTAGCTGGGCGTGGTGGCACATGCCTGTAATCCCAGCTACTCCAGAGGCTGAGGCAGGAGAATGGCTTGAACCCAGGAGGTGGAGGTTGCTGTGAGCCGAGATTGCGCCATTGCACTCCAGCCTGGGCAACAAGAGCAAAACTCCATCTTAAAAAAAAAAAAAAAAGAAGTACTGGAAAATAATTATTTCAGAAATAGAGAAGATTCCTGGAGCTACAGACCTGTTTTTTTTGTTTTTTGTTTTTTTGTTTTGTTTTTTGGCAATGCACCCAAGCAAGATAAACCATGGGATGTGGTGTTGTTGTTGTTGTTGTTTCTGAGACAGAGTCTCGCTCTGTCGCCCAGGCTGGAGTGCAGTGGCGTGATCTGAGCTCACTGCTGCCTCTGTCTCCCGGGTTCAAGCAATTCTCCTGCCTCAGCCTCCTGAGTAGCTAGGATTACAGGCGTGCACCACCTGCCCGGCTAATTTTTGTATTTTCAGTAGAGAAGGGGTTTCACCATGTTGGCCAGGCTGGTCTTGAACTCCTGACCTCGTGATCTGTCTGCCTCGGCCTCCCAAAGTGCTGGTGTTGTGAGCCACCGTGCCCGGCCCATGGGATTTTTAAAAAGAATGTGTGAGCCACTTAAAGTGAAAGAGGTGATCTTCAGGAATAGGCACGAGATCACCACACACACACAAAGAGTCATGGTAGAGACTGCTAATTATCCCTCAGTATCTGTTCTCTGTCTTTTCCATAGTAACAGAAATTTTAGCAGAACAAACAGAGAATGCAAAGGGGCCACCCGCATTCTTTGGCTTGTGGCCACTCCTTCCATCTTCAAAGTCGGCAACATAGCATCTTCAGATGGCTTTTGCTCTCTCCCCTCCGCTTCCATCCTCTGTCTTCTCTCACCTGAATCTCTCGCCTCCCTCTTAGAAGGATGCTCCTGATTACATTGAGTCCATCAAGACAATCCAGGGTAACCTCCTCATCTGAAAATATTTAATATAATTGCATCTACAAAGTCCCTTTTCCATGTAAAGTAACATATTTGCAGCTTCCAGGGTTTAGGACACGAGCATTTGGGGGTGGGGGGCGCTTTTCAGCCTACTTCGGCTATCAAGATAAAAACTCAATTTCCCAGCCTCACTTGCAGCTGCGTTTAGAACACATGACCAAGCCCTGGCAATGGATATGAGCCAAAGGGAAGTGTTGTCCTTCTAAGTCTTGCTCTTCGAGGAAAGTACCTGCTATTTGCTGAAACATGAATGAGTGAGCCCTTTGGACTTGGCAGATGAGGCCAGTACCTGGGTGTGGCCCAGCCACAAGGGCCTACGCCCCTGCAGATTTCTTGGAGCAAGGCCACCATAGCAGCTTGGACTTTTACATGATAAAAAGACAAACTTCTGTCTTGTTTAAGATACGTAGACAGAATTATATCCTGCTTAATACATTACTCAGGGAAGACCAGGGAACTGTAATTGACAGAATGTTTTGGGACTTCAACAGTGTTTATTAAAATCTCTTATAGGTATCCTTGTGCTCAAGATAGAGAAAGATGAGTTAAAGCCAAGAATAATTAGGTGGGTTTATAACTGCTTGAGTGACCATAAGGGTGCAGAGTAATGTGTTGGTTTTAATCTCTACAGAGAGGTTTTAATATTATGGCCCTGTTATAATCCATGCTCCGGACAGGTCAAATCACAGCTGAAATACTTAATTTTCTTCCAAGGGCCTCATCTGAAGAAGGCTACAGACATAGATGAGCATGCCAGGGATAGCAATGAAATGATGAGGGGACTGGAAAACATGTCATATAAAGACATGTCAATATAGATACGAGAAGGAATTCAGATATTTAGAAAGCATTTATTAGGTGTAAGTTACAATGCTATGTGAGAAAGGGTAGAATACATGAGGACGCATTTCCTTGCCCTCCTAAGAGATAAGGAGCATTTATATAAATGTATGTGGATATATACAAGGTAACTCACCAGACTTAGCTTGCAGTCGTTTATTAAGGATCTATCTGTGGACCAGGCATGGTGGAGCATGCCTGTTGTTCCAGCTACACGGGAGGATTGTTCCAGCCCAGGAGTTCGAGGCCAGCCTGGGCAACATAGCGAGATGCCCTATCTCTTAAAAAAAAAAAAAAAAAAGGAATCTGTTTGTGGGGGTTTTCTTGTTTTGTTTCTATTTTGTTTATGTTGTGTTTCTCTAGAAAAAAAGTCCCTTTGTCCATCCCTAGGGGATGATGACAATTCAGAAAGATTGGAAACATTGTTTTACTCTGGCAAGAGATCTGATTGAGTTTCTAGGAATTGTGGGGGCTAACAAGTATTAGGGTGTTGCCAAGGATTTACAAACTTTCTAGCCCACCATCAACCATCAAGCTCATTTAGAGATCCATCAAGCCCTTTTATGGCTAAAAAAACAAAGAAACAAAAAAAAGTTAATGAGAAGAATAAGGGCTTTTGAGAGTGCGGCCAAAAAAGGGAATGGGTAGGAAACCAAGAAGCAGATAGGAAAAAAGGACCCTGAGTCTGAGGGTGTCTATTCCTGAGAGCTGGACTCTGGTTGAACCATGGCTCTGTAAGTGCCAGGGGCAGCAGACCCCAAGAAGAAGCATGGTGTGGGGGTGATACATGAGTGTGCTGTGCCTGTCCAGAAACTGTGGGTTCCAGCACCTAGGGCTTTAGAGCCATTCACCAGGCACGAGTGGGCTGCTGGCCCTGTCTGTGCTTCAAGCACTCATCTCCAGACACTCTGGCCACAATTCCCCAGGACCTTCTTGCACACTTGTGGGCCACCATAACTGTGCTTGGTGCTGGCGTAGGATGTGCGCGTGTACTCTGAGCTAGGGATAAAAGGGAGTAAGTATCCCCCTTACCCAAATGATTATAGCTCAGGATAACTTGGGCTTCCCAGCTGCATGGGCATTTGCACTGGCCTTGAAAGCTGCCGCAATTTAGATAAGCATGAGATCTCCACACACACACACACAAAAAACTTGAACAAGTTTTCCTTTATGTTCAAGTTTCCCTTTATGGTTTCTTCTCCCCTTATGTCTGGTTTCTTTTTCTTTCCATGTCCAATTCTCAGGAAAGTTCAAAACAGTTTCCATTTCATGCAGTGGTTAAACAGCAACTTCCTTTGTCCTGCAGTCCTTCCTGTGTCCCCTCTGATCCTGACCGCAAAACCACCTGCATTTCTCTCCCTGCCTGAGAAGTCCTTGGTCTTTTGCCTGCCTCCTGGCTATTGTTTCTCCCTTCCATGGTGGGGCAGGGCGGCAGCCTGCATGAAAGATGGGTACAAACAATGCTGTACACCAATCTGGTTTCAAATAAATACCACTTCGAGACCATCGAAAAGTAGTTCACAGGTAGGAAGACTTCTTGGTTCCCAGCTCATGGAGGTGTTCGCTTGTTTACTTGATAGAACTCTGGGGACAGATGACAAAATGGAACATGATCTCTGATTGGCAATGGCTACTCAGAGGCCCCTGTCAGAAATCTGGGCTAAGTTTGCAAGTTGTAGAGGAGCGAGAGTGCACCAAGAGTTAGAAAAATTATCACTCCTTCAATAAAAAAAAAAAAAAGCTCAAATGTTCTTGATGACATCTTTCCTGTCTACAAGTTTTATACTGAATCCTGCTGGTGTTCCACATACACAACTTAATATCTCCCATTGATTGGCTGCTTGCTGTGTTTCAAAGCTTTACATACAACACATGAGGTGGACAGAATCTCTGTTTCACAGAAGGGGAAACTGCAGCTCAGAGCCCTTCAGTAATCTGTGCAGTGTCATTTGGGTTAAGGTGGGAGGCTGGGATTTGAACCCAGATTTGTCTGGTTTCAAAGCGTGTGTTCTTTCCTCAATACTTCGCTAGTAACGTGGTAACAGCAGCAAAAAGAACGTGATCTAAAAAGGAGTTACTTCGAATTTTCCACATTATCCAATGCATTATTGTCCGTATAACCATTTTGCCCCCTTTCACCACTCCATACTGGAATGCTTGGGAGAGCTTTTACCCCAGGCAGCTGGTCCTGGCCCATTTACATGCACACCTAGACAGCTGCAGAGATCCCAAGGGCACACATGTAACTTCCTGTGTCTGGTACTTTGTGCAAAACCCTACCCCTCCCACACAAACTCTGGTAACCTTGGTTTGACAAAGGAGAGTCCATTTAGGGGACAATTGTCAGTGTTCTTCTGAAGAATTGCTCTCCTCCTTAGGGGCAGGAGGGCAAGTACAGATTGCTGTGAACACCTCAATCTTTTCCTGGCCACGTGGAGTATTTGTATACCCAGCACAGGGCAACAAAGGAGTGAAGAGTCCCAGGTCTCATGTAAACTCCTATGTTCTTTTTCTCAAAATGGAGAATTGGGCTTACCATTCAATCCACTGTCTTGTACGCATGACAGAAACCAAGTACATATTTGCGGAATGAGGGAATATTAACTAGGCACCCACAGCACGTGGTGTAAGAGAGCATTCAGGCTGTCTTACAACCTGAGCCAAAATCCAAAGCACCAAAATAGGATGGGTAGCTAAAAAATTGGATCATTGAGGGAGCTGGTTACTTTGTAGCATCATTACAATACTGATGTAATTCTAACCTTCCTTGCTGCAATGGTTCACTTGGGTGCCAAATAAAGAGTCTGTATTGGGTGATTATTAAGGATTCTTTCGCCTGAATTTTATAATAAGTGGAGAAATAAATAGCGTAAATAAAAAGTGTAAATAAGAAAATAGAAATAAAAAGTGTAAATAAAAAATAGGAATAAAAGGTGTAAATAAGTGTAGAAATAAATGCCAATTTTTTAGGAGAAGTAAATGACAAATTTTCTCACCAAGGAAAGTTTTTATTTCCCCCTGAACTAAAGCAGTTTAGGGAATTCGATCTGAACTTCTCATTTGAATTCCTGAATTTTTTTTAAGGCAAACTAGAATAAATATGATTTTAAAACCAAGAAGAAAAATTAAGTCATTTCACAAAATTAGAGCCTTATCATGAGTGACAGATTAATAATGAAACTTCCAAGAGTGCTGAATAAATTGCATTAACTTTGTCACTTCATAACAATAGGACACCAAAGGGGTGATTAAATTTATCTCCCTGACACAAGCGATAACTCCATACCAAAGGTAGTGTTAAATTGTATAGAAAATGGCTTCCTCCCCCTTCCTGTATTAAGATGTTAGGTAATGACACATAAAAGTGATTAATAGATTCCTAAACTGGGGCTTATTGAGCAGCTCAAACTAAACTGAATTTCTTTTTTAAATTAATGTTTATTTTTACAAAGTAATAAATGCACATAGCAAAAAGAGAAAAAAAAGTGAAATGGTAGCAAAAGGACAGACGGAAAATCAGCTGTCCCCTGCCTGCATGCCTTCTGTCCCCAGCCCACTCCCCAGACCTCTTACTTTCCATTTTTAAGCTATTTCTTCTGGTGTTTATTTCTGTACTTGTAAATAATTTGCTTATACAAATTATATCTTGGTGCATCAATTTTAGATATCTATTCGTCTTTCTATTTTGGAAGATGAGAATTTCATGCTCTTATCTCATTTCATCTTTCATTATTATTCATCTCAGCTTTTGCTAATTTGTACTCAGTACTTTACTATTATAGCTGTATAAATGACATTCATTACTATTCATTAATAGTAGTATACTAGTGGTACACTATCAGTGAATTAAGAGTAGGATACTTTTAATTAAGTAGTATAGCTAATAGTATTAGCAGTAGTAGTATTAAGTAGGATACTCTTAAGGAAACTAAAAAGAGTAGTACACTATTATTGTTTCCTTTGTTGTATAACTTTTTGTCTTTCCTAGAGTTGATCATTATTTTGGTTCTTTAAAATGTTCTTACTTCTTTAAATATATGCTCTAAGTTATAGGTAATAGATTAGGTCATAAAACCCTATTGACATCCTAGAACCTTAAGTTAAAAGTAGTAAGGTAAAAAGTAATACACCTGGACACAGTGGTGCACGCCTGTAGTCCCCGGTACTCAAAGAGGTGGAGATGAGAAGATTGCTTGAACCCAATTGTATGAGACTGACCTGGGCAACATTAGTAAAACCCCATCTCCTAAAAAGTAGTAGGGATAACTGTGCACATGCTGCCTTTAACCTTATAAAATGAATTGCATAAATACCAGCTGGAGTCCTAACTTGAACTAGGTGTGAGAGAGAGAGCTGTTCTTTCACTGATCTCAAACTCCACATGGGTGAATAGTATAATTCAAGCATTAACACAGAATCTTAGGTTACATTAATTTAGGAACTCTCTCTGGAACAGAAAAGATGATAGTCCTATTTTACTCATGTTGCCTAATGCACCATATTCTGGTTCCACGTTTTAAGAAAGGCAGAACAAATCAGAGTTTAAAGAATACATCAGGCCGGGTGCAGTGAATCACATCTGTAATCCCAGCACTTTGGGAGGCCGAGACAGGAGGATTGCTTGAGATCAGGAGTTCAAGACCAGCCTAGGCAACATGGCAAGACCCCATCTCTACAAAAAATACAAAAATTAGCTGGACATGGTGGTGTGTGTGCCTGTAGTCCCAACTACTCAGGAAGCTGAGGTGGGAGGATGGCCTCAGCTTGGGAGGCAGAGGCTGCAGTTAGCCGAGATCGCGCCACTGCATGCCAGCTTGGGCAAGAGAGTGACAGCCAGTTTCAAAAAATAAAAATAAAAGACAATAACAAAAATAAAAATAAAATTTTAAAAATATATCAGCCTTTAATCCCAGCAATTTGGGAGGCCGAGGTGGGTAGATCACGGGGTCAGGAGATTGAGACCATCCTGGCTAACATGGTGAAACCCCTGTCTCTACGAAAAATACAAAAAAAGAAAAAAAAAATAGCCAGGTGTGGTGGCATGTGCCTGTAATCCCAGCTACTCAGGAGGCTGAGGCAGGAGAATTGCTTGAACCTGGGAGGCAGAGGGTGCAGTGAGCTGAGATTGCGCCATTGCACTCCAGCCTCGGCAATAAAGCAAGACTCCATCTCAAAAAATAAATAAATAAAAAAAAATAAAATATATCAGCCTGGATCATGAGAGTCTGAAAAACATGTCATATGATAAGTAATTGAAGGAAATTGAAATGTCTAGCCTGGAAAAGTCTTAGGGGGAACTTAAAATTGTCTTCAAATATTTCAAGGGCTATCATGTAGAAATTGAAGTAGATTTATGCTGTTTGAAAGTGCTGGTGTAGGGTCAATCACTGAGTGTCAGGGAGGCAGACAGTTCTTTGAATACAGAACTTTCTAACAACTGGATCCATAACAGTTGTGGTCGACACTGCTCTTATCTCTCCAGTGTCCATTCTCCCATTGATTTTTGGTAGTAGAAGTTTAAGCTGGGCCCCTGGCTGTCCAACTAAAGATTATATTTTCTACTTCTCCTTACTATGGTCATGAAATTAGGTTCAGGTCAATGAGATAAACGCAGCAACGATGTATGCCACCTCTTGCTCAAACAAGAGGGATCAGTCAAAATCTAAGAGGGGTCTTTCCTTAAAAGGATTGGGGTGTGCCCTCTTCCTCTCCCTTGACTCTGGCCTTGAATGTTGTCATGATGGATCTTCTCTGATCATGTAGACAAACCAAGAATAAAGTAGAAGGAGCTTGAGTTCCCAATACAATGGACCCATCTTCTCTTCTCAGCCTTGGAAACATTGCACTAAGTAAGAGAGCATTTCTACCTAGTTGAACTTTCTACCAGGTTAAAATTCCCATCTTGTTAAGTCATGTTTGGATCTTTGTTAGACCTGTTTTCATCTAAGTATTAAATAATACAGACACCTCCAAATAGTGGTCTTCAGGAGCCCTCCCTGTCCCTTATGTTCAATCACTTGCTGCCTTAATGCTTCTCACCTGGCTACCTCTCTCCATTCTCACTGCCCCTACCTTGGCTCAGGCTGCCACGCTTTCTTGCCTGGATTGTTGGAGAAACTTTCTAAGTGGTACTCTGCCTACAGTCTTGTCACACATTCTCTCCATCTCATCTACCACTTCCAAAATAATATTTTATAAACCCAAATCTTATCATGTGCCATCTCTTCTTAAAATCTTTCCATTACTTCCCACTACATTTAAGGTAATGAGTAAATTTCTTAAGATGGTGATGGTGTGGTAGACAAAATGATGCCCTCCCCACTAACGATGTCCACATCCTAATTCCCAGGACCTGAAAATATGTGACCTTACTTGACAAAAGAGATCTTGCAAATGTTGACTAAATTAAGGATCTAGAGATGGAAAGATTATCCTGGATCATCCTGGTGGGCTCAATGTGATCACAAGGGTCCTTCATAAGAGGGGAGCAAGAGGGTGGGAGTTGAAAAAAGAGATAAAGCAGAGTTTGGGTTTATGGGCTTTAAAGATGGAGAAGAGTGACTCAAGCCAAGGAATGCAGACAGCCTCTGAAACTTGAAAGAGGTAAGGAAAGGGCTTTTCCTCTGGAGCCTCTAGAAGGAACGTGGTCTTGCCAACATCTTCATTTTAGCCTCCTACGTCTCATTTTCAGCCTTTAACCTTCAGGACAATAAGATAACAAATTGGTGTTATTTTAAGCCACTAAATTTGTGGTACTTTGTGACAGCAGCAATAGGAAACAAATATAGCTGGCTTTCATCATCTTGCCTTTGTTCATTTCTCTTGCCCCATCTCTCATCAATTCCTTGCTTCCACACTCTACTTTCCAGCCCTTTTCAATGATGTGTAGTTCCCAGCAAGCAGGGACCTTTGTTTATACTTTTTCTCTCTGAAAATTTTTCTTGTTCCCTTGCCTCCTTTGCTTTGACTAATTTTTAAGCCAAGGCTTTTATCTGAGTTCCTCCAAGATGCCTTCACTGAGCACTTAGTGGGTTTCGTGCCCTTCCCTTGGACAGACTCCCTTGGCACTTGTACATGTCGCTATCACAGCACCTAGCTCACTGGATTCCTGAATTGCTTTGTTTACAGTTATTTCAGAGCCTAGCTATCTATGCCAATGAATATAGAATGATCATTCACTGGAAGTAGTCAAGAAGAGGTTAAGATACCTAGTAGAGATACTATAAAATGGGCTTCTATAGTGGTTGGGGAAATACGCCTTCCCATTTGAAATGCTTTATATGGAACACTACGGCTATAGTTTGGATGTTTGTCCCCTCCAACTCTCATGTTGAAATCTGACCCCTATTGTTGGAGGTGGGGCCTAATGGGAGGTGTTTTGGTCATGGGGATGGACCTCTCATGAATAGATTAATGCCCACCCTTCCCAGGCAGGGGCAAGAGGTGGGAGGGGGTGAGTGAGTTCTCATTCTGTTAGTTCCGCAGAGAACTGATTGTTGACAAATGTCTGGAACCTTTCCCCTCTCTCTCTTGCTTCCTCTTGCTCTATGAGTGGAAGCAGCCTGAGACCCTCACCAGAAGCTGAGGAGATGCTGGCATCATGCCTTTTGTGTAGCCTGCAGAACCGTGAGCCAAATAAACCTCTTTTCTTTATAAATTACCCAGTCTCAGGTATTCCTTTATAGCAACACAAATGGACTAAGACAACCACCCATTCCTTCCTCACAGCCATTGTGGCCTAGTCAACTCCTACTCATCCTCCAAGTGTTAAACATATAACATCTTTATTGAGACATAATTCACATGCCATCATAACACCCATTTAAATAGTGCAACTACATGGTTTTACTACATTCATAGAGTGGTGCAACCATCATCACAATAAATTTTAGAACATTTTTATCACTTCCAAAAGAAATCCTGTACCTATTAGCAGTCATTTCTCATATTTTCCCAAGTGCCCCGGCCCCATAAAACCACTAACCTCCTTTCTGTCTCTATAGATTTTTCTATACTGGACATTTCATATAAATGGAATCAGCCTGGTGCAGTGGCTCATGCCTGTAATCCCAGCACTTTGGGAGGTTGAGGGAGGAGGATTATTGAGCCCAGGAGTTCAAGGCCAGCCTGGGAAAGATGGCAAAACCCCCCTTTCTATGAAAAATTTAAAAATTAGCTGGGCTAGATGGCATGCATCTATAGTCCCAGCTACTGAGGAGGCTGAGGCAGAAAGATTGCTTGAGTTCAGGAATTTGAGGCAGCAATGAGCTATGATTGTGCCACTGCACTCCAGTCTGGGCAACAAAGCAAGACCCCAGCTCTAAAATAAAATGAAAATAAATGAAATCATATAATCTATGGTCTTTTGTGACTGGCTGCTTTCATTTAGCATAATGTGTTCAAGTTAGTGTGTATTAGTACTTCATTCCATTTTATGGCTGCATAATATTCCATTGTATGCCAGATTTTTAAATCCATTTATTAGCTGATAGACATTAAGGTTGTTTGCACTTTTTGACTCTTATGAATAATGCTGCTATAAGCATTTGTATACATATTTTTGTGTGGGTATATGTTTTCATACCTCTTGAGTATATGCCAAGGAATAGGATTGCTGGGTCATATGGTGACTGTAGGTTTAACATTTTGTGGAATGTCCAGACTGTTTTCCAAACTTACTGCATCATTTTACCTTCCCACCGACAGGTCCCATTTCTCCACAACAAAGTGTTCCCATTTCTCCACAACCTCATCAACACTTATTATTATCAGTCAATTTTATTTCAGCCATTCTAGCAGGTATGAAGTGGTATCTCATTGTGTGTGTTTTTTTCTATAATTCCCTGATGGGTAATGAATATCTTTTCATGTGCTTATATGTCATTTGTATATCCTTTTGTGGAGCAATAACTGTGCAGATCCTTTGCCCATTTTGTAATCATGTTATTAATCTTTTTATTATTGATATGTATGATTTTAAAAATATATTCTACATACAAGTCCCTTATCAGATATGCCATTTGCAAGTGTTCCACTTATTTTGTGGGTTGCTTTTCACTTAGTTGATGCTATCCTTTGAAAAAGTTTTTCATTTTGAGGAAGTCCAATTTATCAATTTTTTTTTTCTTCAGTTGCTTGTGCTTTTGGTGTCATGTCTAAAAAAGACTTTGCCCAATCCAAGGCATAAAATTTATGCCTATATTTTCTTCTAAGAGATTTATAGTCTTATCTATTATGATTAAGTATATAATCCCTTTTCAGTTAACTTTTGTGTATGATGTGAGGAAGGGTGCCAACTTCATTCTTTTTTTTTTCTATTTTTATTTCAATCATTTTTGGGGGCACAGGTGGCTTTTTGTTACATGGACGAATTCTTCAGTGGTGATTTCTGAGATTCTAGTTGCACCCAGCACTTAAGCAGTGTACACTGTATCCAGTATGTAGTCTTTTACCCCTTATCCCCCTCCCAACCACAGTTCCTTTCCCAGAATCCCCAAAGTCCATTATATCATTCTTACACCTTTTCTTCCTTGTAGCTACAACTTCATTCTTTTACATGTGGATATATAGTTGTCTTAGCACCATTTGTTGAAAAGATTATTCTTCCCTAATTGAACTCTCACTTCTGTTCCATTGAACCATATGACTACCCTTAACCTTATTTCAGCACCACACCGTTTTGATTATTGTAGCTTTGTAGTAAGTTTTGAAATTGGAAAGTGTGAGTCACCAACTTTGTTCTTTCTAAAGACCATATTGGCTATTCTTACTCCCTTCCATTTCCACATGAATTTTAGGTTCAGCTTGTCAATTTCTGCAAATAAGCCAGCTGGGATTATGATAGGGAATTGTGTTGAATCTGTAGATCAATTAGGGGAATGTTTTCATCTTAATAAGATTAAGTCTTTCAATTCATAAAATAGAATGTTTTTTCATTTATTAAGGTCTTTAATTCTTCAATGATATTTTGTAATTTCAGTATACAAGTCTTCCATTTCTTTCGCTTATTTTTTGTCTGTTTTAAAATCTGAGAAAGGAGATCTAGTATGTATTCATGGAATTTCTCATATTAACCTTGTTTCCAATTTCTGGTTCTCTTTATTTGTTCCTGCAAATCTGGATATCATCTGCTGTCATTTCCTCACTCCAATAAAGCTTTGCACCCACCTACCTCCTTTATGTTGTTATTGTCAAATATATTACATTTCTATAAGCTATAAGCCCAACAAGACAATTACATACATATCACTTTGTACAATTGCTTTTTAAATCAGTTAAGAGCAGAAAGAAGACAGAGATAGTTATACTGTCTTTTAAAGTTACATATCTTTACTCTTGCACTTGTGTGTGTGTATGTTGACTTGCATTACATTTCGGGGTCACTTGCTTTCATCCTAAAGAAGTTCAATTACTATTTCTTGAATCCAAAGGGCAAGGAAACCTGGAAAAAATAAGTGATTTCCTGCAATAGTGAATAGCAAAAAGAAAAATGGAGAAATGGTGTGAAATCAAACAGGCCAATGACCAGTCACTCACTCAATAGTGTTTGTATGGTTACTTTAGAAATTTGAGTAGGCCTGATTTACTGATTTATTGAATTTCTACTACTTTCCAGACTTGGGTCTTGGTGTTTTTCAAAGGTAAATTTATTTAGCCTTTACAGGATGATACTATTATATAACGCTTAAGAGCTTGGGATCTTCAGACAGACAGAGATGTATGCAAGCCCAAGAATTTCAACTACAGAATCTGTGATCTTGGGAAAATTACTTAACATCTCTAAGTCTCATTTACCCATAGGTAATAGGAAGATAAATATAGTGTATGTCTTAAAGGGTTATATGACAGTTATATGAGAAAAATTCATGTGAAATATTGTCTCTTACACAAATGCTCAGTAAATGGCAGGCATAAAAAAATTCATAATATTGGACTTCTGACTTTGACCATGATGAGGTAACTGATAATAAACTTATGCTTAATTTATAATTACAAAACTGAACAAAATATATGAAGCAACACTTTTCATGCTTCAGACAACAAATACAGGAGGGATTTGATCCTTTAGAGAATAAAAACACATGAGGTTGGCTCTGCATTTACCACAGCTTTCCACCGGCGAGTGATTCCCAAACTAAGGCACAAGAAAGAGAAAAGAAAGATGCAGGAAACTGAGATGGAAGGTTGGGGCCACTAAGGTGGCTAGGCTTTTCAGGGCACAGCCCTGGAGGGTAGCAAGCCATGCAGAGAAGGAGCTCCAGAAATTGGCCTAGGGAGCTTGAGTCTTTGATGAAAATACCAAATTAGAAATGTACAATGCAAAACTGATATAGACCTAACAGAAAATAGCCAAGGGTGGATCAGTAAGATCCTCAGAGATTCTGGAGATCACACAGTGTTGGGAGACATTGAAATTACAGCCAGCTGGAGTCAGAGAGCTTGTTGAACATCCTTGGCATTCACTTGCAATCATACGAAAGCCACACCTACAGAGTGAGACTTTAGTAACTTATAGTAATTTAGTAGTCCTTACCTTAGGGCAAGATTTAATAATCTTGATGTCATAATTTCGATTAGTAATAGTAATAATAAAAATGAATCTTGCCCTAAGGTACGGACTACCCTAGACTCATTCTAAGAAAACCTAAAAGTAAGTCTCAACAAGACAAGGTGACTTCAACAGATGAATACCTGGCAGTACAGATTTCAAGCATATTTACAACATGGGAGCAAAATCTAACTTCTAAAAAATGTAGCATTCACAGTGCCCAACAGACCATCAAAAGTTGCTAGATATATGAAAAGAAGAAAAACACAACTCGTAGTTGTGAGGGGGGAAAACGTTTATAGAAACAGACTCAGACATTGGAATTAGCAAAGACTTTAAAAGTTATTATGAATATTTAGACATTGTAGATGAAAAAAATAAATATAATGAGTATGATAGACCACAATATGGTTTCTCAAAAGATATGTGCTTTCTAATCCTGAAACCTGTGAATGTTACCTTACATGGCAAAGCCTTTGTGGATTTGATTAAGGGTCTTGAGAAGGGGAGATGATCTTGGACTGAGTGGGCCCCAAATGCAGTCAGATGTATCCTTAAGAGAGGCAGGTTACATGCACACAAGGCCACATGAAGACAGAGCAGACAGAGATTTAAAGATGCTGGCCTTGGCTGGGTGTGGTAGCTCATGCCTGTAATCCTAGCATTTTGGAAGGCTAAGGTGGGCAGATCGCTTGGGCTCAGGAGTTGAAGACCAGCCTGGGCAACATAGCAAAACTCTGTTTCTCCAATAAATAAAAAAATTAGGTTGGGTGTGGTGGCTCAAGCCTGTAATCTCGGCACTTTGGGAGGCTGAGGAGGGTGGATCACTTGAGGTCAGGAGTTCACGACCAGCCTGGCCAACATGGTGAAACCCCGTCTATACTAAAAATACAAAAATTAGCCAGGCATGATGGCAGGTGCCTGTAATCCCAGCTACTTGGGAGGCTGTGGCATGAAAATCGCTTGAACCCGGGAGGCGGAGGTTGCAGTGAGCTGAGATTGCACCACTGCACTCCAGCCTGGGTGATACAGACAGACTCAGCCTAAAAAAATATTAGCCAGGCACAGTGGTGGGCATCTGTATTCTCAGCTATTCGTGAGGCTGAGGCAGGAGGATCACTTGAACTTGGGAGGTTGAGGCTGCAGTGAGCCAAGATTACACCACTGGACTCCAACTTGGGTGACAAAGTGAGACCCTGTCTCAAAAAAATGAAATAAAGTAACGATGCTGGCCTTTGAGATTGGAGTGATGCAGCCACAAGCCAAGAAATTCTGGCAGGCATCAGAAGCTAAAAGAGGCATGGAACAGATTCTCCCATAGAGCCTCTGAAGGACACATAACCCTGCTGACACCTTGATTTCAGCCCAGTGATACTGATTTCAAACATCCAATATCCAGAACAGGGAAAGAACAATTTTCTGTTGTTTTTAGCCTCCCAATTTGTGTTGTAGCAGCTTCAGGAGACGAATACAAAAAGAAAACAAAAGGGAAGCTCAGATTTTAAAACAGACAAAAAAATAATACAAAAGGGGAACAAAAAGAGAAATGAGAACAATTTTTTTTTTTTTTTTAAAAAAGAAACACAAATGGAAATACTAGCCAGCATCATAGGACTGGACTGGATGCTTGTTGAAGGACTGGAAGCTTCCCCTTAAGATTGGAATCAAAGCATGGATGTCTACTCTTACATTTCTATTATTACTAGCTACTGAAATAAGACAAGGAAAAGAACAAAATGGCTTACAGATTAGAAAGGAAGCTGTAAAAGGACTTTATTCATAGACAACATGAGAGTGTATTTAGAGAATGATATCTCAAAATTCCACCCAAAAAACCCAAACTTACTAGAAATTAATCAATTTAGCAAAGTGTAGGGGAGAAAAAAAAAAAGCTTCCCCTTTGCCCTTGGAAGGTTTGCTGAAAAGTCAAGTCACAAAAGGCATAGAAATAGGAGAAAAGGCATACAAATAAATGTATTTGACCATAGTTTCATGTGACACAGGAGCCTTCAGAATGAACCTAATCCCTCAGTGGGGTGCAAAAGCCTATATACCATCTTGAGGTTACAGAAAGAATTTAGGCTCAGAGTGCAGCCCAAAACAGGTTATGGTAGTAAATCAGGTTATGGTGGCAAGACAGGTCCTGGGAGAGAAAGAAGAGGAGACCTGGCCAGCAAAGGTGGTCTTGTTATGTAGATGAAACTTCACAGGTAGCAATCTTCAGAGAGAATAGACGGTCAATGCTTCTTTTCAGGCCTTTACAGGTATCAGACTCTTAGTCTTTCCTAGATTCAGGCAAGGGAAGTTCCGGCTGCATCAATGCAGATTCTCTGCAGATGCAAATCTCCCCACAAAAGACAGCTTTGCAGGGCCACTTCTGTTTGCTGGCCCTCTGACACCCAGCTCAAAATATGTCAAAGAAATATATTTGGAGATAAAATATTTTTATTTCCTCCAGTTCCTACTTTGAAACTTAAAAAAACTTTACATATTAAGAGCCAACGCTGATAGCTTTGGAGAGTTTTGGGTTAGAGGTTGTTAGATAGAGATAGGCAAAAGAGTGAAAAGACAAATTGGGATAAGCAGAAAAGAGCAAATTTAAATATAACGTCCCATTTCTTCTTTAGTCGGTCTCTCAGTCCTGAGAATAGATCAGTTCAGTTAAACAGCTGTGTCCCATTCCAGGAGGTGGCATTGCAGATGGGCTAGGCCTCTATATCTGATCCAGGCAAGCAGATCTTTAATAAGAGATATTTGTATGGAAACAGAAGAAAAACAAAGGGCCATGTCTGTAGTAGCTTGTACCATAGTTTTTCTGGTCTCTGAAGCATCTTCAGATTGCTATGACAATCAGAAAGATTTTTTTTTTTGAATTGTAGTTTGAATTAGGTATTCAAGTGAACTTTCTGAGTACTGCATACCTCATCAGGCATGAAGTCTGTTTATATATAAGTTGATGTTATTTCTCTCAAAGTTTATTAAAGTTGTCTAGCTTCGATTTTAAGGACTTTAAGAAAAACACAGTTTTAATTTATAAATTGAAAATAATATCCTATGCCCCCCAACCAACTGAACAGACCCCCTCTTGGCCGGGGGCGGATTCCAAAGAAACCTATAAAACTAAATTTCAGGCCATGATGGGAAGGGAGGTCAGACATGCCTCATTATGCCCCTTCCCTTTTGGAGTTTAGGCAAGACTGACCAGCATTAACATTAAAATAGAGATCATAAGATTGACAGAATAGACTCTTTGTGGCAAGAAGATAACCAGATTCCAACCTGACTCAAACATAGCATCACATGACAGCCGATCCTGAAGGAAATCAAAATATTTTACCCCAAAATATATTTCTCTGACATATTTTTAAATGGCCCCGCAAAGCCAGCTTTTGTGGGGGAAATTTACATCTGTAGAGAATCTCTGTTAATACAGTCAGGACTTTCCTGGACCTAGGAAAGATTAACTAACTTTCTGACACCTTTTAAGTTCTGAAAAGAGATATTTGTCATCTATTCCCTCTAAAGATTTTTATATGGAGACTTCATCTATATAACAAAACCTTGGCCTCCACAACCCCCCTTATCTGAACTCAAGCATGTCTTTCAACTGACTTCGAATCTTTAGACAAAGCTGAACTCTTTCAACAAATTGCCAATCAGAAAATCTTTGAATCCACCTGTGACCTGTAAGCACTTGCTTTGAGATGTCCCACCTTACCGGGACATCTCCAATGTACACATTATATGCATTGACTTATGTTTTTGCCTGTAACTTCTGTCTCCCTAAAATGTATAAAACAAAACTATAACCTGACAGCCTTGGGCACACTTTCTCAGAATTTCTTGAGACTGTTCTCTGGGCTGTGGTCACTCATATTGGGTCAGGATAAGCCTCTTTAAATATTTTATAAAGTTTTTTTGTTGTTGTTGTTTGTCAACGCATTTCTAGTAATTCCAAGTCAGAAAAAAATTAAATAAAAATTTGACAACATTAGTTTGGAGACTTGTAGCCAGGAAAGAATTCAGGATCCAGTACAAGTTGCAGGCAAATGATAAAATCTCAAAAACAATGAACAAGGCTAGAATCTAATAACAGATGTTCTACAGTTTTCCTTTGAAACATAATTTTCTCTCTCCGGTTCCCTAAATTTCTTTTTTTTTTTTTTTTGAGACAGAGTTTCACTCCTGTTGCCCAGGCTGGAGTGCAATGGTGCGATCTCAGCTAACTGCAACCTCCACCTCCCGGGTTAAAATGATTCTCCTGCCTCAGCCTCCTTTGTAGCTGGGATTACAGGCATGTGCCACCACGCCCGGCTAATTTTTGTATTTTTAGTAGTGATGGGGTTTCGCCATGTTAACCAGACTGGTCTCGAACTCCTGACCTCAGGTGATCCGCCCGCCTTGGCCTCCCAAAGTGCTGGGATTACAGGCGTGAGCCATCACACCTGGCCCAGTCCCGCAAATTTCTACCAAAGACAAATCATAGCAGGACAAATTTATTTGTAAAATAAGTTTTTATCTTATTATACTTGGCCTGGTTATTTGCATAAAGTGCAGCAAGAATAGTGATTGACCATACAGGCTTTTCTCAAATTGGCTTTGTGGAAACATTTTCATAAGAAATCTCAGATTAGACTTTTAAAAGCCTTGAGGCTATAAAACCAAGGCAAGGATTTGTCATTAATCATTGACTGTCTGCAATGCCTGTATGAATTGGGTAAATTCTTCTCTTCTTGAGGTCCCAAAATAACTTGAGGTTCCTGGGCACGTCAGAAAGTAACACTCGTCACTTACCACAGGTCAGGAACCTTGTGAAGAAACTGTGTACCTTGTAAAGGTACCTTTTCAGTCAAGGTACACAGGTCAGGAAACTTGCAAAGAAACTGGGTTTTTTATTAGCTCTATAAAGTCAACTTCAATTCCTCAAAGCAATCTGGTCATATCTGAAAATATTCCATTCCAGTCAAATCCTCCAAAAGAATACAGATTCATATTGAATGTACGCAAATAGCTGTCTTGTCCTAAATTAAGAATAATCAAAAAAGTTTCCAAATTCTGGAGATATCAGGTAGAAAGAAAGATAAATGCTTCAAATTTTGCTCACGAAGTATACTTTACCCAATTTCTTGTAAGCTATAAATAGCTCAAAAGAAAAGGGTTTTTTTTGTTTTTTTTTGTTTTTTTTTTTGTTTTTTTTTTGTTTTTTTTTGACTCTGGAAATCAAAACATAAAAAGAATTAGCTATGTATCAAACAAAAAGTTTTTTAGTCCTTTCTTAGTTCAGCCCCATGTAATTAGCTCTTGTTCTGCTTGATGTTGGGTTAGCAATCCTCATGAGCACATCAGCTTTTTAATTAGAATCCTGGAAGGTTTTTTTCCCTAGTCCAATGGTATGATATCCAAAGTTAGAAAACTGTATTCAGGAGACCTTCCCTGAATTTCTTTCAGAGAAAGCAAATTTTGGACCGTAGTTCATTATAAACTGCTTTTTTTAAAAGAAGAATCAAAGTAAAACAATAATTGTCTATGAGTGACAAAAGTTTTAGCCATAAATACAGACACAATTGACAAGAACATTTCGTTGTTTTATGGCATGCAACAATTGAACATAATAATTCCAATTATTATTGATAATGTATACCAAGACACATCAGAATTTTAGGAAATCATACAATTTGGAGCACATATTAGTAACATATTTATACAAACATAACCCTCCAAAAGTTAAACACCATTTCTTATTTAATAATGCTTTCCATATGATTTTAACATACCAAATAAGCGTAATATGTCTCTCTTGGATGTCTAGGGGCCCTAACATTCAAAAAGTTAGTTTGAGGTCAAAAAGAATGAATTTCAGATCTGAAATTTTGATTTTGGAAAGTTTGTCAGATATTAAAGGTTTAAAACACTTGCTCAAAATAGGATCACAGCTCACTGTGAAATAATAGTGATTCATGTAGCCAAAGTGATGATTCAAAGATTTCAAAAAGCAAAAACCTTTATTCTTTGATGGGAAGGAATACAGCTTTCAAAACAATCATAAGACCTAATAGAAACCATTAGGCAAACAAAATCTCTCTCTCCCTCTCTTCCCTCTACCCCACCTTTTTTTTTTTTCAGTTTACGCAAAAGTACACCAAAAAATATTTTACTATCCCTTAATACTACACAAAAATCTTGTTCAAAAGAGAAAACCTAATTCTACCTTTGTATCAGTGTATTATTAATGTTACAGCTAATTTTAATAAAACTTTATAGGCTGGGCACAGTGGCTTATGCCTGTAATCCCAGGACTTTGGGATGTGAGGCAAGAGGATTGCTTGAGCCCAGGAGTTTGAGGCAAACCTGGGAAAAACTCCCCCTTTGCCCTCAGAAGTTTCACTGAAAAATCAACTCACAAAAGGCTAGTATTACAGTAGGAAAAAAAGGCATACAGATGTATTTGATCACAGTTTTATATGACATAGGAGCCTTCAGAATGAAGACCCAATCCTCCAATGGGGTGCAGAAGCTTCTATACCATCTTGAGGTTAGAGAGAATGCGGCTCAGAGCATGACCCAAAGCAGGTTATGATGGTAAATATGGTGATGGTGGCCAGGCACGGTGACTCACGTCTGTAATACCAGCAGTTTGGGAGGCGGAAGTGGGTGGATCACCTGAGGTCAGGAGTTCGAGACCAGCCTGGCCAACATGGCAAAAACTCATCTCTACTAAAAATACAAAAATTAGCCGGGCATGGTGGTGCGTGCCTGTAATCCCAGCTACTAGGGGAACTGAGGCAGGAGGATCGTTTGAACCTCGGAGGCAGAGGTTGCAGTGAGCCAAGATCGTGCCACCGCACTCCAGCTTGGGCAACAGAGCAAGACTCTGTCTCAAAAAAAAAAAAAAAAAAAAAAGGTGATGGTGGCAAGAGAAGTCCTGGGAAGGAAAGAAGAAGAGGCCTGGCCACCAAAGGTTGTCTTGTATGGAGATGAAACCTCACAGGTAGCAGTCTTCAGAGAGAATAGATGGTAATGCTTCTTTTCAGACCTTTAAAGATGTCAGTCTCTCAGTGAATCTTTCCTAGATCTGGGCAAAGGAAGGCCTGGCTGCATCAATGCAGATTCTCTGCAGATGCAAATCTCCCTGAAAATTTCAAATCTGAAATTTTGATTTTGGAAAGTTTGTCAGATACTAAAGGTTTAAAACACTTGCTCAAAATAGGATCACAGCTCACTGTGAAATAATAGTGATTCATGTAGCCAAAGTGATGATTCAAAGATTTCAAAAAGCAAAAACCTTTATTCTTTGATGGGAAGGAATAAGACAGCTTTACAGGGCCACTTCTGTTTGCTGGCCCTCTGACAGCCATCTCAAAATATGTCAAAGAAATATTTGGAGGTAAAATATTTTTATTTCTTTCAAAGCTTATAGGATAGAATTTTAACATAAAAATCAATTACATTTCTACGTATTAATAATGAAAAATTGAAAATGATTTTTAAAGTAATATATATATAAAACAGTGTAAAAAAATCCATGGGTATGAATTTAATGAATGATGAGCAAGACCTCCACACTGAGAAATTAAGAAAGGCCTCACTAAATGGAGAGACAGACAAGAAGAGTTGATAATGCTCCACATGGAGGACGCTGTAGGGAAATGGCATTGCTGTACATTGTTCTTGGTTACTTTTTCTAAATAAATGTCCTAATGATTACATAATTATATGATAATAATAATAGCTACCACTTTTTAGTGCTGGATGTGACTGACAAATTAACTCCCTATAAGGGCAGCTCTGAACTTGGCACTTCTCTGCTCAAAAACTCCTTTTTATTCATAGGCTCAAGGACTAACTATTATGGCATTCACAAGCCTCCACTATTGGCTCCAAACTCCCTTGCCATATTCACCTCCTACATTTTCCCTCATATACACCTTATACTCTAGCCACACTGGATTCCTTGCCATTTCCCAGTTTAAGATTTTGACCTTAACGCCTTGGCTCATGATATTCCCTGCCTTTAGCCAACTCTTCCCCTTCCCTAACCAGTCATCTCTGGCTGGGGCCTGGCTCCCAGTACCTTACAGAACTTAGCACACTGTGGGGCACTTAACATATTTCCAGTGTGGTAAATAGTTGCGAAATGAATAAGAGAAGTGTGGTTCATTGACCCCAATCCCAGAGGAAAGGGTAAATGGATGTGTGTGATTCTGAATAAAGACAAATGGGGATAATGGGGATAAAATGTCTGTTTAAAAAGTGCAGGCAGCTTGGCGTGGTGGCCCACGCCTGTAATCCCAGCATTTTGGGAGGCTGAGGCAGGTGGATCACTTGAAGTCAGGAGTTTGAGACCAGTCTGACCAACAGGGTGAAACCCTCTCTTTAGTAAAACTACAAAAATTAGCCAGGCGTGGTGGTGTGCACCTGTAATCCCAGCTACTTGGGAGTCTGAGGCAGGAGAATCACTTGAAACTGGGAGGCAGAGTTTGCAGTGAGCCGAGATCTCACCACTGTACTCCAGCCTAGGTGACAGAGTGAGACCCTATCTCAAAAAAGAAAAAAAAAGTGCAGGCAAATCTCCTTATTTGGCAGGCCTCTTTGAAACAGATTGTGATAATGAGTCAAAGCCACAATCATCCCAGAATCCCCCCCAGTTCTGGAGGATTCAGAGATATTTAGTAATTCTGCATTTATGTGTTTTTTTCTATTACTTACTCATAGAATCACAACTTTTTTTAATATATAGATGATCAGCAAAGCTTTTAATTGATTTATTGATTGAAGTATCTTCTATTATAGCCAAAAGAGAGTTTTGAAATCATCTAGACAAGGAGCCTCAAATGAGTTGTTTTAAACTGGTCCAGTTGATACAGGGTGTTGTCATGAGACAGGGTAGGGATGGAGCTTGGCTTCAGCTCACCCCTACTACGGCATTCTTTCTTGCATTCCACCGTACTAGTCAGTGTTCTCCACAGGGGCAGAACCAATAGGATACATGTGTATATATATAAGGCAGAGTTTATTAGGGAGAATTGGCTCACACAATTACAATCATGAAAACCCATGATAGGTCGTTTGTGAGCTGGGGAAGAGAGAAGCTGGTAGTGGCTCAGTCTGAGTCTGAAAGCCTCAAAAACCAGGAAGCCAACAATGCAGCCTTCAGTCTGTGGCCAAAGGCCAAGAGACCCCGGAAAGCCACGGGCGCAAGTCCCAGAGTCCAAAGGCTGAAGAACCTGGAGTCTGATGTCCAAGGGCAGGAGGAGCGGAAGGTGGCATCCAGCATGGGAGAAAGAAGGAAGCCAGAAGATTCAGCAAGCAAAGTTATCCCACCTTCCTTTTTTTTCTTTAACTTTTTCATTTTTATTTTTATTGTTTTTTTGAGACAGGGTCTTGCTCTGTCACCCAGGCTGGAGTGCAGTGGCACGATCTCAGTGCAGTGGCATGATCCCAGCTCACTGCAACCTCCACTTCCCACGTTCAAGTGATCCTCCTGCCTCAGCCTCCCAAGTAGCTGGGACTACAGGTGTGCACCACCATGCCCGGCTAATTTTTGTATTTTTAGTAGAGATGGGGTTTCACCATGTTGGCTAGGCTGGTCTCAAACTCCTGACCTCACGCCTGTAATTCCAGCACTTTGGGAGGCCGAGGTGGGCAGATCAGGAGGTCAGGAGTTTGAGACCAGCCTGGCCAATATGGTGAACCCACCTCTACTGAAAACACAAAAATTAGCCATGGATGGTGGCACACTCCTGTAGTCCCAGCTATTCAAGAGGGTGAGGCAGGAGAATTGCTTGAACCTGGGAGGCAGAGGTTGCAGTGAGCCGAGATCGTTCCACTGCACTCCAGCCTGGGTGACAGAGTGAGACTCCATCTCAAGGCAAAATAATAATAATAATAATAATAATAATAATAATAATAATAATAATAATAATAATAATCCCTAACAGCTTTTTTTCAGAGAGCCAGCTGGAGAATCCTTTTGCCTCTGCTATCTCCCTTTGGCTGTCTCTCTTGTGCTCTAGCACAAGCCCCAAAATAGAATCCTTGTCCAGGAAACCTGCTTGGCCTTATGTTAATTTTCATTACATGGGGAGCCACAGCCTCTTGGCCTGTAACATATTCAGGATGGCTTCATAAAGGAACAACTAGTGCAGTTGCCTGGGGCCCCACACTTACAAGGACCCATGCTTGGTTCAATGTTCTACTATTGCAGTCTTGAAATTCTTATTATTTTGAACAAGGGGCCCTGCAAATTATATAATCAGTTCTGTGTACATCTCCTCATGTTCAGCCTTCCTTCCCTCCATGTACCTCTCCTGCAGTAAGACAATTCCAATGTCTGGAGGCAGCTGGAAAGCATTGCATGTGGAACACTGGAGGTTGCATCTTCTCACCCGTCCATCTTTGCGGATTACTTCTCAATTTCTACTAGGAAAGCCTGGAGACTTCTGAGATAGTCCAAGTTCCCCATTTTACACATAAGAATACCAAGATCCAGAGATGCAAGTTCCTCCAGCTACCACTTAAATTATTTAGGTATCCTTTTCCAGGTATCTTACATTGCTATTATACCAAAT